>NC_000016.10:22425879-22728910 GCF_000001405.40 Homo sapiens | reverse complement strand
TAAATCCCCTCCCAGTGGTGCCTGACCCTGACCAGCTGACATTTCCATAATCCACTTGCCATCTTACGTGTCTTAAATGACTTCTCGTTGTCCCAAACTTGGAGATTTTAATCTCGTATATTAAGCCAGCAGGGCCCAGTAATTCCCTGAATGCATTTTTATTGACTTTGTAAATCAGACTTCCCCACATCAGGGCCTGTGACCAGGAAAGAGGTGTTTGTCTGTGAAATTGGCTGGACACAGACCATTGACTGTGATGATAACCAGTGATTTGTGAAGCCAGATAGACAAGCCACATGCACTAAGCAGATTAAAATATAACAAAACAAAAAGGTTCCATTACCAGGAATACTGTCAAAGGGCAGCAGGATGTTTGTGATAAAAGACGAAAACAAACTAATTCCAAGTCTGGAAGGAAGCCCAAAATAACACTTTGCTGTCTCTTCAGTCTGCCAAAGAGAAAGTGTGGGAATGCTAAACACAGCTAAGTAAACCAATTTCTGAAAGCTCTTTAGCAAAAGTCAGAAAAAGCTTGGCTCTCTCCCTACCTGGGCTCTCATTCACAAGGTTGTTCACACCTCCTTGCCTTCTGTGACAGGAATTGTTTACAAAAAGGTGCAGTAACAATTTTAAACAGGTTCAAAGAAGGACACTCTTCTGCGGGTCTCCCTCTCACTGAAGATAAAAATCAAATACAATCTTAGTCTGTCACCAGTTCTGACTTCATCTTCTGTTATTCTTACTCTTAACCCACTCCTTGCCAGCCACATTGGCTTCTTGGCTGTTACTCCACTAACACTAGCACATTCTGGCCTCAGGGTCTTTGAACTTGCTGTTCCTCTTACCTGTCATGCTCTTCCCACAGACATCTCCAATTCTACCTTACTCACGTCACTCTGATAAATGCAATGTCAGGTGATTTTGTCATTGTGCAAACATCATCGAGTGTACTTACGCAAACCTAGACGGTAGAGCCTCCTACATATCTAGGCTACATGGTATATAGCCGATTGCTCCTAGGCTAAAAACCTGCACAGCATGTTGTGGTACTGAATACTGTAGGCAACTGTAACACAATGGTAAGTATTTGTGTATCTAACCAAAGAAAACGTGCGGTAAAAATACGGTATTATAATCTTATGGGACTATCATCATACAAATGCAGTCTGTCATTGACCGAGACATTGTCATGCAGCACATGACTGTACTTATTGTGAACTGATATCGTATTACAATATTTGTATGCTTGCTTGTTTATTTTAAGCCTTGTTCCTCCAGAGAAGAGAATTGTCTCTTTTGTTCACTGCTATATCCCCAGTGCCTAGCACAGTAAATGCTCAAATATTTGTTGAATAAATGAATTATGTATTTTTTACTTCCTTTTCTTTTATCTCCATCTAAATGGCCTAATTCATTCATATATTTGTTCAACTAATGTTTGTTGAGCACCTACAACAAGCCAGGCATTGTGCTGAGTGCTGGCTCTTATAAGGATTATATGATGATATGTATAAAATTGTAATGCTCACTTAAAATTTAAGGTGCAACTTGGTAATAGTGTCCAAGACAGTTGTTGAAAAGAATTGTATTTGTGTCTTTTTGGTAGACTAAATAGGAAGATAAGTATCTTGCATTTAATGACAAAATGATTATCCACAATTGCTTAACCTCCTCCTCTGGATTAACTATTTACACTCTATTACATCCTGGACCTTGTCATGCCTGTACCATCTCTGATCATAACTTCTGGTCTTTCCAAAGCAGAGGCTGCTGACTGTCCATCACTGCTAATTCTCTGCAGATACTTGGCTGCTTAGCTGAGATGACATCTACACTTCCCAGCATCCCTTGCAGGTTGGTGCCTACACATGACTAATTCCTGCTCAATGGATGTGAGCTCAAGTGACGTGTACATTTTTTAGTTGTCTAGACCAGCACTGTCCAACAGAAATATAACATGAGCCACATATGTAATTCTGAATTTTCTAGTAGCTGTATTTTTTAAAAGTAAAAAGAAACAAGGGAAATTAACTTCAATAATATATTTTATTTAACCCAAAATGTCTAAAATATTATCATTTCAACATGTAAGCAATATAAGAAAGTATTAATCAGATACCTTATATTGTTTTCTTCCACGCTCAGTCTTCAAAATCCAGTGGGTATTTTACACTCACAGCACATTTCAATGAAGATGCTACATTTTCATTAGAAATAGTTGATCTGGGCTGGGCACAGTGGCTCATGTCTGTAATCTCAGCACTTTGGGAGGCAAAGGCAGGTGGATCACCTGAACCCAGGAGTTCGAGATCAGCCTGGGCAACATGAGGAAACCCCGTTTCTATAAAAAATACAAAAATTAGCTGGGCATGGTGGAGCACACCTGTGGTCCCAGCTCCTAGGGAGGCTGAGGTGGGAGGATCACCTGAGCCCAGGAGGTCAAAGCTGCAGTCCTCTATAATTGTGTCACTGCACTCCAGCCTGGGTGACAGTGCAAGTCCCTGTCTCAAAAAGAAAGAGAAAGAAAAAGAGAAAAAGAAAGAAAGAAAGAAAGAAAGAAAGAAAGAAAGAAAGAAAGAAAGAAAGAAAGAAAGAAAAGAAAAAGAAAGAAAGAAAGAGAAAGAAAAAGAAAAAGGAAGCGGGGGAGGAAGAAAGGAAGGAAGGGAGAGTTGATCTGTATTTCAGTTTTATACAATTTGTAGTTGAAAAAGCACATTCAATATATCCAAGTTATTCAAACATCCTTAAAAGTTATTCAAACATCCTTAAAAATAAGTGAATGGAGTATGATTTTTCAAAATGTAAATTTAAACTAATTAGAATGAAATTAAATACAAAATTCACGTCCTCATTCTCACTTGCCATATTTCAAGTGCGCAATAGCCACAGATGGTCGCCATGGCAGACAGCTCAGGTGCAGATCCTAGAAAAGGTAGCCATGCACTGCTCTGTGCAATCCTTCTTCCCATTGGCTGGGAGGTGCTAACAACTGGAGAAGCTGGGCTAGAGATGGTAACTATGTATCGGGGTTGGCAAACCCTTCTCACCCACCTCTGAACTGTTATGTGGGAAGAAATAAACTTCCATTCTGTTTAAACCTCTGTATTTTCTGGTCCTTCTGTTGCAGCAGCTTCTCCTATACCTTCCATAATACACCTTTCAGCACTTTTGTTTCAACTGTTTCCTAAGCTCCCTGGAGACTTCCAATACCTCCCACTCCCAAACCTTTATCTTGGCTTGATCTCTAAAAGCAATAATTATTAGTAGTAATATCATCAGTACTAGTATTTCCCAGCTTACACTTCCATTAGAGCATTACTTCAATCACTCCACAATATTTCAGCCACTATCTCAAAAATTGCTCAGCCTCAGACTCCAATGGGTAGAGATTGCCTGGGTTTGAATTGAGGCTCCACCACCGTGATGGTTAATTTCATGCATCTACTTGACTGGTCTATGGGATGCTCAGACATTTGTCAAGCATTATTCTACAAGTGTCTACGAGGGTGTTTCTGATGAGACTGACATTTGAATAGGTAAACTGAGTAAAGCAGATTTTCCTCCCTAATGTGGGCAGGCCTTGTCCAATCAGTTAAAGGCAGAAATAGAATAGAAAGTCTGGCATTTCCATAAGTGAGAGGGAATTCCTTCTGCTTGACAGTTCTTTCAACTGGGACATTTGTTCTTTCCTATCTTCAGACTGAAAGTGCAGCATGTGCTCTTTCTGGCTATAAAGGTTACCAGCGTTCAGACTGTAACTACACCATCAGCTCTCCTGGATCTCCAGCTTGCTGATAGCAGATCTTGGGACTTGTCAGCCTCCATAATCACATGAGCCAATTCTGAATGAGTGAATGAATGAATGAATATCCTATTGGTTCCGTTGTTTCTCTGGAGAACCCTGAGTAACACTGACTACTCACTGACTATGTAACCTCTCTGTGCCTCAGTTTCCTCATTTTTTAAATAGGGAAAATAATAATCCTCTATTAAATGTTAGTTATCATTATTGTTGTTGTTATTATTACAACATACTGCCAAGCACT
Source organism: Homo sapiens (assembly GCF_000001405.40). NCBI lineage: Eukaryota > Metazoa > Chordata > Mammalia > Primates > Hominidae > Homo > Homo sapiens. Next base: position 22,724,864 of record NC_000016.10, on the reverse strand, counting down.
GCTAGGGGAAAAGCATACATCATACAAGCACAAATGTGGAGACTTCAAATTCAACTCCAGTTTTGCTGGGTCACTCAGCATTCAGGGAAATCCTTTTTTTAAAATTTGAAATAGAGATAATTTAATTTATGAAGTCGTTTATGCAGATGTTAGAAGAGCTCATAAGCCTCAGGTAAGAGGAGATGTTTTTGCCATTCTTTCACTACAGGGGGAAAAGCAGAAGGCAGAGTTACTGGACGGGAATAAATGAGGACAACCCGGAACTGCGTGGAGGAACCTGGAGTCATGGAAGAGAAGTAGCTGCTGATGGAAACCACACTTAAAGCACAGGGAAAAAAAAGGGAGAAATACTCGCCTTTTTGCCTTATTCTGCCTTCCAAGCTCCAGCCAGTTCTTAATAGGGGCCATATGCTGCCAAGATTTAGCTGACAAGGTAGCCTGGGAAACACTACCTGCAGGGGTGAAGACCTGCCATACACATAGAGCAAGGGAATCACGAAGAATGGATCAGGAAGCACAAGGCCATGCACTATGTAGGCATACAATAGTTGTCTCACACTGAGCAAATGCAAAACCTACCTGCTGATGTTTATCCATGATCCTACTTCGCTCACAATTAGTGCGCCTCAGTGGAAACATCATCTTTTTTTTTTTCACTTTTTTTTTTTTTAACTGTACTTTCAGTTCTGGGATACATGTGCGGAATGTGCAGGTTTGTTACATACGAATACATGCGCCATGGTGGTTTGCCACACCCATCAACCCATCATCTACATTAGGTATTTCTCCTAATGCTATCCCTCCCTGGGAAATCCATTTATACTCCCCTTGTCATCTCCCTCTCCTGTACCCCTCAGCAGCTGATGAGCTTGAAACCCACGTGATCACTTCTCTGTCCCCTAAGTTGGCCCCAGCCCCCTTGGATTGGACCCTGCCTTCCATTTTGTAGAGAAAAGTATGGCTCTCAGCCATGAACTTGTTAATTAATTTTGTTTCATACCCTTATCCTTTTCATCTTGCGCCCTCTCCCTCCTTAGGGACATTCTTCCCCCATTAACTTTTTGGTTTTTTTTTTTTTTTTTTTTTTCCTTTTTGACACGGAGTCTTGCTCTGTCATCCAGGCTGGAGTGTAGTGCAATCTTGACTCATTGCAACCTCCTCCTCCCAGGTTCAAGTTCTTCTCGTGCCTCAGCCTCAGCCTCTGGAGTAGCTGGGATTACAGGTGTGTGCCACTACACCCGGTTAATTTTTGTATTTTTAGTAAAGATGGGGTTTCACCATGTTGGCCAGGCTGGTCTCGAACTCCTGACCTCAAGTGATCTACCCGCCTTGGCCTCCCAAAGTGCTGGTGAGAGGTGACAGCGTGTTGGCAGCCCTGGCAGCCCTCGTATCCCTCGTTTGCTCTCAGAGCCTCCTCGGCCTTGGTGTCCGCTCTGGCCATGCTCGAGGAGCCCTTCAGCCCACCACTGCGCTGTGGAGGCCCCTCTCTGGGCTGGCCGAGGCCAGAGCCGGCTCCCTGAGCTTGCGGGGAGGTGTGGAGGGAGAGGCACGGGCAGGAACCGAGGCTGCGTGCGGCGCTTGCTGGCCAGCGCGAGTTCCAGGTAGGCGTGGGCTCAGCGGGCCGGCACTCGGAGCTGCTGGCCAGCGCCACCGGCCCCGGGTGGTAAGGGGCGTAGCACTCAGGCCAGCAGCTGTGGAGGGTGCGACGGGTGCCCCAGGAGTGCCCGCCGGCCGACATTGCGCTCAAATTCTCACCAAGCCTCAGCTGCCTCCCCACGTGGGCTCCTGCGTGGCCGAGCCTCCCCGACAAGCTCCGCTCCCTGCTCCACGGCACCCGGTCCCATCCACCGCCCAAGGGCTGAGGAGTGTGGGCGCAGGCTAGGCGCGGGACTAGTGGGCAGCTCCACTGGTGGCCCTGGTGCGGGATCCACTGGGTGAAGCCAGCTGGGCTCCTGAGTGTAGTGGGGACTTCGAGAACCTTTATGTCTAGCTAAGGGATTGTAAATACACCAATCAGCACTCTGTGTCTAGCTCAAGGATTGTAAATGCACCAATCAGCACCCTGTGTCTAGCTCAGGGTTTGTGAATGCACCAATCAGTGCTCTGTGCCTAGCTAATCTAGCGGGACTTGGAGAACTTTTGTGTCTAGCTCAGGGATTGTAAACGCACCAATCAGCACCCTGTCAAAACAGACCAACCAGCTCTCTGTAAAACAGACCAATGAGTTCTCTGTAAAATGGACCAATCAGCAGGATGTGGGTGGGGCTAGATAAGGGAATAAAAGCAGCCAGCAGCAGCTGCCCGAGCCAGTAGTGGCTACCTGCTCAGGTCGTATTCCACGCTGTAGAAGCTTTGTTCTTTGGCTCTTTGCAAAAAATCTTGCTGCTGCTCAGTCTTTGGGTCTGCACTACCTTTACGAGCTGTAACACTCACTGCCAAGGTCTGCAGCTTCACTCTTGAAGCCAGCGAGACCATGAACCCACCATGAGAAATGAACAACTATGGATGTGCTGCCTTTAGAGCTGTAAACACTCACTGTGAAGGTCTGCGACTTCACTCCTGAAACCAGCGAGATCACAAACCCACTAGAAGGAAGACACTCCGAACGTATCCAAACATCAGAAGGAACGAATTCTGGACACATCACCTTTAAGAACTGTAACACCACGAGGGTCCGCGGCTTCATTCTTGAAGTCAGTGAGACCAAGCACCCACTAAGTCTGGACACACGGGGATTACAGGCATCAGCCACCGTGCCCAGTCCACTTTTCCTTCTTTTTCAGGTTCTAGCCTCTCCCTTTCCCATTGCTCCTTCTACTTTAACCAAAAATCAGGCCTGAGGCCATCATGTTAGAGGCATGGCTGGGTCCTCCTCCTCCCTGGTGCCCGATTCTCCTCCTACCCCACTTGTCAAGCTCTCTCAAATGCTGATCTGCACCTGCCATTTCCTGGCTTTAGTGCCACTCCCTCCAGAGCAGCTGGTGAAAGGAAATGAGCCATGCAGATTGCTGGGGTCGGAATATTCTAGACAGAGGGATCAAAATGCGCAGGTTCGGAGGTGGGAGTGTGCTTGGTTTCGTTGAGGAACAAACATCCAGGCCAGTGTGGAACAGAGGGAGAAAGGAAGAGCGTCTTGGCAGTGAAACCCAGGCAGCAGCTGTGGTCCAGATGTGGCAGCAGGGAGTTGGCTTTGACTCTGAAGTGGAGAGGTATGGGGGCGGTGGGGGGGAGGTGTGTGGTTAGAATACAAGTGGTGTGCTCTGACTTACATTTTAAATGTCTCCTTTGGCAGAGAGGCAATAGCAGAAACAGGGAGACCCATCAGAAGGCAATTACAATAACGCAGGCAAGAGAAGACAGGGCTTAGATCGGAATGGAAGCATCGCAGGCATCGAGAGATGCAGTCTAATTGGATATATTTTGAAGGCAGAGCCAAGAGAATCATCTGGTTCTATGGACATGGACTGTCCGAGAAAGAGAAACATGAAGGATGCCCCCAAGGCTTTGTCCTTCCTCACCTGCCACCCACCCATATTGCTGCCACCTGCGGCCACCTGGCCTCCTTCCCCAGGGCTGTCATAAGCGTTGCTTTTATAACAGCCTAAAATGTAAAACTCTAGCCTAAATTTGTCCCTAAAATTGCAAAGGTAAATATATATAATAAGATAATCATAGCAGGAAGACAGGGAAGAGAAAAAAAATGTGGCCGGGCACTGTGACTCACGCCTGTAATCCCAGCACTTTGGGAGGCCAAGGCAGGTAGATCACCTGAGGTCAGGAGCTTGAAATCACCCTGGCCAACATGGCGAAACCCTGTCTCTACTAAAAATACAAAATTAGCCGAACGTGGTGGTACATGCCTGTAATTCCAGCTACTGCAGAGGCTGAGGCAGGAGAATCACTTGAAACCGGGAGGCAGAGGTTGCAGTGAGCTGAGATCCTGCCATTGCACTCTAGCCTGGAAAACAAGAGTGAAACTCTGTCTCAAAAAAAAAGAAAAAGGAATGTAGTGAAAAATTAGTTAAATCCTCATCCGTCATGGCTGGCAGTCAATACATAATGTCCACAATTGATAAATCAAGAAACAACAGTTTTTGCATATTATGTAGAGATGTGGAGGTAACTACTAGAAGAAATATTTTGACCGGGTGCAGTGGCTCACACCAGCACTTTGGGAGGCCAAGGCGGGCAGAGCACATGAGGTCAGGAGTTCAAGACTAGCCTGCTCAACACAGTAAAATCCTGTCTTTACTAAAAATACAAAAATCAGCCTGGCATGGTGGCATGTCCCTGTAATGCCGGCTACTCAGGAGGCTAAGGTGGGAGGATCACTTGAACCTGGGGGCAGAGGTTGCAATGAGCCAAAATCACGCCTCTGCACTCCAACCTGGGTGACAGAGCAAGGCTCCATCTCAGAAACAAAAACGAAAAAAAACTATTTGTATTGTTTTGTTTCTTCCCCTCCACCCTCTTTTTTTTTTTTTACAGTGAACATATATTATTTTCGTTTAAAAATTTTTAAAAGCTCTTCTAGTCTAACAATTCTTCAGCTCAAGTCTCGTCATATCCTCCTGTGTTTAACCAGTGGTTACATTTCTTTATTTATTCAGCCTTTTTAAAATTCCCTTTATTGGCATTATAATGTTGATCTTGCCATAAATTTTTTAAAGAGCTTCAGCAAAACAGAAATGCTTTAGCTCCCAAATGACACTGCCTGTAAACACCGTTTATAAGCTTGTTTCCTGTAACATTTTTTGAGTAAAAGAGCTTAGAGTTTCAGATCAAATGAGCTGTTTGTATGTTTTGGGTTTTCTTTGACATAGCTCATGGCATATCTGTGTGTGCTGAATTTGCAAACGTGACATGGAAACGATGACAGAGAACTAATTGGCATTGTTTCCAATTATTAAGCTGCTTGTTAAATATTCATACAAAACAAAACCAATCTTGGATGGCTCTGTGATTCCTAAAGCCCGAAGTGACTGGCTAAATGGCTTTTGCAATCTGGACCTACAATCTTGTCCTATGTCACTTTACTAATCATACCCTTCTTCTCCATTTCTGCTCACCCTAAGCCCTTTGTCACTCTGGACAGTAAACACTTTCCACCCTATAGGCTTTACCTGTGCAAGTTCCCCAGGCAGTCTCTTCATTCAAGGCCTAACTGAAACATCCCCTTTTCGGGGATCAGCCTTTTAGTGTGAAGCTTAGTGCCACTGTTCCCAGCCCAGGCTGGTTCCCTGGGCTTTTATTCTCTCAGGCTTTAGACCCTTGGGTCCCTTTATAACTGTCACCACCTATTCCATCCCCAAAGGCTGACCAATGAATGAGACCCTTGAGCTCTCCCTTTCTGTGCAGCCCCTGAACGTATTCATTCATTCATTCATTCATTCATTCTATAAATCTTTACGGAGCACCTATGGTCTTGCAGGCACTGTGCTAAACATAAAGACTACCATAGTGAGCAAGTTGCCGAAAACACAATCTAATGAGCAAGGTGGATGCTAAAGGAGAAATGACAACAGTGTCATGGGAACTTAAGCAGAAGATGTACCATGTGCTGAGAGAATATATAAATCAGAATAACTAAACAGAGAAGCAGAGAGAGTTGAAAGGAAGTGACATTTTAGCTGGTATCTCAACTTTGTGTAAGAATTTGGGAGGCCAGTGGGGGAAGGAGAAAAAAGACTGTCCCAGAACAGTAGAGCATGTGCAGAAGTCCGGCATGGCTGGAGAAAGAGGGAATGCATGATCAGAGTGGTGCAGGGGTGAGAAAGCAGGGTCAGGAGATGGCAGAGAGACAGGCAAATCCAGGTCATCAAAAGGCTTGTATTAAGTTGGTGCAAAAGTAATCACAGTTTTTGCCATTACTTTTAAAAGCAATGACATTGGTTCTGTTTATGTGATGAATTACATTTATTGATTTGCATATGTTGAACCAGCCTTGCATCCCAGGGATGAAACCGACTTGATCGTGGTGGATAAGCTTTTTGATGTGCTGCTGGATTCTGGCCCATCAGTGATAGACTGGATAAGAAATGTGGCACATATACACCATGGAATACTATGCAGCCATGAAAAAGAATGAGTTCATGTACTTTGCAGTGACATGGATGAAGCTGGAAGCCATCATCCTCAGCAAACTAACACAGAAATAGAAAACCAAACACCACATGTTCTCACTTGTAAGTGAGAGTTGAATGGTGAGAACACATGGACACAGGGAGGGGAACATCACAAACTGGGGCCTCTTGAGGGGTGAGGGCCAAGGGGAGGGAGAGCACTAGGACAAATACCTAATGCATGCAGGGCTTAAAACCTAGATGACACTAGATGCAATCTAGATGATGGGTGCAGCAAAACACCATGGCACATGTATACCTATGTAACAGACCTGTACGTTCTGCACATGTATCCCAGAACTTGAGGTAAAATTTAAAAAGAAAGAAAGAAATCTATAGCAGGACAGAGCACTCCTTATTTAGTGAATACATTGTAATATATATATAATTAGAAAATAAAATATAAATAAGTTTTTTAAAAAGCAATGGCAAAAACCACAATTACTTTTGCACCAACCTAATAAATCTGCCTAAGGATTTTGGACTTTATTCCAAAGCAATGGAAAGCTATGGAGGGATTTAAAGCAGGGGAGTGACATGATCAAATATTTTCTACACATCTGTTTATTTCTAAGAAATACTCATGTTTTCAGAAAGGAAAAGAAAAATGCATTTTTAAAAAGGTACATATTATTTTGTAGCCTGCTGTTTATTTAGCAATACATTTTGAACACTTTTCCACGTTCGATAAATATTTGTTTGCTGGCCGGAAGCCCTGTTGGATTCTAACCTCCAGTTTTATTTTATTGAAGCTCAGACTTACAAAACCTCCCTGATTGCTCTTACCTCAGAAACTCTTACTGCTGAGAAAGTTATTCTTCTCATTTCTTAGGTCTGAAAAAGGTAGAAAAACATGGCCCTGTGTTTTAAGTGGCATTTTAAGAAGTCCAAAATGGATACTTTGTTCTCTCAGCTGTTTCTGCTGTGAAAGATCTCTGTGAATCTCCTTGTGGAAACTTAGTAATGTCCCTACCAGGAATAATCAACTTTTCCTTCCACTCTACATCCATTTAGGTTTGTGTGTTTCTCAAGCCTACATTTATTATATGGTATGCCAGTTACTTTTCTCTGTCTTCTTAGTTATTGCTATTCAAAAAATATCTATGAACACCTTAACTATACACCATTACTTAAACCATGAGGGTTGATGTAAAAGGAATCAGGTTAGAGTCTCAGTGCTCACATAGCTTACAGATTCATGAAGGCTACAGAGAAGTGCCAACAAATGTAATACTGAGTAATAATTATTTCATTAGGTGTTGAATACAGAGTGTTATAGCAGGGCATATATGAACATAAACTCAATCAGGAGGTCACGGGGCAACTAAGGCAGTCACACACAGCTCTCTGGAAGAAGAGACAGCTAAGCTCATTCTTTTAACCCACTCAAGTCAAAGGTCTGCCCCTATCACTCTAGTGAGACCGCTACTGCTCTTCTCAAAGTCACTAAATGACTATTTATAGTGACTATAGAGTCACTATAAACGACTCTCTTTAACCCAATGACCTTGCATCAATCTGCATTCTACATGATTTCTCTACAGGACTTGGCAATGCCCATTGTTCACTATTTTGTTCATTTATTTATTTGCCAGATATTTATTGAGAATATTATGTGCTGACCATGAGGATGCAGTAATGGGGGGGGTTGTTTGTTGTTTTTTATTTTTTGCTTTTTGTGACCACATATCTCCTGATTGCACACCTCACACCCTTCCTCCTCAACCTCCTTAATGAATACATTCTCTCTTCCTCCATCACCCCAGGTTCCTGTCTCCCATGTTCTCCCGCCAATGCCAGTTACTCCAATATCTTGAAGAAGTCACTGATGAGTCACAAATCTCCACCTCCAAATCTAACTTTTTCCCAGTCTCCAAAAGCATACTTTCAATTGCTTGCTGGACATTTTATGCAGAAAAAAATTGTTTTGTCTAGAGTTTGCCAAACACTGTGTGGATTCCTAGTAATAGAAGGATGAATGAGGCAAATTGCCTCCTCTCAAGAAGCTCACAATAAAGTGAAAAAGTTAAATCTAAATATCATCAGTTATACTAAGCATACATCCAAACGTATACATCACTGTCCATTCTTAAATACGAGAATTCTGGTGTCTGACAAGGTTTGTGTGATTTCATTGCACAGCCCCACAGTTTGTCATTTACATAGTCTGCAGTATAAATTAGACTGTCTACAGTTAAACAGTACACAACCTATACAATCTTACATGACAGCTTCCACTGGACCCCATGTACAGCTAAGAAAATGATAGGCTGGAGCTGTCACCCATGATGGCTCACATGGTGGTTTCCCCAGTGGTCACTCCCTGTTAGGTTGATGGGTTAAACATGGATTATGTTTCCACACTTTACTTATCGAGTCCTTCAGGAGCAGAGCTCTGAAAATACCAGTCTTCTCCCAATACGGAAAGAAAAACAAAGCCCTGAGGTTGAGGGGCCCAATATTTAATCTTCCCTCCTTTTGTGAGGGTCCCAAGTAGATGTAAATCACTGAGATAAAATAATTTCTTTGCCGGACGCAGTGGCTCACACCTGTAATCCCAGCACTTTGGGAGGCCAAGGCAGGCGGAACACCTGAGGTCAGGAGTTTGAGACCAGCCTGGCCAACGTGGTGAAATCCTGTCTCTACTAAAAATACAAAAATTAGCCGAGCGTGGTGGCGGCTGCCTGTAGTCCCAGCTACTCGGGAGACTGAGGCAGGAGAATCGCTTGAACCCGGGAGGCAGAGTTTGCAGTGAGCTGACAGAGTGAGACCCTGTCTCCAAAAATAAAAATAAAAATAAAATAATAATAATAATAATAATTTCTTCACTCTGCAATCTAGACTCTATGCTGCAAACTGGTCGGCTATAATGTGTGTGCTTTGATTGGCCTTCATACATATTTTGAATTTAGCTGCCAACTAATTTCACATAAATATCCAGAATTTCAGCTTCATTGGAAAAAGTCTGAAAGACAACACTAGGCCCACATTCCAACATGGCTAGAGTCAGCTGCAGCTGACAGGAAATATGCTTTCTGTTTTAAAACACTCTTATTTTAGGTTCAGGGTTACGTGCACGGGTTTTGTTTTGTTTTGTTTTGTTTGTTTTTTGCTTTTTGTTTTAGACAGAGTTGCACTCTTGTCACCCAGTCTGGAGTGCAATGGTGCAATCTCAGCTCACTGCAACCTCCGCCTCCTGGGTTCACAAGCAATTCTCCCACCTCAGCCTCCCGAGTAGCTGGGATTACAGGCGCCCGCCACCACGCCCAGCTAATTTTCGTATTTTTAGTAGAGACAGGGTTTCACCATGTGGGCTAGGCTGGTCTCGAACTCCTGACCTCATGATCCGCCCACCTAGGCCTCCCAAAGTGCTGGGATTACAGGTGTGAGCCATCGTGCCCAGCCCACGGGTTTGTTATATTGGTAAATCGCATGTCACGGTTATTTGGTGTACAGATTATTTCATCATCTAGGTAATAAGCATAGTACCACATAAATAGTTTTTCCATTCTAATCCTCCTCCTACCCTCCACCCACAAGTAGGCCCTGGTGTCTGTTGTTCTCTTCTTTGTGTCCAGGTGTTCTCAACATTTAGCTCCCACTTATAAGTAAGAACATGTGGTATTTGGTTTTCTGTTCCTGCATTAATTTGCTTAGGATAATGGCCTCCAGCTCCAACCATGTTGCTGCAAAGGACATGATCTCATTCTTTTCGATGACTGCATAATATTCCATGGTATATATGTACCACATTCTCTTTATCCAGTCTACCACTGATGAGCATTTAGGTTGATTCCTTGTCTTTGCTACTGTGACTAGTGCTGCAACGAATATACGCATGCATCTGTCCTTCTGGTAGAATGATTTATTTTCCTACGCATATGAAAAACTGTTTAACATCACTAATTATTAGAGAAATGCAAATCAAAACCACAGTGAGATACCATCTCACATCAGTCAGAATGGTTATGAAAAAGTCAAAAAATAACAGATGCTGGCAAGGTTGTGGACAAAAGGGAATGCTTCTACACTGCTGATGGGAATGTAAATTAGTTCAGCCATTGTGAAAAGCAATGTGACGATATCTCAAAGAACTTAAAAGAGAGCTACGACTCAACCCAGCAATCCCATTATCAGGAAATCCACTTTCGGATTCTCCTCAGTGACACCCTGACTATTCCCTTCCGCGACCCGGCTGGCCTCACTCTGTTACCTGCTTAACCCCTGTCATCAGTCATATTAACTTCCAATTTTAAAAAATTCTTTTCACCCAGAAATGTCCTGTTAATTATTTTATTGATTTTCAGAGTCCATTAATTTATCGAATTTTCTAGTGATAACAAGTCTCTCGGCTATAGAATAAAAAATAAAAACCTACAACAGAACAGATTCCAAGAACTACTTTTCACATTGCACATGGCCAACCAATTAGTACTGAAGAAGAACAGGTCCCTCCCTCATTTCTCCTGCAAAAGCCACCCAGCAATGAATACATTTTCAAAAGTCGTCTCTGATCTACCTTGGAATGAGCTCAGAGATCTCCCAGAGCCAGTGTAATTAGTTGTATCTCCCCTGCAGGGAGACCTGCCATTTTAAATTAACCCACTGCAGCCTGAACAGACATTGATGAAAGAGAAAACAGGATTCACAAGCAAGCTCACAGAAGGAAGCGCAAATCCAAGGAATAAGATACAATATTTTCATCCCAAAAAGTAGCAGACGTCCCAAAAATACCCAGCAAAGGAACAGAGCAGGCATTCTTGCTTATTGTTTTGAGCAATATAAACTGGTTTACTTTTTTGGAAAGGTTTTTTGTTGGTGGTGGTGGTGGTGTTTTTTGGTTGTTGTTGTTGTTTGAGTTTTGCTCTGTTGCCCAGGCTGAAGTGCAGTGGCATAAGCATGGCTCCCTGCAGCCTTGAACTCCTAGGCTCAAGCAATCCTCCTGCCTCAGCCTCCTGAGTAGCTGGGACTACAGCCACAGGACACCATGCCTGGATAATGTTTAAAAATTTTTTGTAGAGAGAGTTTCTTGCTATGTTGCCCAGACTGGTCTGGGAAAGGCTATTTAGAGGTTCATTTCAAAAGATCTATTTTGTGTGTGTGAGCACAGCTTTCTAGCTCCTCCACTCACCGGTGGTTAATAGAAGACACAGATGGGATGCAAGTGACATAGCAGGAGTTTCAAGGAATTTCTGCACAGTGCAGTGTGGACAAAACCAGACTAAAAGAGTTCTTTGAAGTCTGATATGCCATTACCCTTCTGGAAAAGGTGGTGTACTGGGGACATAATGGGGAGAACCTGCTAGAAACATCCATCCACCCCCCAGTCCCTGAAGTATCTTCTAAGTTGGAGGGGTTTGGGCTGCAGGCAAGGGCAGGGTGAGAGGCTTGGTTCCTGTGAAACCACCTTTGCAAAAACTTTAACAGTCAGAAAATTATGACAGTGAAAAAGATCTGACCTGACTCCATTTTGCTTCTAACCTCCAAGCTGTCCTTGTTCACTCCTGGGCATAGGCCAAATTACTTTGGGTTGAACTTATTATAGTTTAACTTTGAAACAAAGAGTATAGAAGCCCTTTCCCAAAACAAACACCCTTCTTGCTTGGGGACCAAACTGCCTTTGTAAGGTAACAAATTAGCCACAAGATTAGAAATTATGGTTTAGGAGTCACACAGCTGGAGGCCACAAGATTTTGAAATTCCCCAATTGCTCCTAGGGATAACATCACTATTGTAAAACCTAAGATTGGTGCTCAAGATATTTTTCAGACCCTCCACTCAATGAATTAGCTGGTGCCACCCAGATCAAAGAAATGGCTCATCTGGTCTTGTGGCCCCCATCCAGGAACCAACTCAGTGCAAGAAGACAGCTTCAACTCAGCTGATTTCATCTGACCGTACGAATCGGCTTCAGCACTCCCCAGTCCCTGGACCCCTACCCACCAAATCACCCTTTAAAAACTCTGGTCAGTCTCCAAATTTTCAGGGTGACTGATTTGAGTAATAATAAAACTCCAGTCTCCTATTCAGCCGACTCTGCATGAATTAAACTCTTTCTCTATTGCAATTCACCTGTCTTGAGAAATTGGCCCTATCTGGGCAGTGGGCAAAATGAACCCTTTGGGTGGTTACACCTGTAGCACAGGCTTCCTTGGGCTGTGACCAGCCCCATGGACTAAATTCCATGGATTCAGCAGGGGAGGTTGTCCTCCCCCACCCTACGAAGAAGGGGTGGATAAGAAGCCCAAATAAGTAACCAATTTCCCCAACCCATCCTGACCGATGCTTGGACAAACCACCTGGTTTTCACAAAGGAAGTTAAAAAAACAAAACAAAACAAAACAAAAAACACCACTCCCTTCTACAAGGGCACAGCTGATGCTCATGTGCTGGTAGGTGTTTCTTAATCTATTCCTCCTCCCCCTCATTACCTGCTCCCCCAGCCAGGAGAGTCTGTGATTCTAGAATTAACTTTACCAAAAGGCAGAATCTGAATGAGTCATTCCTCCCTTCCAGCTCCACCCTTCAAGGAAGCCCTTCCAGGGCCCCCCAACCTTGCTCTCAAGAGGAAACCTAGGCCCATAATTATGACACAGCATCTGGACCTCTGCCTCCCCCCACCTACCCTGCAGCCTTCCTCCTGCACCTGCACTCCAACCACAGGAGCTGTTTATTCAGATTCCTCAAATAGTCCCCGCTTCCTCCCACTGGGAATACTTAGCTTGCAAACATCCTCTGCCTTGTGTGCCCTTCCCTCCCCATCCCCACCCACTTAGTTCACTTAATTCCTACTCACCCTTCAGATCACAGCTCAAATATCACTTCCTCTAGGAAGCATCCCAGATCTCCCTGCCCGCTCCCAGTTACACACTCCCAATTTGTAATTAGCCTTTATTTGCATTTATTAGTATCATTCTTAGATTAACGTCCAACTAGTACCCCATAAATTGTAATCTCCTTGAGAGCAAAGACTCACCACTGTAGCCCTGGCACCTACAGCAGTGTCACTGAACATATTTTTGGGTATACTTAAAAGGGCTGAAGACTAAGCTTAGAATCCGGCTTCCCTAGATGAGCAGGGATGGGAGAGTGGGTTTCAAAACCCAAACTCAGGACTTCCTGGCTGAACCAACTCTCAACTGGTGATTGATGGAGTAAAACCTTTTCTTTGCAGATCCATGTTTGGTGAGATCCTTTTATATTGTTGGGGAAAACCTCTGTCATCTTTTATACCTTGTGTTATACACATGACACCTCTGGGTCCAGGATGTAGCATAGAGAGACTTGGGTTTCGTTTGTAGCATCTATGACAAAGCCCCATACAGGGGTCTCCCAAAGACTCTATTCCTTCCATTATTCTTAAGTCTTCTCTCCCCACCAGGCTCAATACCTCCTAAGCTTCTGAATTCCTCTGGGTTTTGTTTTGCCTTTTCTCCTTAAGTGTGGACTGGAAGGTTCCTCTTATAACCATCTGGGGAAATAAGAGAAGTATGAGGCATAGAAAAACATTTTGCAGTTCAAAGGAAGGAAACCTCTCTATAGAGTCAAGGAAAACTAACTTACTGCCCAAAAACAAAAGAGAAGAAAAAGAAAGAGGAAGAAGAAGAGGAAGATAAAGGTGAGAGAGCGGAAGGGAAAGAGAAAAGCACCTTTTTAATATTTGATGTGTGATCTCAACAAGATCCAATAAGTCTTTTTAATCTATGGAACTGGAGCGTGTAGTCATAATGAGAAATTAATTGTAGGTCAGGAAGGGTTATCTAAAGATGAAAAGCACAATAATCTAATTAGAAGCCACTTTGGAGGTTGCACATAGGAGAGAAGGCCACACAGAAGACAGAATCAGTGAAGATACACTTGAGAAAACTCACTCCCCTCTCGCACTAAACTCGGAGGAAATAGCAAAGTGACAAAAAGTATGAGCAAACCCAAAAACAAATAACAAATCTCAAAAGGAGAAAACACACTACCAAATAAAAGAAGAGGAACTCTGGATCTAAATGAAGACAATAGCTTGAAAATGAAGACTGGACTTTTGCTTAGGCAAATAAGATCCACATGTAGAAATAATTGGGAAAAAGTTAACGCCAACAAGTATTCAGGGAGCAATATCATGTTGGCTTCAGACTTGCATTCTGCAATACTAAATGATAGAACAAAAAAAAAATGAAGCATTATTTACAAAGCACTAAAGAGTTATGACCAAAGATTTCTATGTCCAGCCAAGTTGTCATTTGGGGAGAAGTCATCAAAGAGTTTTCTGAAACATTGGCATGCAAAGATCCATCCTGAATAAAGTTCTTGAAGACCCACACCAGAAAAATGAAATAGCAATCAAAGATAAATACTCAAGAATAAGGAAACAGTGGCCAAAAAGAACATGTTGTGAGTACTGAAGCCAAGTTTAATAGAATAGACACAATAACTCCAAAATACTGTTTCAGTGTGGATACAGTGGAATAGACACAATAACTCTATATTGTTTTAGTATGGATACAAAGTTGATTTCCCTCCAAATGGTTTTTTAAATAATTTTAAAAAGTGATGGAATTAAAATCACAGAGACTGGGGAAGGGAAAAGTCTCAAAACTAATTTCTTATCTTCTATAGAAAGAAGACCCCCTAAATTGTAGTTCTGAAATTGATTTTGATCATTTTATAGGTTTAATTTTTTATTTTTAAATTTTAAAGGTATTTACTGATGGGATTACAATCAAAGTGCATGCCTCCCAAGGTTTTTCAAAAGGCAACAGAAATCAAAACAGTTAATTGAGGAAAACAATAAAATGAAAAAGAAAAAGAAAGAAAACATTGGCCAGGTGCAGTGGTTCATGCCTGTAATCCCAGCACTTTAGGAGGCTGAGGCCAGAGGACCGCTTGAGGCCAGGAGTTCAAGACCAGCCTGGGCAACATAGTAAGATGCACCATCTCTACAATATTAAGAAAAAAAATCAGCCAGGTGTGGCGGCATGCACCTGTAGTCCCAGCTATTCCGGAGGCTGTGACAGGAGGATTGCTTGAGCTCAGAAATTGGAGGCTGCAGTGAGTTGTGATCATGCCACTGCACTTCAGTCTGAGTGACAGAGTGAGACCCTGACTCAAAAAAAAAAAAAAAAAGAAGCATTAAAAACAAGATGACAAAACACAAGTAGGGTCACCAGTTAGAAAATGGCTGTTGCAATTGTCATGAGTCTGAGAGGGCCAGAACTGGGGTAGAGGCAGTAGGGATGGAACTAAAGCCCTGTCTGAGGGCCATTTAAGAACTAGCACCCAATGACTTGATGCCCAACTGGACATACGTGTGGAAATTGAAAGAGAGAGAAGACATCAAGGATCCCAGGCTCATATCCTGAGTGACCAGGACAGTGGTGCCACCGATGGAAAAAAAAAAAAAAAGCTTCAGAACATATTTCAGTCCAGCCTTGGACATATTAATCTGATGTGCCTGAGACATCTTAATGGATCTGTGAAGTAGGCTGTTCAGATATGTTGCTTGGGCAACAGAATTTTCACTACAATAGCAGAATAAATAGGGTCCACCCTGCCAAGATTTCCACCGATTACTATACCTGGAGGGATTTTTCAGTGCAAGACTTTACGAAGACCACAAAAAGATTTATTTAGAATTATATAGTCTCCACCAAGGAATGAGAACTATATACATTTTGCTCCAAATGGGGAAATAACCAAAAACAACCGAAGTATGAATGATTTACACCTGCAGTTCTGATTTTTGTTTCTATAAAAGAAATAGTAAAGGATAAGACGGTGGCATACTCAGCCCCCAGGCTTTTTTTCCAATTCTGACGCTACCACATAGCAGCTATTGTGCCTTGGTTCCCTCGCTGGTATGCTGGAGATAATTCCTATGTCACTGGGATGCTGTGAGGGTTGATACATGTAGAAGTCTCATCCCGTGCACAAGACTCAACAAACATTACCTGGTGCTGGTTTTATCAAGGTCCAGTTTGGGTTCTGTTTGTTTTGCCATCCAAGTTCTCTTCATCTTCCACTTCACTGTTTTCAATTTAGGCCTTATTGCTTTGTTTTGTTTTGTTTTTTTGAGACAGAGCTTCGCTCTGTCACCCAGGCTGGAGTGCAATGGCATGATCTCTGTTCACTGCAACCTCTGCCTCCCAGGTTCAAGCAATTCTCCTGCCTCAGCCTCCCGAGTAGCTGGCATTACAGGCACGCAGCACTATACCCAGCTAATTTTTGTATTTTTAATATAGGCAGGGTTTCACCATGTTGTTCAGGCTGGTCTCAAACTCCTGACCTCAGGTGATCCACCTGCCTCGGCCTCCCAAAGTGCTGGGATTACAGACGTGAGCCACTGCACCCAGCCAGGCCTTATTGCTATTTGCACAAATTATTGTTTATTGCCCATGTACTTGCTTAAAAGTCTGATTAAGTACCAACACTTTATTAATGGTTTTACTTCTCTCCCACAGGATTCTAAAAGCTTCAACAAAATACTAAATATACTTGACTAAAAAGTATGTTGATCAGCCAGGCACAGTGCCTCATGCCTGTAATCCCAACACTTAGGGAGGCCGAGGCTGGTGGATCACTTAAGCCTAGGAGTTTGAGAACAGCCTAGCCAACATAATGAGACCCTGTCTCTACTAAAAATTAAAGAAAAAAAAAACTTAGCCAGGTGTGGTGGCATGAACCTGTAGTCCTAGCTACTCAAGAGGCTGAGGTGGGAGGCTAGCTTGGGCCCAGGAGGTCGAGGCTGCAGTGAGCTATGATTGCACCACTGCACTCCAGCCTGGGCAACAGAGTGAGACCCTGTCTCAGAAAAAACAACAACAACAACAACAACGAAAAGTGTGTTGATCAAAATATCTAATTACATATCTTTGTGTGTGTGTGTGTGTGTGTCTGTACATGTATGGGTTCTTCTATTAATTTTCCCCAAATTACTATACTATTGGGTTCAAAATATGATGTCAGTTAAACATACCCTCCAAGATGCTCTACAGAATGCTGCCGCCCATTCCATATCCACTATGCATGGCGCTAGCCTTCTGCTTGTGATCTCACTGTTCTCTATGAGCCCCTCCCAAATTTCCCTGCAGACCCTCTCTCACAGTGGATCAGGCAAGTCCACATTTTGTCCTGCCTGTGGTTAACATTTTCTTCATTAGCTTGTGACACGTGTCGGTATAATTTCATTAATGGGAAGCCAGTCTTTGTAATCTGGGAGTGGTATCCACACAACTTGACAAGACCTGGGCCTTCTGTTCCATATGGATGAACTTCAGCTGTGTCCTTGTCTTACCTCATTCTTATGATTATAGAAAGAAATTCCCCAGAGCTTCCTCTTCATCTCATGGTAGTCTTCAGCTCTCTTTCCAATCAAGACTTGTCCTTTCAAACTCACTAATATTCCTATACTTCCATAGTAGAAACCCAGACAACATGCAGAACATTCCTCAAGTGGCACCGCCAAACCATCAAACCTTGTATAAATTACTTTTTACAAACATATTTTTTTCCCTACTGCATTTCCCTCTTCCAGTATTACAGATTTTCTTTCTGGTCAATAGTACCCATTGGGGCTGTCATGATACTTCATATAAGACAAGGTTATCAATTCCCCCAGGCTAATGGCTATAGAAGCTCATGGGACTTCCTATTCCATATCATCTAGCTACCTCCACTTGTACCAATTCTCTCCATCTTCCTGGGTTGAAAATAAGATCCTACATTCTGTTTATTGGTTTTCTTTTTTTAACTAAAGTTCTCTGAGAACTAACACAGTGGCAGACACTTGCACTTCTGACTGATCTAATCTTTATGGCAACCCAAAAGTTAGATACTATTATTCATCTCGACATTTTAGAGCTGGTGGGGAAATAGAAGGACAGAGAGGTTAGGTAGTAACTTGTCCAAGGTCACACAGCTGGTAGTTAATGGAGCTGGATTCAAAGCCAATTGGTCTTCTCATACATTTGCCCTCCAGCCCTACCTGCCATCATATCTGTAAACCCACCTCTACCTCCCAAAGGCCCTTGTCCACCTTGTTCAACAAAACACACATTGCACCTCTTACACAGTAATACTTAAGAAACCCAAATATACCATCTGAGCTATACTGGCTTCCGCTGACATCCTGATTCGATGCAGTCAGGCATTCTTCAGTTTGTGTGGGTTTGTTTTATGTACCTTTGGAACAGTGGGGACTTTCCATTTAGAGCTCCTCTGATTCTAAACCCCATGCTCTTAATAATTTCCATAACATTGGAGGTGAGTTCTAGACAAGGCTTGGTGTGAAGTTTGGGTTAGAGATAGTCTGGCAGGAGGCTGTGGGTGGGGCTGTAGGTACAGATGTACAAGCATTGGGAACACATGTGGGCACTGGGCTATGTGGCATGCCAAGGATTATAGGATTATTTCAAACAGAGTAGATACAGGGGCATTGCAGACAGTACAGTATATATCTCCTAGCCCTTGTCATGAGCTCTACTGGGAACATCACTGTTTACTAACCACAGCAACCCAGCTGCACCCTTCAGCTGCAAAGCAGCTACTGGAAGTTGGGTATTTGCCAAGCAGCAGTGTCCATCCCACAGTCCCCTCACCTGAGACAGGGCACCTTAGCCATCAGAATTGAATCAAAGTTTTTTTTAAAATACATTCCTGCCTCTAACTGGGCATTGCATGACAGGGGCCCAGAGTGGCAACGTTAACAGATGACTCAAGTGCTCTATTTCAATCTGTTCCAAGTGCTGCAGTGACAGTCGATTTTTTAAGCCTTGTCATCTTTCAGAGCCATTAAGTCAGCAGGCACAGTTGTCTGGCACTGAGACATAGCTCCAACTTCACAAGGCTTAACAGACAATCCATAAAAGGCATTTTTTCTCCACTCAGTACCCACCCACCTCCCACCTCCAGCACTTCACATTTAAGAAAAAAAAAAGAAAAAAATGATATCGCTGCCCAAAACATAAGTAAATAAACAATAAAGAGTATGCCTTCAGTGCCCTGAATACGGTACTGCAAGAAGAATCTGCAAAGACATCCAAGTTATTCTTAGGGTTTTAAGTCTAAGGATGCAATACATGGTAATGTTTCAGCATGTGCACTCTGGCATCAAATTGCCTGGGTCCAAGCCCCAACCCTGACTCTTGCAAACAACGTGATTTCAGGATGTTGCTTGGCTCCTGTGAGCCTCAGTTTCCGCATCTGTGACATTGGTGGTATCAACAAAATTTACCTCCGTAAATTTTCAATTAAATGAGATGATGCATGCAGCGTGTGTGGCTTAGGGTAAGAGCACCATCAGCTTTAGCTGTTATTAGGAAAAGGCAGGGAGAGAGATTAACTGGATGAAAATCAGCAAAAATCCAAATTCTCAAAAGAAATGAAATGGAGTCACATGTACCCTAAAACTTAAAGTATAATAATAATAAAATAAAATAAAGAAATGAAATGGAGTCAGGGACAAGGATCTGGGATACAGTGAAGGGTGGAGCTACCGAGAGCTGGATTTCCCTAGGTTGCCGGAAACCCTTTTGTGTAATTCTTCTGCCTGTTTTAAAAGTAAAAATTAAAAGGTAGTAAGTTTCCTGCCTACTTCACAGCAAGGTGAGAAGATCAAACTCCTTGTGTGAGCTCTCTAGAGAAAGGGTTTACCTAAATAAAAATTATTTTGTATATCTTTATAGGCAGTAAAGGTAAAAGACTTTCTTTGAAATTAATTACAGAGTCAGAACTGGCCCTGTTTTCAAGTCCCTTTTTGGCCTCGTAAAAATGGAAGTGAGATTTCCCTGCAGGGCAGGAGAAAGAAATGTTTTCTTTAGCAGGGAACGGTGTGCCATTTCTCATTCAGTCTCCTAAGGGTGAGAATCCCAGGTATTCAGACCTCCATTTAGAGAATCTCAATGGGGAAATAATCATAATGTATCTCTGTTCCTCCAAGGTTATCAAGTGTTGTGCAGATATTAGCTAATTAATTCTCCTAAGTCAGCAGAGAAAACAGCTTCCGAAGATTTCTGAGCACT
This sequence comes from Homo sapiens, assembly GCF_000001405.40. Classification (NCBI taxonomy): domain Eukaryota; kingdom Metazoa; phylum Chordata; class Mammalia; order Primates; family Hominidae; genus Homo; species Homo sapiens. The sequence continues at coordinate 22,704,733 of NC_000016.10, read as the reverse complement.
CTTAAAACGTAAATGAAGTCTCAACCTAGACTGCCCCTTCCATGCTAAAAGCATTCCAATGGCGATGAGTACACCTGGAATAAAAGCAAAACTCTACTTAGGAGACGTCAAGAATCTGGCTCCTACTCACTCCCGTTTCATCACAGGCTTGCAGCTTATTCTGCCTTGGGGTTTTAGCTCTTGCTGTTCCCTCTGCCTGGAATTCTCTTCCCCTCACTGTTCAGGTCTCAGCTCAGACGTTACCTTCTCAGAAAGGCCTCCCTGACCGCTCCTTCCCGACCACAATTCCTTGCCTCTGTTTCATTTTCTGCATAACACTTCTTGTCAAGCTAAATTGTCTTATGTGTTGATTTGTTCATTGGTTCTCCTACTAGACTATAAGATCCAGGAGGACTCCTGTTTGCTGCTGTAGCTGCAGCCCCTTTTGCTCTGCATGGCACATAATAGGTCCTCAATCATTTTTCCATGAGCAAATAAAGGAAAGCAAAAGGAATTTGATCTATTGGCCCATGCCCAAATTAACAGAGTATTAATAGGGCATTTTATAAACAGAACACTCTTCTCAAAAATGCTTAAAACTCCTACAGATGTGGCTGGGCACAGTGGCTCACAGCTGTAATCCCAGCACTTTGGGAGGCCGAAGTGGGCGGATCACCTGAGGTCAGGAGTTTGAGACCAGCCTGGCCAACATGGTGAAACCCCATCTCTACTAAAAATACAAAAATTAGCTGGAAGTGGTAGTGTGCACCTGTAACCCCAGGTACCTGGGAGGCTGAGGCAGGAGAATTGCTTGAAGCTGGGAGGTGGAGGTTGCACTAAGCTGAGATCATGCCACTGCACTCCAGCCTGGGCAACAGAATGAGACTCCATGTAAACAAACAAAAAAAAAACCGCCTACAGATGTTATCCCCTCGCTGATCCTGCCCCAAGCCTTCTTCCTTCGCCTTGAGTAGATTCAGAATGCTCTCATGATGTCAAATCCATGCCCTCAGAGGACAAAACACTATCCCCAAAGACCATGTGTCCTCTACCTGGCCCCCAGCACTCAGTCTGCTTTGGAGGTTGACGTTATAGTTCCACTTCACAGCATGGAATCTTGGGGACATGAAATCACAGGTTACTTACTGGGCTTCCAGAGCTGGAGCCTTGGAGATCCGTCCAACTCTTTTGATGTTGAGGAACCAAGATCAAGTGTAGGAGGGACTCACCAAAGACAAGTCCCTAGTGAGGCTGGATTAGACCCCATATTCCCTTGCTCCATTAAACCAGGAGATTCCCCAGGAAAGGAGACCTTTACATTGCTGCCCACCTACTATGTACCATGCACCAAGCTAGGCGCTGCACATACTTAACCTTGCTAAACCCTCCCAACATCCAAGTGAGGTGTTATTGTGCCATCTTTAACCAATAAATAAACTAAGGCTCAAAGAGTTCAAGTCAACTTGTCCAGATCACCAAGATGTCAAGAAAGGTAACCATATTTCAATTCAAGTCTATTAAACTTTTAATACTGTTATTTCCATCCTCACATCCTCTTCCTCTCTCAGGGTGATGTTAACACGATCTTAAATGTCAAGTTGTATGAGCCAAAAATTCTCGCAAACACTAACATATTCCAATAATAATATTAAAACAAAAACAAGTGGCAGGGTGTGGTGGCTCACACCTGTAATCCTAGCATTTTGGGAGGCCAAGACAGTAAGATTGTTTGAGGCCAGGAGTTCAAGACCAGCCTGGGCAACATAGCGAGGCCCCCTATCTACACAAAAAAACCTTGAAATTTAGCTGGGCACAGTGGCATGTGCCTGTAGTCCAAGCTACTTGGGAGGCTGAGGTGGAAGAATCGCTTGAGCTCAGGAATTCGAGACTGCAGTGAGCTATGATCACAGCCACTGCACTACTCCAGCCTTAGCGACAGAGTGAGACCCTGTCTCAAAACAAAAAAACAAGTGATCTACATTATCTCAATTAATTCTCACAACAGCACTAGGAGGCTGAATCCAGGTTGCCTGGGTTTAAATCATCACCCTTACAAGCTAGGTAAGTGTAGTCAGGCATCACCATCCCTTTGTGTCTCAGTTGCCCCATGAGTAAAATGGGGGAAGCAATATTATCAACCTCATAAGGGTATTGTAAAGATTAAATTAGTTACTACACATAAAGTGCTTAGAGCCATGTCTGGCACATAATAAACATTAATTAATGTTATCTACTATTACTCATCATCATTAAGCAGAGGTCTGAAGAGAAGCACAAGGGCTTCCCCTTCATGTGGGTGACCTGTAGGAACCTCAAACTTAGAACATTGAAATGGAGTTCTTTACTCATCATTCCTCCCACTCTGCACCTGGATTCTGTGCAGCTGCCCAAACATGAAACATCCAACACCTGCTCTCTTTCCTCCCTCTCCCTCTCTACATTCAGGTGGTCACCTAGACTTAGTCAGGTCTTTTCAATCCACCCCTCCTCTCCATCTCCACTGCCTTTGCCCAAGTTCATGGTAGAGCTTATGCCCTATTCTCGTTATGGATCCTTCAAAATCAGTTTGACTCCTTGAGGCCAGCCAGCCCTTCCCACACAGTCAGTACTGGGATCTCCCTAGAAAACAGACCTGGTCCTATGGGCCAGCCATGTCCTGCTGCTTACAGACCTATGCTTGTCCTTCTCCTGCGAGCTGGGTTTCTCCAGCTTCCTGATCTCTGACTTATGGCCGGGTTTGGCCAGTGGGAGGCATGGGTGGGAGAGTCACGGTGGGAAAGGAAGAAGTCAGGGCATTTATCTCCCAGCCTCAGTGCACCAGGCAGTGACTCTGGAAGCTGCTGCATCTTTCCCAAGGTTTAAGCTCAACTGGACAGTCCCCACTGCAGTTCTAGTTCCTACTAATGCCTACTGGACAGCCCTCATCATATATCTAGTTTATAATGGCTCCTTCCAGACAGTCCCCAAGTGAATCTAATCCCACTGACCAGCCCCAGCTCCTAGATTCTACTAACACCACCTCCTCCCTCAGCATTCCCCCAGCCCAAACGGTGGTACTGGCTTCCTACTGGTGATAATAATCTATGAGTTGCTTCACATGCCCTGGTTGGTTTCTCCGCTCTTCCTTCACCTGTGTAGCTAATTCCTTCCCTTAAATGGCCTCTGTTAGAAGTATCTAGGGAGGTTTATGTTTTTCTGCTTGGATCTTGAGCAACTGATACTCCTTATAAATCCCCTGCTTAAATACTTTGCCAGAATCTCTATCTTTTTCTCCACGATTGCATTCAAACACCTTGGAATGTCCTTCAGGCCTATTGCAATGCAGGACTGGGTCACATTTGTAGACACATCTTCCTCTAGGCACACTAAGCTCCTGCCCCCCTGAAATTTCTCAGTCCCCCAAAACAAGCTATGTTGATTCCCAGCTCAGGGGCTTTGACTATGCCATTTTCTCCCCCTGAAATGCCATTCTCTGGCTGGCACATTCTGTTCACATTTCCAAGTCTGTCCCCGCAGTGCAGTCTTCATAGAGTGATCAGAGTGACCCTTTTAAAATTGGATTGTGTTATGCCGCTTCTTAAAACTCCAATATAAGATCCCAACTCTTTGCCATGACCTAAAGGATCTTGAATGACCTGACCTGACCTCCTCTCCTGCCACTCTCCCCTTCGCTTGCGCTGCTCCAGCCACCCTGGCCTCCTTGCCACTCCTTGAGCAAACCCAACATGGTTCCTCATAAAGTCCACGGCACCTCCTGTCCTCTCTTCCTGGGAGGCTCATCCCCAAGCCCTACCCATGGCTCCTTCCTTCTTGCCACTCAGGTCTCAGCCCAAAAGTCCTCTCCTCAAAGCTGCCTTCCCCTGACCACCCAGTCCAATGTTTCAGGTTGAATATCCAACCGAAATGCTTAGGACCAGAACTGTTTCCAATTCTAGATAATTCAGATTTTGAAACATTTGCATATGCCTACTAAGATACCTTGGAAATGGGACCCAAGTCTCAACATGAAATTAATCTGTTTTACACATGAAGAAATGCTCATCATCACTGGCCATCAGAGAAATGCAAATCAAAACCACTATGAGATATCATCTCACACCAGTTAGAATGGCAATCATTAAAAAGTCAGGAAACAACAGGTGCTGGAGAGGATGTGGAGAAATAGGAAAACTTTTACACTGTTGGTGGGACTGTAAACTAATTCAACCATTGTGGAAGTCAGTGTGGCGATTCCTCAGGGATCTAGAACTAGAAATACCATTTGACCCAGCCATCCCATTACTGGGTATATACCCAAAGGACTATAAATCATGCTGCTATAAAGACACATGCACACGTATGTTTATTGCGGCACTATTCACAATAGCAAAGACTTGGAACCAACCCAAATGTCCAACAATGATAGACTGGATTAAGAAAATGTGGCACATATACACCATGGAATACTATGCAGCCATAAAAAATGATGAGTTCATATCCTTTGTAGGGACATGGATGAAATTGGAAACCATCATTCTCAGTAAACTATCGCAAGAACAAAAAACCAAACACCGCATATTCTCACTCATAGGTGGGAATTGAACAATGAGATCACATGGACACAGGAAGGGGAATATCACACTCTGGGGACTGTGGTGGGGTCGGGGGAGGGGGGAGGGATAGCATTGGGAGATATACCTAATGCTAGATGACACATTAGTGGGTGCAGCGCACCAGCATGGCACATGTATACATATGTAACTAACCTGCACAATGTGCACATGTACCCTAAAACTTAGAGTATAATAAAAAAAATTAAAAAAAAAATAAAATAAAATAAAAAAAAAGAAATTAATCTGTTTTATATACACACCTGATACAATTGTATATCAGATAAAATATACAATATTTAAATTTTATACAATATTTTATTGTAATTTTATGCAATATTTTTAGTAATTTTGTGCTCCCATCCGCTGAGGTCAGGTGTGGAATTTTCCACTCGTGGCATCATGTTGGTGCTCCAAAAGTTTTGGATTTTGGAGCATTTCTAATTTCAGATTTTTGGATGTGTATTTGTTAGTGAATCCTCTGAAACCCAACCCAAAGTTGACTCAGATCGCTTCCTCCTCACAGATGTACAGAACTCTGTGTATTTGCCATCATCATCATAATTACTAAGATTGGTTGAACACTGCACTTCCTATGCATGACACACTTTCTAAGAACCTCACGTGCATTATTTCATTGAATTCTCACCACAACTCTATGACCAGTACTGTTATCATCCCTTTCACAGAAGGGGAAACTGAGGCACAGAGAAGGCGGTAAAGTATCTACAGTCACTCAGGTGGTGACGAGCAAACCCACCGGATTGGGGACATCCCAAGGGTAGGGAAACTGTCCACATTCCTTCCCTGTCAAGCATTTATTGAGCACCAATGGTCTGCCCTGTGCTAAGCACTGGAGATACGGTAGCAAAAAAGACATAATGGCCTCTGCTTGCATGAAACTTGGGTTCAGGAGGGAACACACAATAAACCAAAGTTATTTACATTGTTAATTACATTTGAGCTACATGCCTGGAAGGAGAAGTACAGGGTGCCCAGTGAGTAAGGTGTACGGGTACTGGAGGCTCAGGGAAGGCTTTCCTAAGAAAGAGGCCTGGATGGCAGAAGAAAGGAAAAGGCTTTTCAAGAAAATAGAACTTCTCCATGCAGAGGCCTTGGGCAAAAGGGATCTAGATGCTTTAAGGAACTCAGAGGAGACCAATGTATAATAGCTCCAAAGGAAGGCAGTGGGAGAGAGAAAGGTGGAGGGGGAAGTCATGCATGATTATAGGCATTTCAAGGCCTTCAGGCTTCATCATTTCTGTAACCTCAGCACATGGAACACAGTGGGCACTCCATCATGGTTTGCAGTGGTTGTTAGTGTTTTAAATGAACAAAGCAACCATTGAAAGAATGAAGAAGTGATTTTGAGCATTTGGGCTGCCAGCAGCTATTCTACCTACCAGTTTTCCAAGTCAGAAATATTTAAAAGAGAAGAAGACTTTAGATTTTGTTTAAAAAAAAAAAAATCCCACCAGGTAGAAATTGGCTTTCGAAACAAAAAAGACTGGTCTTTTTGCATTGGGAAGGGTTTATACTTACATTATTGGTATTTTGGACAGTGGTTACCAAAAACCATAGAAAAAAGGCTAACAGAAATCTATAGCTATGGATCTTTTTTCATTTTTACTTTTTACCGAATCTGAGCTCAACTGATGCTCATTGCCAACAAGAATCTATGGTTTGGGGGGAATCTTTTATTTGTAATTATTTGGTCTCTGAAGTAGGTCATGTGATTTATGGGATAAGTTGATTAGGGAAATAACTGCATGAGCCCTGAAGAGAAGACCAAGTTTGTATCATTTGCCCTAGAAAGTAATGGAGATTAAGAGATAGGCTGGGCACAGTGGCTCATGCCTGTAATCCCAGCACTTTGGGAGGCCAAAGCGGGCCGATCACTTGAGGTCAAGAGTTCGAGACCAGCCTGACAAACATGGTGAAAACCTGTCCCTACTAAAAATACAAAAATTAGCCAGGAGTAGGGGTGGGCACCTGTAATCCCAGATACTTAGGAGGCTGAGGTAGGAGGATTCGCTTGAACCTGGGAGGTGGAGGAGGTTGCAGTGAGCTGAGATCGCACCATTGCGCTCCAGGCTGGGTGACAGAGCAAGACTCTGTCTCAAAAAAAAAAAAAAAAAAAAAAAAAAGAGAGAGAGACAGAGAGTGTGACTCCCTGTCTATAAAGCCCTATTTCTGGGCTGGAGATGCATCACCTCTACAACTGACCAAGACAAATAAATGTATTCTCCTTAAAGCCCCCAGAAGGAATGCAGCCCTACCCACCTGTCGGTTTCAGCCCGGTGAGACCCACTTCAGACTTCTACACACCTATTCATTTGTGTTGTTTCAAGTCACTAAATTTGTAGTAATTTGCTACAGCATCAACATGAAACCAATATAAGAAGCCAGATGCAGTGGCTCATGCCTATAATCCCAGCACTTTGGGAGGCCGAGGTGGGTGGATCACTTGAGGCCAGGAGTTCAAGACCAACCTGGCCAACATGGAAAAATCCCATCTCTACCAAAATACAAAAATTAGGCCAGGCACAGTGGCTCACACCTGCAATCTCAGCACTTTGGGAGGCAAGGCAGGAGGATCACTTGAGGTCAGGAGTTCGAGACCAGCTGGCCAACATGGTGAAACTCCATCTCTACTAAAAATACAAAAATTACCTGGGCATCATGGTGGGTGCCTGTAATCCCAGCTAGTCAGTAGGCTGAGGCAGGAAAATCACTTGAACCTGGGAGGCAGAGGTTGCAGTGAGCCGAGACCACACCACTGCTCTCCAGCCTGGGCAACAGAGCTAGACTCCATTAAAAAAAAAAATACAAAATACAAAAATTACCCAAGCATGGTGGCACACACCTGTAATCCCAGCTACTAGGGAGGCTGAGGTAGGAGAATTGCTTGAACCTGGGAGGTGGAGGTTGCAGTGAGCCAAGATCACGCCACTGCACTCCAGCCTGGGCAACACAGAGAAACTCTACTAAAAAGAGAGAGAGAGAAAAAAAAGAATTAGAAAGAAAAAGAAAGAAATCAATATAGAAAGTATAGGGGAGACAATAATCTGATTGGCATCACATTTTTAATTAACAACAAATATTAACTGGAAAACAATGGAGCAATATCTTCAAATCTGTGCAAGGCCATGGCAACAGATTTAAATATCAAAGGGAAATTGAAGAAAGTCTAACAAAATTAAAACTTAAGTAATTGACCAAAGAAGAAGAAAACCTAAACAGATCAATAACATGAACGATTGGAAAGGTCAAGATCTACCATTTTAAAAATCACCACACTTGCATAGATTTACATCCAAGTTTACCAAGCCTTAAAAAAAAGATAATTCTTCCTATATTATTAAAGTATCTTAGACTACAGAAAAAAATGAAACTCCCCAAGTTGACTATGACTTCGAAGAAGTTAGCAAAGCACTTTGCACAAAGCTCTTAGAACCATTCTGCCTTGTTCAAGTCATGGCTATAATACTTACTGGCTGTGTGACCTTGGGCAAGTTATTTATTCTCTTCCTTTCTCCACTCCCTTCTCTGTTAAATGACGAGGAAACTCTACTTCATGGAGATTGTTGTGAAGATTAAGTGAGTTTATAACTATCAACTGCTTAGAACAGTGTCTGGTGCCTATTAAGGCCCACATGCATACATATTTGATATTACTACTTTTATGAAATTAGAATCACCTTATTAGTTAAGCCTGATGAAGAAAGCACAAAAACAGAAAGCCACAGACAAATTCATTTATGAATACAGATACACATTTGTAAATAAATATTAGAAAATTAAGCTCATCAGTTCATCAAAAGAATAATACACTTATATTAGGAGCACAAGAATGGCTTAACATCATAGCTGGGCATCATGGTGGGCACCTGTAATTCCAGCTACTTGGGAGGCTGATGCAGGAGAATCTATCACTGTGATCCATTATATCTACCACTTAAAGTAGAAATTTCAGATGCTGTATGGTTGTAAGATAAACCTATAAAAATGAAGAGCTTTTCTATCAGTAATTATCACATAGTACTTTTTATTTTATTTATTTATTTTTTTGATACAGGATCTCGCTCTGTTGCCCAGGCTGTAGTGCAGTGGTGCAGTCACAGCTCACTGCATCCTCCATATCCTGGGCTCAAGCGATCCTCCCACCTCAGCCTCCTAAGTAGCTGGGACTTTGATACAGGATCTCGCTCTGTTGCCCAGGCTGTAGTGCAGTGGTGCAGTCACAGCTCACTGCATCCTCCATATCCTGGGCTCAAGCGATCCTCCCACCTCAGCCTCCTAAGTAGCTGGGACTACAGGCGTGCCACCGCATCCAGCTAATTTTTGCATTTTTCTTCGTAGAGACAAGGTTTCTCCATATTGCCCAGGCTGGTCTCAAACTCCTGGCTCCAGTAATCCTCCAGCGTCAGCCTCCCAAAGTGCTGGTATTATAGGAGTGAGCCACTGCGCCCAGCCCCACATAGTACTTTTAATAATTAAATAAACTTAGCAAAGTCAGTGTGGGCAATATGAGAAGGTCATGGAATGCTAGTCCAAGAAATCTGGTATTTATGAAATATATAGCAGGAAAAATTCAAGATGCCAAATAACATAAATAGGTCTATGTCTTTGGAGATGGATAGCAGTGAGGATTCTGAAGACAGAGAGACCCTTAGGAAATTATTGCAATAGTCCAGTCAAATGGTAGAGGAAAATTGAGCTGAGACAGAGGTCTTTCCAGAGGAATAATCGCTGGTACTGCTTTGGAGAAATAAACAGAATTTGTTAACTAAAGTCCAGACTGGGTAGACTGTTTTTACTACTAGGCTAAGGAACACGGGTGAAGAGAGTATTTCGGGAAAGATGACATTGAGTTGAGTCAAGCTGATTTTGAAGCACTCCCAGAACACCCACTGGTTAGAAAGGCAGATCAGAAGCTTCAAATAAAAGCAGGGACTAAAAAATTAACAGAGAGATTATTTAAGAAGCAACGATTCTGGAGCTACGAGAGGACATGAGGTCACCCAGGGAGAATGTGTAGCCTGCAAGGAAGGCTGAGACAGAACCTCAGAACATGCTGACATTTAAGGGATGGAATGAAAACAGCCGGTCAGTAAGAAGTTCTAGTGGTTGTTGGAGAGCCAAGAGCATGCAGAGCCCCATAAACTAGTGAAGAGATCCAAAAAGGATCACAAACCCAGCAGTTTGGAATGCCAAAGCAGGATCAAGGCGGAGGAGGAGCATTCAGCAAAGCAGCCTGCAGGTCCTTAGGAGAAACAAGTTCAGTGAAATGGGCATCTTGCAGCCCATTAAGCAGAGATAGAAAGTAGGTGGACTAAAGAATCCAAACGGCTTTTCAGTAAAAGTGGGTAAGAGCTTCAATTTGGGGATCAGGTTAACATGGATTCACATCTCAGCTCTACTGTTGGACATTTGTCAATCATTCCATATCTCTGAGCCTAACTTTCCTTATATGTAAAATAGGATAGTCCCAGTACTATCTTCGTAGGAGTTATTGTGACAATGGAGATAATCCATTAAAGGGGCTTAGATTGGCATCTAACATAGTTAAGAGGTCAGTAAACTTGGGGGTATTTGCGGGGCACAGTGGCTCATGCCTGTAATCCCAGCACTTTGGGAGGCCAAGGCTGGTGGATCACTTAAGGTCGGGAGTTCAAGACCAGCCTGGGCAACATGGTGAAACCCCATCTCTACTAAAAATACAAAAATTAGCCAGGCATGGTGGCGCAAATCTGTAATCCCAGCTACTCAGGAGGCTGAGCCAGGAGAATCGTTTGAACCCAGGAGGCAGAGGTTGCAGTGAGCCAAGATCGTGCCACTGCACTTCAGCCTGGGAGACAGAGTAAGAGTCCGTCTCATAAAAACAAAATGAAACAAAACAAAACTTGGGGGTATTATTGTTATTTCAATAAAATAGATGATGATCCCATCTGCTGAGAAAGGGATGAAAGCAGGTGGAAAGGGAGGAACAGCTGCTTACGTGTGTTTAAATAGACTACTTCCCAAAGCTTTTTTTTTTTTTAAATAAAAAATGACCAGACAGCTGAGATGAACTTGAAATAGACCTGGCCATCCAACCCAGCCAGACCACTCTTCCCAGAATCACTCACTGACTGAGCACTGGAGTGGTGGGAGCGGAAGAAATAAATTGTTGGGAGAATTGTTGGCTTGAAGAATGGCAAGGGTTAAAATGATCTGGTGTGGGAAAAGGACAGGATTTGAGCACAATAGGGAGAGCTCACTTAGACTTGGAGGCCGGGGCAGAGTTGTAGGAGTCATACCAGGGAAAGATCAAGCTAATTTATAGGAAGGAAAAAATCTAGAAATGAGGAACTTGAGTCGGAGGGGGTGATTCAGAGAACTGAGCATATAACCAGTCATGCTTCTTCCATTTTTTCGTATGGTCACTCTCTTACCTAGATACCTATGATACATTCAATAATCATTACTTTGGCCAGACACGGTGGCTCACACCTGTAATCCCAACTCTTAGGGAGCCCAAGGCAGGAGGATTCCTTGAGCCCAGGAGTTCAAGATCAGCCTGGGCAACATGGTGAGACCCTCTCTTTACAAAAATTTTAAAAATTACCCAAGCATGGTGGCATTCACGTGTGGTCCCAGCTACTCAGGAGGCCACTTAAGTCCAGAAGGTCCAGGCTGCAGTGAGTCATGTTCATGGCACTGCACCCCAGCCTGGGTGACAGAGAGAGAACCTATCTCAAAAAAAAAAAATCATCATCATCATTTCTTAAAACAACATTAATCATAGGTCACCTTTTTAGAGGCAAGCAGGCATTCTGTTAAACACAGTCCCCATATCAATTCTATGGGTCAAGAAGCCCTTGATGCCCATTACAGGTAAGTAAACTTTCACAGAGTGACAGGACTAAGATTTGAACCTGGGCAATCTGAATCCCAAGGCTGAGTAACCACAGCACATAACTATAAGCAGGGCATTTCGGTACGCAGCTTCTTGGATGACCTCAATACTCCCTGCCTCCTGGTAGCCCCACTCTTGTGTAATTCCCTCCCCGCTTGTGTGTGGGCTTTATTTAGTGGCCGACTTCTAGCAAGCAGAATGCAGAAGAGGAGAGATGTCACTTCTGGAATTAGATTACAAAGAGATGGCATCTTCCGTCTGGAGCACTCTCTCACTCTCACTCCAAGGGAAGCCAGCTGCCATGTTGTGAGCTGTCCAAGGATCCCAGTGACAAAGAACTGAGGAAGTCCTCTGGCCAGCAGTCAGCAAGAAACCGAGACCCTAGACCCTTAGCTCCAACAGCCTACAAATAACTGAAACCTTCCAAAAACCATGGGAGGGAGCCTAGAAGCAGATTCTCCCCAGCTGAGACTTCACATGAGACCACAGCTCCAGCATGTACTCTGACTGCAACCTGGTAAGAGACTTTGAGGTCTGACTGCAACCTGGTAAGCAACCTCAAGCCAGAGATACACAGGAAAGCCATGCCCAAATTCCTAACCCACAGAAACTGAGACAATAAATGTTTGCTGTTTCAAGCTGCTAAGTTGTGGAGTGATTGGTTATGCTGCAATAGTTAGTGAGTGCATCTACTCTGTGCCTAACACTTCCTAGATGTTAGGAATAAGACTTGGTCCCTGACGTCTGAGCATTTATAGGGGAAACAATGATATAAACAAATGATTCCAGCACAACATGGCCCAGGGTGGAGAATTGCACTAGTGGGCAACTGTAATGGAGGGAAACCAGAAAATATTCACAGAGGAGGTGAAATTTGGTTTGCATCTTGAAGGATGAATCAAAGCTAGCTAGACGGATGAAGGGGAATGGATAGTCAAAGCAAAGAGAACAGATACATGCCAAAGTACAGAAGATGAAACAGCAATTAAATATTTGTGGTTGAGTGTAGCTGACAGTAGAGACAACCAAGTAATGGAAAATCTTGCATGCTTTGCAAAAACCTCTGAACTTTCAAAAGACTGTCATGTACAATACATACTTGATTTATTTGAGAAGCTGCACTCTTTAGAAGTCATTTTTAGGTCAGAGGTCACAAGCTGGCATCCCTTGGAGAATATGGCCAGCACACATGCTTCTTTGGCCCTCAAAGTTATTTTACTAGTTTGAATTAGTTATTAACATTTAACAAATAAGAGATTTCAGATGAAGATCCACATTTCCAGCTTTGATTAAAATATCAGAAGATCCCAACAGGTGTGGGGATCACACCTCATTCAAGCTCAGGAGTTCAAGAACAGCCTGGGCAACATAGCAAGCTCTTGTCTCTACTAAAAAAAAAAAAAATTAATAAGCCAGGCATGGTGGTGCATGCCTATAGTCCCAACTACTCCAAAGGCTGACTCAGGAGAATCACTTGAGCCTGAGAAGTTGAGGCTGCAGTGAGCTGTGATCATGCCACTGCACTCTAACCTGAGCAACAGAGTGAGGCCCATCTTAAAAGAAAATATCAGAAGATCTAAACACTGGGATAGCGTTTCCATGTAGCAGTTGGCTGGAGTGAAATGGTAGCTGTCCCTTTTAGACAGAACATGCACACTCTACCAGAGTTCCCATCTGGCCAACTGAAGGGATTTGACTTTGCATCTCCTGCACAGAGAAGATAAATGTGTACTCAATATAAACATCGCATCTGTGAAGGGATGCATTGGTGAACTCCCATCACCTCAGCAAATGAGTGACCGCTTGGAAGGATCAAACAGAAAAAGTATTGATTTTGGGCAGTGATTCCTAGACTTTAATGTGCACACAAATCACCTGGGGTCTTGTTAAAATACAAATTCTGGTGCAGTAGGTCATAGTGAAGCCTGAGATCATGCATTTCTAACAAGCTCCCAGATGATACTAATGCTGCTGGTCCCAGGACCACACTTTGAGTAGCAAAGGGCCAGGGGGCCTTGGCATTGCACTCTACCCTGAGAGTCAGGGTTCTTCTGGGACTACAGCTTATCCTGTCTGCTGAAACAGAGCCTCTTCTAATTGGAGTCAGCCCTGGATTGGGGCTGGCATGGGGATGGAAGTTGAGAGAAGACAAAATAATCAGTGTGCTATTCCTTCCAGAGTTTTGTAGAACTTGTGGAAAGTAAAGTGACATTTATTGACATCTTTCATGTGTTCCAGGTTATCTCAATCAACATGCACACACACCACCACCACCACCACCAATGACAACAACATCTATAAGGTAAGAAGAGAGAAAGGGTAAGAAAGTGCACTCTAGAGCCGAACTGCCTGGGTTCATATCCCAGTTCTGCCATTTATTAGCTGTGTGACTTTAAATGTTACTAACAGCTCTCTGCCTCAGTTTCCCATCACCAAAATTGGGGATCATAATAGTACCTACCTCATAAGCTGCCGTGAAGATTAAGTGATGACACATGGATAGTGCTCAGGACAGTGTCTGGCATCTAGAAAGTGCCCAACAAATATTTGCTATTAATAATATCCCTTCCTTGTGAATGAAGAAAACAAGGCTAGCAGAAGTTAATTAATGTGGGCAGAGATTAAGTAGGGGGGCCAGTTTTTGTCTTTCCAATGACCTTAAGGAGTAAGGCACATGAAGGCCCAAGTGAGACCATATCTGGAGAGAAAAACAGTCCATACCCTTCCTTGAGGCCCTTTTCTATCCCATTCTCCAGTTTAGTCTTGTCTCGGAGACACTGGCTTATGGTAATAATTATAACACGTAAAAGTTATTGAATGTATACATCATCTCATTTAATTCTCACAACAATTTTGTGATGTAGGCACTACTGCATTGTTATTCCTCAATTTTGCAGATGCATGTTCCCCAAGCTCACATACTTGGCAAGTTCCAATTCTGTATAAAGTCATCCAGAAAATAGGACAGGGAAGAATACTCCCCAGCTGACTCTATAAGACCACTATCACCCTACCATTAAAATCAGACAAAGATATTACAGGAAAAGAAGGCTGCAGATGGATATTCTTCATGACTATACATGTAAAACTGCAAAACAAAATATTAGCACATTGAATCCCACAATACGTAAAAAGGATAATACATTATGATGAGTAGTGCTTCATCCCAGAAATGCAAGGTTGGTTTAACATTCAAAAACAAATCAAGTAGTTTACCAAATTCACAAACTAAAAAAGAAAAAAAAATTATCTCAATAGATGCAAAAAACTCGTTTGCAAATATTTAACAACATTCGTTTCTAATAAAAATTTTCAGCAATGTAGAACCTGAAGAGAACATTTTCAACTATGTAGCATCTTCAAATAACCTATAGCAAACATCATAATGAAAGAATAAGTGCTTTCCTCTGAGGATAAGAACAAGGCAAGTATGTTCACTATCACTGCTTCTATTCAACATTGTACTAAAGGTTCTAACCAGTGCAGTAGTGCAAAGAAAAAAGTGGCATTCAGATAGGAAAGAAGTAAAACTCTCTTTCTTCACAGATGATGTGGTCATCTATGCAGAATATCTGATAGAAGCAACAAATAAGCTACTAGAACCAATAATTGAGTTTAGTGAAGTTGCAGGATACAATCTCAAGATACAAAAACCTATTATATATCTATATGATGCCAATAAACAACCAGAAATTGAAATTAATAAACAATACCATTCACAATAACATCAAAAATATTAAATACTTAGAGATAAATCTGGCAAAAGATGTGAAAAACTTATACTATGAAAATTACTAACTACTGCCAAGAGAAGTTAAATACCAAAATAGGCCAGGCATGGTGGCTCATGCCTGTAAACCCAGCACTTTGGGAGACCGAGGCAGGTGGATTACTTGAAGTCAGGAGTTCAAGACCAGCCTGGCCAACATAGTAAAACCCCATCTGTACTAAAAATACTAAAATTAGCTGAGTGTGGTGGTGCATGCCTGTAATCCCAGCTACTCAGGAGGCTGAGGCAGGAGAATTGCTTTAACTTGGGAGGCAGAGGTTGAAGTGAGCCCAGATGGAGTGCACCACTGTACTCCAGCCTGGGCAACAGAGATACCATCGCAATAAATAAATAAATTAAATAAATAAATAAATAAATAAATAAAATGTTGGTCTTGAACCTATACTTATAGGTTCAAGAAAACTCAATATTGTTAAGATGGTGTAAATTTTCCCAACTTGATGTATAGATTCAATGAAATCCAAACAGAAATCTCCAGGAAGCATTTTTTGTAGAAATTGATGCATCCTAAAATGTATATGGTACTGCAAAGGACCTAAAATAGCCAAGATACCTCTGGAAAAAAAAAAGGAACAAAGTTGTAATGCTAACACCATCCAAGACTTATTACAAAGCTGTAATAATCAAGACAGTGTAATACTGGCATAAAAGATGATAAATAGATCAATGAAATAGAATACAAAAATCCATAAATAGCCCCATATATATGGACAGCTGATTTTTAACAAAAATGCAAAGGGAATTCAGTGGAGAAATTAAAGTTCCTTCAAAAATGTACTGAGAAAATTAGATCCCAATATGCAAAAAGAAAAACGAACTCCTATCCATACCTCACATCATATATAAAACTTAATTCAAAATGGATTGTAGATCTAAATATAAATCCTAAAATTATAAAACATTTAGGGCATTGAAAAATTTAATCTTGATCTAGGCAAAGATTTTTTAGATTCATCATCAAAAGTATGACCCAAAAAGGAACAAACCGATAAACTGGACTTCATCAACTTAAAAAATGTTTGCTCTTTAAAAGACACTGTGAAGAGAATACAAGACAAGCTACAGAGTTAGAGAATCATATGTCTGATCAATCATATAGTTTATAAAAAATTTATATCTCAAATACATAAAGAACTCCCAAAACTTAAGAAAACAAGCCAATTTTTAAAATGGCCAAAATATTTGAACAGACACGTCACCAAAGGAGACATACAGACAGGACATATGTACATGAAAAGAGACTCAATCATTAATCTTTAGAGAAATGTAAATTAAAATCACATATCACTCCTATGCCAATTAGAATGGTTACAATAGAACTTTTGGCCGGGTTCGGTGGCTCATGCCTGTAATCCCAGCACTTTGGGAGGCCAAGGTGGGAGAATTGCTTGAGCTTAGGAGTTCAAGACCAGCCTGAGCAACATAGTGAAACCCCGTCTCTACCCAAAATATTTAATACAAAAAATTGGCCGGGCATGGTGGCATGCACCTGTGGCCCCAGCTATTGGGAGGCTGAAGTGTGAGGATCACTTGACCCCAAGAAGGTCAAGGCTGCAGTGAGCCAAGATTGTGCCACTGCACTCCAGCCTCCTGGGTGAGACCCCAGGAGTGAGATCCCATCTCAAAAAAAAAGAAAAAGAAAATAGAACTCTTATATACTGCTGGTGGCAATGTAAAATGGTACAATCACTTTAGAAAATGGTCTCTCAGTTTCTTAAAAAGTTACACATGTACTTACAATATGAACCAGCCATTCTACTCCTAGGAGTTTACCCATGAACAAATGAAAGCATATGTCTTGCAGGAAAACAGTCTGTTGCATGGCAGGAGTGTGACACCATCTTGAAGGGAAACCACCACGATGACCAATGTGCGACTCCTGCCTACCAAGATGTTCTTATAGCTTAGATAATCCTTCATAAAGACATTTATCTAACCTATCCAGTGGTCAAGAGTTTTGCAAGAAAGTCTGAGACATGACTAGCTGCACATGTTTTATCAAAAAAGCTTACTATAGGAAGAATATGTTTTTTAGGGTGAATGCAGTGAGCCAACATCTTGCGGCTTCCCAAGACATTGCTCCAGTTCATAAGTCCCTGTTAAATGTTTCTTCCTGAGAAACTGGATTTGTCAGTCTTGTTCTTTGACCTCTCATTGTGTAACATGTTTGTACAAAAAGCAAGTTTATTTTTAGTATCCAAGAACTGTAAATGACCCAAATGCTCAACAACAGGTGAATTTAACTGTGGTATATCCATACAATGGAATACTACTCAGCAATAGAAATAATGAAATATTGATATATGCTACCATGTGGATAGATCTGAAAATAATTATGCTGAGTGAAGTAAACTCAACAAAAACTAGTGAATACTGTATTATTCCATTTTTATAAAATTGTAGGAAATCCGGACTAATATATACCAACAGAAGCAGATCAGGGGTTGTCCGGGAAGGTAGGTGGAAAGAATTAGAAAGGGCCACAAGGAAACTTTTAAGGTGATGCATAAGTTCATTATCTTGATGGTGTCAATGGTTTCACTGGTGTAGACTTACGTCAAAACTTATCAAATTGTACACTTTAAATATTGCAGTTCCTTATATGCCAATTATACCTCAAAAGGCTGTTTTTTAAGGGTAAAAAACATTTTTTGTTGAGACAGTGTCTCGCTCTGTCACCCAGGCTGGAGTGCAGTGGCACGATCTCGGCTCACTGCAACCTCTGCCTCCCGGGTTCAAGTGATTCTCCTGCCTCAGCCTCCCGAGTAGCTGGGACTACAGGTGTGCGCCACCACACCCAGCTAATTTTTGTATTTTTGTTAGAGATGGGGTTTCACCATGTTGGCCAGGATGGTCTCGATCTCTTGACCTCGTGACCCACCCGCCTCTGCCTCCCAAAGTGCTGGGATTACAGGCGTGAGCCACTGCGCCCTGCCAGAGTAATAAAAATTTTTAACTGCATGCAATTTTTAACTAGATGCATCACTGGCTCAATTTCTGCAAACCAGGTGGGTGGCTGAGTGGGTGGATGGATATGGTTGCCTTCCCTTCACTTGTGGCCTAAGAAACAGGATGTTTCCCCACTGGGTTTTTTTCAACAAGCCTTTCCTTCACCTTGGGGCTCATTTTTCGTACAGTTCATAGCACATTTGTTGTCTGCCTCAACTCCTGCCACTTCTAAGGACCAATAGCTTGATCACTAATTCCATCGCCATTGGATTGATCTCCCTCTGGGACTGGATGACATTTATTAGTTCAGAGCTTTTCATTTTCTTACCTCATCCTGGAATCTGCCTTAGCACACAAAAGGCACTCAATAAAGATTTTCTGGTTAATTGATTTACTGATTAATTCATTGGAAAAGCTATCAATTCTATAAGGCATGTATAGTTTTCAAACTCCAATGGGATTTAGGTAAATTGGGTTTTTACTAACCTGCTTGCCTTCCAAAAAAAAAAAAAAAGATGGGATTTTTGACTTCCTTATTTTTTTATAATTGCCACGTAATGCATTTATAATCAGAAAACCAGCTCTAAAAATAACTAAACAAGGAAATATGCCACTTAAAATTTAAAAACAATTGCCCCGACAGATTCAGTGGTGACTCTGGCTAAGTTAAACTGGGTCTTTCCAGTGCCCATGTTTTTCCAGAGGTTGGCATCCTACCCTCCTCTCCTCCCTAAGTCTTAAGTGGTTCTGGAAGATTCAACTAGAAACCACAGAGTGCACTAAAACAACAGATTCATGGAACAGGGCAATCAGGAAAAAGGGCCAAAGCCAGCCAAAGTTGTCTGCTTAGGCAAAAGCCCTGACCCAGCACATTTCTCAGAAGGCTCCATCTATATTTATAGCTTTGAAAAACTTTTGGGAACATGGAACTTTCAGGCTGGTGGAATCCTGGCTCTGAGCGGTACTGGGAACACCATGTTCCCTTCTGGCTTGGATCACAAAAGAGCCACGTGTTGGGTACATGAGTCCTTTACTGACCTCAGGGGAGACATCCGGCTCTCTGTGCCTTCATTTCTTCCTTTGTTTAATGGAATTTATTTTGTCCCACTTGACTCATAGAGCATACAAAAATAAAGGCACCATTTACTTAGTACTTATTACACCAGAGGCACTGGGTTAAAAGTCATTTCATTTTCACAGACAGCACTATTTTTTAATCCCCATTCTACAGATGGTATAACTGAGGTTCATGAAGATTAAGGAATTTACCCAAGGTTCACACAGCCAAGTAAGTGGTGGATCAAGGATTTGAACTCTCAAGCCCTAGGTTTCAACCCTTAAACTGCTATAGGGTTCAGATTTGTGATTAAATGTAATAAAGAATAAACAGAAGAGTGAAGAGAACGACCATTTATTGAGCCTCTATTATGAAGCCAGCATATTACATGAGTCACAAATAAGAATTGCTCTCAAGTTGAAAAGTGAAAGTAAAAGCATGTTTCTCTGTCTGCACCAAACATAATCCAGTTCAAACACAACCTCATACCCCAAGAGAACAAGGTTATCAAGAAGTTGAGTTACCAGTCATTTATTAGGCCGCTCCCAAGCCAGGTGTGGTGGCTTATACCTGTAATCCCAGCACTTTGAGAGGCCAAAGTGGGAGGACTATTTAAGGCCAGAAGTTTGAAACCAGCCTGGATAACAAAGTGAGACTCTTGTCTCCAAAAAAAAAAAAAAATTTAGCCAGGTGTGGTGGTGTGATCCTGTAGTCCCAGCTACTCAGGGTGCTGAGGCAGGATTGCTTGAGGCCAGGAGTTAGAGACTGCAGTGAGCTATGTGATTGAGCCACTGCACTCTAGTCTGGACAATAGAGCAAGACCCCATCTCAAATAAATAAACAAATAAGTAGATTCTCCCCATTATCTCGAAGCCCACATTCCTCTTTCTGTGATCCTGGAAAGCCCCAAATCACATTCAGTGCCTAGCCTCCCACTGAGTATTCAAAGGTGCCATAAGTTCTGTTTCCCACTTGGGAGAAGGTAGTGGCCAGCAAACCCAGGGGTCACCCACCGTTCAGAGCCTGGCCTCAGGATATCCTCATATGATTCACAAGCCCCTGCCCATAGCATCTGGCTTTTCAGAGAAAACCACCCAGACACTGCTTTTGAGCAAACCTCACTAAGGAGCTAAAATCCTTTCTTCCTTCCTAGACTCCTGAGATCCAACAGCCTAAGAAAAATTCTGTTAACCCTTCCCACAGAGGAGACAGTACAAACTCAAACCTTAAGGACACAAAGACCCATTCATCCCCCTGGGCAAGAGAAGAGAAAGAACATCTCATCCTTCTCTGATGAACATCCAGCTGAGAAAATAAGATACAATTCGTTCCTCAGCAGGCCATTCTGCCATGTTAAATTCCTAATGAGTGGTCCTGCTGCACCTACATTATCCCATTCAATCCTCACCTACATTATCCCATTTAATCCTCACAACAGCTCTGAGCCATTTGCTTGCAGGCGTGAGCAAGGATGCACTGCTTGATCACACTCTACCCAAGAGGAAGAGCCTCAGTATGAGAAGGTCACAAGCCCTTCTGATCACACTCTATCCCAGAGGACACAGCCTCAGTATGAGAGGTCACAAGCCCTTCAGCTCAGTGAGGCACAGTTTTGGGAGGAAGAGTTCTGCAAGAGAGAGGAAAGAAAGGGAGCCTTCCGCAGCCAACCAGCCAGATCAGCCAAAACCACCCAGGTTATCAGGGATGGTAAGAGGTATCATTGCCAAGTAGCAGCTAAGGTCACTGTTAATATTTATTAAGCATCTCCTATATCCAGGTAAAATGCTACCTTCTTAATTGTATTACCCCATTTCATCTCCCAGCCACCAGGAAACAGAAGTATTATTGCTCCAATTTTATAGATGAGGAAACTAAGGTTTATAGAAATCAGGGAGCTTTCCTAAGGTCTTGGGGGCAGCAAGTGCTAGAGGTAGAATTGGACCTCAGGCAACCATATCACCTTTACCACCCAAACCCATGAGGCAGCCGTTATTACCCCCTTTTTACAACTGAGGAGGCCAAAGCAGGAGGATTGCTTGAGACCGGGAGTTCGAGACCAACCTGGACAACAATGTGAAAACCCCATCTCTTAAAAAAAAAAAAAAAAATTAATTAGCCAGGTGTGGTGGCGTGCACCTGTGGTCCTAATTTGAAGAGGTAAAATAATCTGCTCAGATCAGTGATAAAGCCAGAATCCCATTCCTCACTAAAGTCAGTCCACTATCACACCAGCTCACACTAAAGGAAAGTACTTCGAAAAGCTCAGGAGAACCCAAACCAATTTTCCCCCCAGATTTCAGTGTGTCCTTGCCTTTAAGAGAAAGTATATAAGACTTTTCTCAGGCTGTTGGACCACAGGGGTTAGGAAGAAAGAAAAAGATTGCAGTTCCTTGGAGGACTTCATTCACACAGTGACCACTTGATCTATGCTAGAAAAAAATTGTAAAAATCTCTGAAAATAATAACAGCAAATTTTTATATGGCGCTTACTTTGTGCCAGGCTCTGTTCTAAGCAATTTATAAACATGTTAACTATTCAATCCTCCAAACAACTTTATTAGGTCAGTACCACTGATGTGCTCTTAAAAGTTTAACAACCAGCTCTCAATGGGAAAGCTTTGATTTGTAGCACTTGCCAATGTCCCTGGTGTAACTACTCCCACTGTGGCCAATTCCAAGCTGTCAGTGTAATGTCACGATCTTGGCGTTGGGAAGAAATGCCTATCATATATCACTGGGAAGATGCACATCATGTATCATCGGAAAGGGATGTACATTACGTATCATTGCCACCATGCAGACACAGTAGACATAAGTAGCCCCAAGAGCATAGATAGTAGTAAAATGGAGTAAAATAATTAGGAATTAATGAGTTTGGAGCATTTATTACCTTTGGTTTTAATTGCAAGCTTATAAAATTTAATTTTTAATAAAGGCTGTATTTAACAACCAGCTTGCAAAATTTCTGATAATTAAACAGTTGGCTTTCACGTGTCTGCTCTGGCTTCAGCATATAACTGGTTAGTGCTATTATTGCCTTTTTATAGAGGAGGAAACTGAGGCACAGAAAGGCTACATAATTTGCCAAAGGGTACATGGCTAGAAAATGGCAAAGCCAGAATTCAGACCTGGGCAATCTGGCTCCAGAATCTGTGCTCTTAACCACCCTATCTATGGCTTCTCTTGCAAGACTGCTGTGTCTTTGTCCAGACTGTAGCCCATAGGTTTCCTTTGTGCTCCTCTCAGTATGTGCATTAACTGCATTTGACAGTGAGTCACAGCAAGGCTGTAGTGCAGTTTCTTTCCAGGACCTTGGGAAAGAGTTTAAGGCATCCACTTGCACCCTCAGCAAAACGTCTGGGGCCTTGTGACTGGGCTGCGGAGGATGACACCTAGCTGTGTTCCTGATCTGGCCGCCTAGGCCTTGCCCTCGAGGCCTGGCTGAGCCTGCGTTCAACCACACATCCATTATGGAAAGGAGGGTCCCTTAATGTAGCGCAAATTATAGCTGGAACACAAGCAAATTGCCGGCTTTTACTAGCACATAAACTGAGCGGAACCTTTGAGATAGATCCGCATTACCCTAAACGGCATCCATAATTCATACCTGCAGCAGAAATGCTTCCCTCTCCCCAGGCTGGAGCCAATCTATTATTGATGGGCCCCTTAGAAGGCCACAACAGAGTGTTTCTCATTCTCCAGCCATCTGCCGGCGTGGTCAATTCCTCAGGCGGCGGCAGCACATTTATTCATCAGAATCAACTCCCAATTAGTTTCCTAGCAGGACCCAGGGGGGTTTTATCTGAGGAATCAAAGTGAGTGTTTCTAGAACAGTACCCCCAGTCCCACCCCTGGGACGCTAATCAATACATACAGAACCAGCCAGCAGCAGGCGAGCATTCGTTTTCACTCAGAAATGCTGCTGCCTTTGTAAATCATGGAGAGTAAAACTAAAAAGCAATGCCCCTTCCTCTCCACCAAGAGTCGGATGGCCAGGAGTTTCTTGCTGTCTATGAAGAAGTAAGTCACTGGATCGTCAGAGCACAGGATTTTTTTTTTTTTTTTTTGAAACAGAGTCTTCCTCTGTCGCCCAGGCTGGAGTGCAGTGGCACGGTCTCAGCTTGCTGCAGCCTCCGACTCCCGGGTTCAAGCAATTCTCCTGCCTCAGCCTCCCGAGTAGCTGGGATTACAGGCATGCACCACCACCCCCTGCAATTTTGTATTTTTAGTAGAAATGGGGTTTCACCATGTTGGCCAGGTTGGTCTCGAACTCCTGACCTCAAGAGATCCACCCGCCTCAGCCTCCCAAAGTGCTGGGACTACAGGCGTGAGCCACCTGGCCAGAGCACAGGATTTAAATGACTGCCAAGAGCAGAAGTTTCCCACCCCACCTGGGTGGTAGAAAGGAAAGTAGCAATTCTATTCACAGCTTTTTATGAAAGATCTAATAACAACCCTGTGAGACGGGTATTTATTATTCTCTCCATTTTGCAGATGGAGAAACTGAGGTTAAGTAACTCACCCAAGGTCACACAGCTAGTAGATCGCAGTGACAAGACTTGAGCGCAGAAAACCTGATTCCAAAGTCCACGGGCTTAACCACTACTCCATGCTGCCATCTGCAGGAAGAGGAAAGGGAACCGACAAGCTATTTCCAGGGCGTCACAAACACCTAATGAAATGTGGACATTTCGCTACAAAAGACAGCTGGCTCACAAAGACCCAACCAACTAGTTAAATAAAGGGAAAGCACTGTTTTTTGTGTTATTTCTATTTTATGTTGTGATGTATTGCTTTATTGAATGATTAATGTTTAAATGACCACATGCATTAATGGCTATTAATAAATATAGCTGGTTTTAAAAAGCTGCATCTTTTTTGAGTGAGTATTTGGTGGGGAGGGAGGCAGAGGATGGATCATGAAAGGGGTACAGGAGTACTCAGCATTTGAAAGGCCATCAGGGTTTAGAGCTGAAAGGAAACATTCATCACTCACATCTGAGAAACACCTTCCCAGGTGTCAGGCTTTGTGTCTGACCCTGGGGATACAAGAATTGATAAGATGAGAGACATGTGAAAAATTAACTATGAGTTAAGGCAGAATAGCACAGGGGATATACACCAAGGCTTCCCTCAACCATGCCTTCTCTTTCCCCATCCCAGAGGAGACTGAGCCATAGTAAAGCAAATCACACCACACTGTGAACTGGTGCAGCTCTACATACAAACTCTTCAACCTCTGCAGAGCTCTCATGCTGCTATGCCATCCTTTCAAGTGCACCTGGTCAGCTCCCCCTTCCATATCTTCAAGGTGAGTTCTTAAGACCCCACATCTTCTTTCTCCTATAAAGCTGTGGCCAACAGTAGGAAGAGCTTAAAGCTTCCACCGCTCCACCAGCAAACTTCTCTGCCTCTACGTCTTCCATTCTTTGTGTCTTATCTTCATCCTTCCTCACTGTGGGGAAAACCTCAGAGATGATCCAGTTGGTCTGAGCTCCATGAAGGGCCCAAGGCCATGGAGCTACCAATGAATAGAAACCAAGATGGCATGGAGAGCTGAGAGTGGAATAGGAAAGGAGAGGATGTGGAGCTAAGGAGGAGGTTTGAATAACAAAGGAACATCAACTAGGAGGTCCAAATGGTTGCCCCAGTGATGAGGCAGCCCAGTTTATGGAATCAGGAATGGAAAAGACAGGTGAGCAGTACAGTGGGTCAGGTAGGCAAGTGGATGGCCTGAGATGGGGCTGAAGTATAATAGAGTGGTTATAAGAAGGGTGCTCAGTATCCACAAGGTACCAGTTCAAACCCAGGCTCTGCCATTTATTTGTTGAGGGACTTTGGGAACGTCTTTCAACCCCACCACCCCCAGCCTCAGTGGATGCATGTAAACTGGAGATGATAGCACCTGACTCATAGACCTCAGAGGGTGGAGGGGAAATTAGGTAAGGAATGAATTAAACAGCTGCCACATAGTGCAGAAATCAATGGTGGTTGCTGCCCTTTGAGGACAAATACCTAAGGCAAAGATGTTACCTCAAGTTGGCATTTAGACAAAACCTCAATCAAAATGTTTGTGCTGAGAGCCAGCCAGAGAGTGGACATATACATTCTGCAGGGATGGAGTCGGACTTTATCAGGTTTATAATGAGAACGACCTTGACCCAGTCTTGTTTCTAATACAGGAGGCAGATTCCTCCAGTAGGGTGATTTTACATTCCAATTCTCCTGGACAGTCCCATGCCTGAACTAAATCTATTCATACCTATTCAGTATTTTTAGTGCTTTCTTTTGCTCCCCCAAAGTGTCCCACTTACGATGATAAATTACATGGCTACCCTCCCAAAACATTTATCTAACCTAGAGTGATGGTTACCAGAGGCTGGGAAGGGAAGGATGATGGGGAATAGGGGGAGGGGAGGATGGTTAATGTCTACAAAAAATAGAAAGAATGAGTAACATCTAGTGTTTGATAGCACAATAGATTGACTACAGCCAATAATAATCTAACTATACATTTTAAAATACTAAAAGAGTATAACTGGATTGTTTGTAACACAAAGGATAGATACTTGAGGTGATACATACCCCATTTACCCTGATGTGATTATTACACATTGTATGTCTGTGTCAAAATATCTTATGTACCCCATAAATATATACATCTCCTATGTACCCACAAAAGTGAAAGTTGTAAAATAAAACAATCTAAAAAATTATCTAGCCTAGATCCTTAGCAGCATTCCACTGGCAGAGACCATTAGCTGCCACTAATTTCTTCTCCTCTGCCTACCTTAGAAATAAACACTCATTTTTAGTTGATGAGCAGATTCCCTTGCTACTGGGTATTATGTGACTAAGTTCTGGCTAACAACATGTAACTAGGGTTATGTGTGACTTCGGAGAAAGACAGCACCTTCTTTGATCCTTCCTCCCTACTGCTGGCTGGAATGCAGATGTGATGGCTTCATGTGAGCTGCCATCTTGGATCATGAGGTAGCAGTCGTCTGCTGAGAATCACAGAGCATCAAGGTAAAAGGGGCATAACACCAGCTCTAAACTGCATACCTCTGGACTTCTTTTTTAGAGGAGACAAAATTCCACCTTGCATAAACTACTTTTATTTGGGGTTTCTGTCACAGACAAACATGATCCTAATGGATATACTCAGGGGCTAAACAAGGACTCGCAAATTCTCTGTCTCAAGTTACTGGAGATGGATGCTGGGCTGACGTGGGAAAGGTTATAGTGGCTGTGCGGTGGTTAGGAGCTTATGCTCAAGTCAAGCAGACCTGAGTTCCTAATTCTACCTTTTAATAGCTACATGAACTCGGGCAAGTTTCTTAACCTCTGTGAGCCTCCCTTTTCTTATCAGTAACATGTGGGTAATGTTCTAGCAATTATGTTCTAGTTTAGTGTGAAGATTTAATGATATAATATATACGATGTTCTCAGCATAATGCCTGGTACACTGTAAGCCCCCTGTAAATGGCAGTTCTTACCATTGCTGTTATCACTACTGTTCTTGATTATTGTTATTACTGTTGCCTAGGTTCCCCTGGAAACAGCCCCTCTTTATTTTGATATATGACTGCATCAGGGCCAGGAAGCTGGGCTTGGAATCACCTACGAATTTCTCTTGTATGGGAGCAGCAGACATGTCCATGGCCAACTTCTGTCCTCAAGGCATCCCCTGACCTGCAGGAGCTGTCAGCAAGAGGCACATATGCAATTTCACAACCAGGACCTCATGCACTGCTCCCAGATATGTGACAGGAGGGACGCCCAGGAACCAAGTGTTCCGAGTATGAACCCTGAGCAGCCTGGAAAAGACCACGTCTAGGGGAAGGACATTCATCCCAGATTCCGCGGGTCAGGTAGGACATTCATCCCAGATTCCATGAGTCAGGTGAGGCATTTATCCCAGATTCCACAGGTAGGTCAGATGTTTATCCCAGATTCCATGGGTCAGGTGGGACATTTATCCCAGATTCCGTGCGTAGGTTAGATATTTATCTCAGATTCTGTGGGTCAAGTGGGACATTCAACCCAGATTCCGAGAGTCAAATGGGACATTTATCCCAGATTCTGCAGGTCAGGTAGCACATTCATCCCAGATTCCATGGATCAGGTGGGACATTTATCCCAGATTCTGTGCATCAGGTGGGACATTCATCCCAGATTCTGCAGGTCAGGTGGGACTGAGACCCACAGAATGTATCTTGCCTGTAGCTATGGATACCCTAAGTCAATGGTTTCCAAATGCTGGTGGGAATCAGAATCACCCAGGGAAGCCAGGAGGAATGCCAAGGCCTGGGCCCTTTCCTCCTTCAAGGAGCCTGAGCCACTGCACTTATTATTAGCACTCTTGGTGACTGCCCACAAAGTTTGAGAACCACTGTCTCCAACTCAGGGAACATCCTGAAACAGGGTAGGGGGAGAGAGAAGCTGAGATTTGTAAACCAAAGAAAACATCTCACTGGGCCACCAGAACTGTATTGCCCCCTGATCCGTGTCCCCATTCTCTCTCACCAGGGTCACAGCAGCAGCCTCAAAAGTGGTCTTCCTGCCTTTGATCTCACTTCTATCTCTGGGTCATTGCAGCCAAGGTGATCTTTCTAAGTCATGGATTTGTTCGTGGAACCCCTCCCCCACCCCATGATTAAAACCCTCAAGGGCTGCCCATTGCCTCCCAGATAAAGCCCTAACTCTTTATCATGATTTGTAGGACCCTTTTCGATAGGATCCCTGCCTGATTTTTCTAATTCAGTGGTTCTCAGTCGGGGGTGATTTTGCTCCCCCACCTCCAATTGGGGATATTTGGCAATAATGCCCGGAGACATTTTTGGTGGTCACAAGCAGGGAATGAGTACTACTGGTATCTAGCAGGAAGAGGCCAGGGATGCTAAGCATCCTAGAGTGTGCACGACAGACCTCTGTAATAAAGAGTTACCCCAGCACCAAATGTGAATTGTCCCAAGGCTAAGAAACTCTCCCCTAGCCTCACTTCTTGCCACTTCCCTCCTCTCAATCCACAGTCCAGCCTCTTAGGCCTTATTCCATTCATCCAATGTGCCACTCCTTCCCTACCCATTGAGCCTTTTCACTGGACTGCTCTTCTCCCAAAATACCATTCCTACCACCTCTTGGCTTGGCTAAACTGCACTTGCCCTTTTAGTCTCAGATGTCTCTTCTTCCAGGTAGCATCTTGCTCCAAGACTGAGTCTGTTGCCTGCGATTTACCCATAGAAAAGCCCCTACCACATGATGCTGTAATCTCCTGTTTGCTTGTTGGCCTCTCTCACAAAACTCTAAGCTCCTTGGGGACAGGAATTGGATCGTGTTCAGCTTTGTACTCACCTGTGCCTAGTACAATATCTAGAACAGAGTAGGTGCTCAATGAATACTTGTTGAATGGATAAGTGAATGGATGAGGTGTTAGAATACACTGCCAGGAAATAAGAGCTAGACTGACAGCTCATGTAGGCAAGCCAGACTGTAATCTAGAAAAACACTGAGCCCAATTCCTGGTCTGGCCTGGCAACTGTGATCTAGAAAAAGACTGAGCCCAACAGAATCCCAGCGTATGTTGTATCAGGGAACGAGCTCCATTAAAGAGCTAGGGATGGGTGGACACTTATCCCCTTTCCTGCTGCTCAGTGGAAGACAGGTGGCTCCTGTACAAAGTTAGGTTCCCCATTTTTTTTCTAGATCCCACCCTTTCATTTATTTCCTGCCCTGTTTGTTTTATTGTTTGTTTGTTTGTTTGAGACAAAGTCTTGCTTTGTCACTCAGGCTGGAGTGCAGTGGCACGATCTCAGCTCATCGTCACAACCTCTGCCTTCCGGATTCAAGCGATTCTCCTGCCTCAGCCTCCCAAGTAGCTGGGATTACAGGTGCGTGCCACTGCACCAGGCTAATTTTCTCTATTTTTAGTAGAGACGGGGTTTCACCATGTTGGTCAGGCTGGTCTTGAACTCCTGACCTCAGGCGATCTGTCCACTTTGGCCTCCCAAAGTGCTAGGATTACAGGTGTGAGCCACCGCACCTGGCCCCTCTTTGTTTTTAATAGTAATGGATGCCTCTTCACCACCACCATCCCCTCAGAGCTAGATACTCCCCACTAGCTACTGCCTCCTCCCTTCTCTTCTCAGCCAAGAGACTCAAGAGTAGTGTAGTCTATGCTCAGGGACTCCACTTCCATCCAGAACCTCCAGGAGTGCCATTCACATCATGCTCTGTGAGGGTGACATATCTGGAAACATAGCTCTGTGGAACACAGCAAGAGAGAAGCCCCAGGATTTGAGTTCTACCCACCCCTCCATCCACTGCTCTCTGGCTCTCATCACCGCACTGAGCCAGTTCTGAGTAGGGTCATAGAAAACACCATATTTGCCCAGCGAAATAGACATTTTGAGTAGTGATCTTACACAACCTCTGAGGACAGTGGCTCGGTCAATCCTTCTGTCCTTCTCCACCCTTGGCTCCCCTGACTCCACTCCCTTCTGCTTTTCCCTCTCTCTCTCTGACTGTGCCTCTATTTGTGCCTTAGTTCTTGACATTCATCTGAATTCCCTTCTTGGCTCTTCTTATCTTCTTTTTCCTCCCACTCTTTCTAAGTGATGAGGAGGTAGTGAAAGCTCAACACATGAACGGATTCCTAATCCAAATTGTTAGCACTCCTATCCATTTGAATTCTTAACTCTTTCTTGAATCCACCCTCCTCTTACTATCCCTACTGCAATTGCCCACACACATCCCACCCAGCTGCCAGTGTGGCTTTTCAGTGGAATGGGACTCTCTGTACCTTTCATCACTTGAATACTTCCTCAGCCTCACACCCAGACAGGACATCTTTCAACTGTATTAAATCAGAAATCATATCATATTTCATCAAATCTAAAACACTGTGCTGCAGCACTCTGTTGACCTTTCAAGAAGGTACCAAAGGGATATTTCCATGCAGCGTGGCTGCCAGCACTTATAAATGGATGAAAGTTATGCTGAGAGGGAATCAATAGTCATAAGACAGAGATTTGTTTGTCTTCTAAATGGTCTACTCCAAGAATGTGAGAATCCACCATGCAGTTCCCAGGACAAAATCAGGAATGGCTGTCATCTGGCATTGATTACAGAGGACTGGAGAAAGATGGATCTGGGATCATGGACAGGGAAGAAAGAAAGAAAGAGTAAGAGAAGGAGAGGCGAGAAAGAGAGAAAGGAAGGAAGGAAGGGAAAGAGAGAGAGAAGGAAGGAAGGAAGGAAGGAAAGAAAGAAAGAAAGAAAGAAAGAAAGAAAGAAAGAAAGAGAGAGAGAGAGAAAGAAAGAAAGAAAAGAAAGAAAGAAAGAGAAAGAAAGAAAGAAAAAAGAAAGAAAGAGAAAGAAAGAAAGGAGAGAAGGAGAGAGAGATAAGAAAATGTACTTCCTAGATCCCATCCAATGTGATTGTCTATGGACAATTGAGACCCACGAGGAAATATTTGATGCTACCCTTTTGATCCTGACGATACCAGGGATTGGCTTCGAATAACCCTGGTTCTTTCTGACAATGAACTGGGTCCTTTCAGATCTAATAGGTCATAAAGGCAATTTTACAAAAGTGAATTCAATCTCATTGTTAAACTATTAGAATAATTAAATACCCCCATTCCTTGTGACCTACAGGAGAAAGTCCAAAATGTGAAAGAGCATTATGTGGGTGGGGACTTAGAGAATATTGGAAATCTCCCAAACCCTCTAAATATATCCCTACTGCTTTGTTATTGCCAGGCAGCTTATAAACAGCAGTGACTGCAGAGGGAGGAGAGGTGGTGAGAGTGAAAGGCTGCCATGTGCATGGTGTCTGGCTCAGCCTGCCCAAGAGGCCAGCACCCCATCATTCCCCAATAAATCAGGAGGTCATTTTTCACTGAACTGAAGCTAAATACTCCCATCGTTTTCTCCCCTAACCAGTCCCAAGATTGCTCCGTGCTCTTTATTACCTTTCAATGACTTAAGCCCCTGAACTGAATAACTTCATCAAGGTGTCAACCTAAACAGATTTTCCCCATAATGGTCCAACTCTCACAGGTTCTTAATGAAAAATATTGATTTCTAAGGATTAGTTGCAGATTTATGTGTTGGGATGCTGATCTCTCTGTCACCTGACACCTTATCAGTATATGAAAAAACCTAGTTTCTCCTTCGTGGTTTTTAAAAAAAAAGCAATCACCGGCTGTGTCAAGGGGCAGCTTGGGTCCAGAAAAACAAATAAAATTCTCTGTCTGGATCCCATGGAATACTTAACAGCTAGTGGGGGTGTGGATGGGGAAGGCGCTGAGACACCTGTCTGCCTTCCTCACTAGCATCTTCACTGGTTGGGTTGTGGGGAGACCAGGTGCAGAGAAGCTGGAAAAGCAAATGGAACAAGCATCCATCCCTCTTGGTATGACAGATCTCCAAGACACAGTCTGGAGAAAAGCTTGTCGTGTACACCCTGTTTGGGGCTGGAGACACCAACTGGAAGAAATACAGCAGCTGCCATCTCAAAGTGGCATTCAATCAACACCAGGCTAGGTTGGCTCTGCCAACTCACTCTGTTAAACGTGGTTCTCAAGGGATGAAGTTAAGACTTTGGCACCTAAAACCTCAGCAAGTTGCAGAGCAGAGCAGAATCTCTCCCATACCCGGAAATGGCTGGAATGGAGTAAGATTCATTATTTATCTATTTGATAAATATTTATGGAGGGTCTATGTGCCAAGCACTATACTAGGCAATGGGGACGCCATAGTCAGCAAGGCCAGATGTGGGTTCCTGCCTTCATGGAGAAGGTGACCAACACACACACACACACACACACACACACACACACACACACACACACTCACACATACATGTAGAACTGCAACTTCAACACGATTCAGGAGAATGGGGACACAGGGCTGCAGCAGCCTGTAATGAGGGCATTTACCCAGTAAAAGACGTCAAGAGAGATTTGTCAGAGGAAGTGATGGTCAAGGTAACACCTGAAGGATGAGAAGGAGCTCACTGGAAAAGCAGGAAGAGTGGGGAGCATGTGGGCACAGGAAATAGTCTGTGGGAAAGCCCTGTTCCGGAGGAGCCCAGCACCACCAGTGTGGCCAGAGTGCAGAGAGAGCTGGTGGTAGGCATGACACAAGAGGGCTCCGGAGAAGTGGGCAGAGGCCAGATTGTGCTTTGGGTCACTATCCCAAGTGCAACAGGAAGCCATTGA
This sequence comes from Homo sapiens, assembly GCF_000001405.40. Taxonomy (NCBI): domain Eukaryota; kingdom Metazoa; phylum Chordata; class Mammalia; order Primates; family Hominidae; genus Homo; species Homo sapiens. Next base: position 22,672,239 of record NC_000016.10, on the reverse strand, counting down.
AGGATTTTCAGATCCACACCTTGCAAGGATGACTTCGGTTGCTCGGTGGAGAATGGATTGCAACAGCCTCACCGTGAAAGCAGGAGGAAAGGGGCTGAGGAGGTGACTGCAGTGGTCCAGGCAAGAGATGAAGCAGTGATGCTGCTGGAGACGGAGAGAAGAGGACAGAATCCAGAAATATTTTGGAGAAGAAAAATCAAGAGTCATTGGTATGGAATCGAATGTGGGGTGGGGATAGGATGAAGGAAAGGAGGTGACAAGGATGACTCCCAGACTTTTGACTGAGCTGCTCCTTCTCTGCAGTGATGGCCTCCTCGTTTTGGGCCACTAAGGGCTTCTCCAACCACTGGGAAGCACTTCCAGAACAAGGTCCTCATTTCCTTTTCAGCTCTCACAGCAGGGACTGGCAAACTTCCATAAAGAACAACATAAAAAATATTTTAGATTTCAAAAGCTGTACCATCTTTGTCTCAATGACTCAACTCTGCTGCTATAAAGCAAAAGCAGCCACAAGTAATATGTAAACAAATTATTGTGGCTGTGTTCCAATAAAACTTTATTTAAAAAAAAACAAGTGATGGACAGGATTTGGCCCTCCAACTGCAGTTTGCAGACCCCTGCCCTAGAGGACTGGGAGGAATCTGGAAACTAAGCTGAACTCCTACATTCCCCAGGCCTGAAGAACTGGAGTATTCCATTGAAATAAGAGTACTTATTCCCAGGCCCGGAAGCCTGAGACCTTCCCCCAGAAATACAGCAGGGGGCCGAGGACTGTAGTGTACCCAAGACCCCACAAAAGACCTAGGGTCAATGGGAGAATCCCAGAGGTGTTACTAGGCTGATGAAATAGACCTCCAACTTCCCCTGGGCTTCCTCAGGTCCCCAACACCATCCAGAAAGGAAATTCAGCACAAATCTTTCATATACTCATACATACTCATCTGAACTTATAGCAGAATAAAAAATAAATAATAATAAAAAAAAACCAGAAGGGTATATAAGAAACAAGTAAGTGCTTACATATAAGCCTGAGGGTGAGAATGGGATGTGAATGAGACTGTCACGTGTATATATTTTTGCATCATGTTGAGTTCTGAACTACATGAATATATTACTCAAGTATTCTCTACTCAAAAAAATAGTAAATTTCTTCATAAAACGCACAGAAATGTATCTAGTTCTTGCCATTAGATTTTTTTTAACTATTGAAAAAGCTCTATATTTATCCTTGAAATTACACAGGGGGCCGATTTGAAGCACAGCTGCATTGCACATGAAACGGCAGTGTGTCCTGGTGACAAATTAATAGAAGTCCCTTTTTCTGGTTTGCTTCTCAGGTCTGCTCTCTCGTTACTAGTAGTCTACTTGCAGCTTCTCCTCTTGTTTTAAACAACTCCCCTTCCTCAGGCAACAGCACCCACCCTCACGCTGGGGAACCTCCCTCCCTCATTCAAAACTGTCGGGTGGGACTGTCAATCAAGAGGCTCTCTGCCTGCCCAGGCATGGTCATGTGACCCAGGCTAAACCAATCAGATTAGCTCTCCCTAGAATAGGCCTGGAGGTGCCCCCCAGGCCCCATTCCGGAGAAACGTGGTAAGGTACCTTAATGGGTTTTCAGTTAGTTCCTGTTGCCTAGATCTTTGAGGCAGCCTTTTCAAAAGAGCTTTCTTTCTATTTTAGCTTTTGTTTTTTTGGCTTAAGTTGGCCAGAATCCATTTTTGTGGCTTGATACTGATGCAGTCAGTGATCCTGCATAAAACTCTCCAGTGCATCCTTGTGGCCTACAACACAAAGGGCAGACAGGACAGACAAGTCCCAATGTGCACAACTGTGGCTCAGCTTCCCCACTTTCCAAGCCCCTGCCTCCCCACTGCCCTATCCCCCCAGCCACCTGCCGCTTCAGTCACATGGAATTCCTGCTCTTTCTCCCAAAGCATGGCATAGATTTCTCTGCTGTATTCCCGCTTCCTCACCTGAAAAATTCCCTACCGATCACTCGAGGCAGTGGATTGCAGTGGATCAGAGTGCGAGTTCTGCTTGGGCAGAATGGCCGTTGGTGATTGCTTTTTCTTAAGTCCTGCTCTCCAAATGTAAGATTGGTCAGTCTCTCCTTCCCTGGAGACGCACGCTAGAATCTACCAGGACTCTGGGGCCAGTTCCTGAGCCCATTACAAGGATCCAGGATGACAGTGATTTTTTTTTTGAGACGGAGTCTTGCTCTGTTGCCTAGGCTGGAGGGCAGTAGCACGACCTCGTCTCACTGCAACCTCCAACTCCCAAGTTCAAGAGATTCTCTTGCCTCAGCATCCCATGTAGCTGGGATTACAGGTATCCGCCACCACACCTGGCTAATTTTTGTATTTTTAGTAGAGACGGGATTTCACCATGTCAGCCAGGTTGGTCTCGAACTCCTGGCCTCAGGTGATCTGCCCACCTCAGCTTCCCAAAGTGCTGGGATTACAGGTGTAAGCCACCGCACCTTGCCCACAGCACTGAATTTAAACATGTTTCTGCCAGTTGACCTTGGACAAAGTGCTTGCTTCATATCCTCAGAGGAGCTTGGTTTGCTTATCTTTGGATGTGAATTCTACCAACTTCACAGCGCGGGTTTATTTATTTAACAAACTCTCTGCACCAGACACTGTTCTAGGTGCTTTACACATATTCGTTGATTTAATACTCGTAATACTCGTAACAACACTATAAGGCAGGTACTATTTGTGTCCCCATTTTGCAGATGAGGAAACTCAGCACAGAGAGGTTGTTAGTTGTCTAAGGTTGCAAAGCTAGTATGGGATGAAATGAAAGACTGCATGGGAATTACTTAGCACAGACAGGAGATAATAAATGTTCCATCAAATTGTAGCTATTTGTTATAGACTAAATTATTGCCCCTCATTCATATGCTGAAATCCTAACCCCCAATGTGAGATATGGCCTGCAAAGGGGTAATTAAGGTTAAATGAAGTCATAAGGGTGGGGCCTAATCCAATAGGATTGGTGTCCTAATAAGAAGAGGAAGAGACACCAGGGATGGGTGTGCACAGAGAAAAGGGCATGTAAGGATGTAGCAAGAAGGTGCCGCCTGCAACCCAGGGAGAGAGGCCTCAAGAGAAAGCAAACTTGCCAACATCTTGATCTTGGACTTCCAGCCTCCAGAACTGTGAGATGTAAATTTCTGTTCTTTCCGCTACACAGCCTGTGGAATTTCATTACGGCAACCCTAGCAAACTCACACACTATTGAAGAAAATATCACTTTGTGGTGGAAATCACAGTTGTTTTTTAAACGTACATCTGACAATGTTACCCCAGGAAGTAAACCCCTTCAGCAACTCCTGTACCATTTCCTGGGAGGAAATTGGGACCAGATCCTCTAAGATGGGCTTATACTATGGCCAAGCCTGGAAGAAGACAGGAACTAAGGCATCCCCAGAGGGTAGAAAAGAGGAATCATAACCAACACAGGATAGCCTGATGTTTAAAAGCATAGGCTCACACTGGGTATAGTGGCTCACCCATAATCCCAGCTATTTAAGAAGCTGAGGCAGGAGGATCGCTTGAGCCCAGGAGTTCAAGATCAACCTGGGCAACATACTGAGACCCCTGTCTCTAAAAAAATAAGGCATGGGCTCTGGAGCCAGACTTCCTGGGTTCAAATCCTGGCCCTGCTACTTACTAATTTTGAGGTTGGCAAGTTACTTAGGTTCTGCATGCCTTGGTTTTCCCCTCTGAGAAATGGGGACAATGATAGTATGTGTCTGATGGTTTTATTATAAGTGTTAAATGAATTAATATAATTAAAGTGTTTTGCATGAGTGCTGGGCACTTAGAGCCATATGGGTGCTAGCTGTTACCATTGATAGTTTTGTGGCTACGAAACCACTATTATAACCAAAGTCTTTCTCTCTGCTCGAGATTCAAATCCTAGGTTGAAAGCCTCAGAGAATCCCAGATCAATTCTCCTATTACTGTCCTATGAATCTGCATCAAATAGAAAAGAGCTTATTCCTCAAAAGGAAACTAAAAGAGCCTAGAAATAAATCCACACACAAATGATCAAATGACTTTCAACAAGTGGACAATGTAATTCAAGAAGAAAAGGACAATCTTCAACACATGGTGTTAGAACAGTTGGATACATATATGCTGCTGAGGCGGGAGGATCGCTTGAGGCCAAGAGTTCAAGACCAGCCTGAGCAACATAGCAAGACCTAAAAAGATCTCTAAAAAACATTTTTTTTAATTAGCTGAGCATGGTGGTGTTGCACATCTGTAGTACCAGCTACTCAGGAGAGGCTGAGGCAGGAGGATTGCTTAAGCCCAGAAGTCTGAGGCTGCAGTGAGCTATGATTGCACCACTGCACGCCAGCCTGGGCAACAGAGCAAGACCCTGTCAAAAAAAAAAAAAAAAAAGAACTTAGGCCCTTACCTCACACACAAAAATTAACTCAAAATACTCAAAATGGATCAGAAACCTAAATATAAGAGCTAAAACTATAAAACATATAGAAGAAAACATAGGAGGAAAACTTGTGTGACCTTGGGCTGGGAGGAAAACTCCTGTGACTTTGAGCTAGGCAAACATTTCTTAGAAATAACCCTAAAAAGTACAATTCATGAAAGAAAAAAATTGACAAGTTAGATTTCATCAGAATTTAACATTTTTGCGCTTTAAAAGATGCCACCAAGAAAAATGAAAAGATAAGCCATAGACTGGAAGAAAATATCTGCAAAACACATAAAGGACCTGTACTGAACACAGTGAATGCTTACACTCGATAATATGAAGATAGATAACCTAATTTTTTAAATAAATGAAAGAATAGACCGTTCACCAAAGAAGATGATATACCAATGAATAATAAGCATATAAAAAGTTGCTCCATACCATTAGCTGTTGCAGAAATGCAAGTTTAAGCCACAATGAGATGCCATGACACACTTAATAGAATGGTTAGATAGAAAAGGCCAACAATACCTAATGTTAGTAAGGACATGGAGTAACTGTAATCCTCATATATTGATGGTAGGAATGTAAAATTGTGCAGCCACTTTTGAAAACAATTGGGCAGTTTTTTAAGTTATGCACCAAATATCCAGCAATTCCACTCATAAGTATTTAATCAAGATTCAAATGCAGGATATATCAGGGCAAAGACATATATCCAATTGCTCAAAGCAGCATTATTCATAACAGCCAAAAAAAGTGGACAATCCAAATTCAAATTCATCTAAATCCATCAATTAGTGAATGGGTAAACAAAATGTGGTGTATACATAAAGCAATAAAAACGAATAAACTATACATACTTAAAACAACATAGATCAGCCGGGCATGGTGGCTCATGCCTGTAATCCCAGCACTTTGGGAGGCCGAGGCGGACGGATCATGAGCTCAGGAAATCAAGACCATACTGGCCAACATGGTGAAATCTCATGTCTACTAAAAATACAAAAATTAGCTGGGTGTGGTGGCACGCGCCTGTAGTCCCAGCTACTCGGGAGGCTGAGGCAGGAGAATTGCTTGAACCCGGGAGGCAGAGGCTGCAGTGAGCCGAGATCGTGCCACTGCACTCCAGCCTGGCGACAGAGTGAGACTCCGTCTCAAAAAATAAATAAATAAATGAACAACATAGATTAATCTCAAAAACATTATGTTAAGTGAAAGAAGACAGACATATAAGACTATATATTGTATGATTCCATTTACATGAAATTTCTAGAAAAAGGGAAACAGTAGAGATGGTAACCACATTGGTGGTTGCCTGGAGCTGGAGGTTGGAGTTGGGATTGACTATAAATGGAAATGAGAAAACTTTTGGGAGAGATGGAAGTTTTCTAAAACTGGATTGTAGAGATAATTGTGGCATTATATGAATTTGCTAAAACTCATCGAACTGTACATTTTAAACGGGTGAATTTTAATGTATGTAAATTATACCTCAATAAAGCTGTTAAAAAATAAATAATAAACCATGAAAAAATAAGCAAGAGAAAAGAGGAAACCATGATGCTGTTAGATTGGGGATTATATGGTTTGGATATTTGTCCCCTCCAAGTCTCATGTTGAAATGTGATCCCCAGTGTTGGAGTGGGACCTGGTGCGATGTGTTTGGGTCATGGGGGTGGATCCCTGATGAATGGCTTGGTGCCCGCCTTGCAGTAATAAGTGAGTTCTTGCTCTTAGTTCACATGAGATCTGGTTGTTTAAAAGAGTCTGGCACCTCCCCCTCTCTCTCTTGCTCCCTCTCTTGCCATGTGACACATGGGCTCCCCCTTCGCCTTTCGCCATGATTGGAAGCTTCCTGAGCTCCAAGACAGCACCATGCTTCCTGTACAGCCTGCAAAACTGTGAGCCAAAATAAACCCCTTTTCCTTATAAATTACCCAGACCCCAGACTTAGGCATTTCTTTACAGCAATGCAAAGCAGACTAACACAGGGGGAAAGGATGCTGGACTGGGAGAGAAAAACACTCACATATATTACCCATTTTTACACATTAGGAAAATAAGAAACAATGACTTGCCCTATGTCACCCAGCTAGTAAGTGGGGGAGCCCAGATGCAAACTCCCAACTCTTTGGCCCCAAACGCATGCTCTTAACCCCTCCGCCATGTGATCTTTCTTCCCTTTTGCACAGCCTCTCACCAGTCAGCCCCACTGTATGTAGGGAGACCATGAGGGACTCTTCTCACATTGCTACGTGAGCAGAATCCTCATCTGTCTGACATCTGCTGAAAACACAAGCAAAAGACACTCTGAGGCCTGATGTCTTCCGACGGTTCATTGAAGTTGCAGTTGTTACTTTCCCTTGAACTGTGCAAACGCTTGGTGTGCTCGGGTTGATTTGGTGCTTTTTGTATATTGCTCATCTGGCAGAGAATTACTACTCTGCTCTACAAGTTCCCACAGATGGCTTTATTTTCCATTGCTATTAAATTGGTTTTGAACAAGACATAATTCTTCAAGTGCCTGGTGTGCTCTCTGGGTTTGCTCAGGCAAGATTCCATAAAAATGTAAATAATCGGAACACTTCTGGGATTATTTATCACAACTGACTTGTGGCTGTAAATTTATGTATTAATTTCAGCTATAAGCTTCAGTGGGGAAAAGATGAACCATTGAAAATAGTCTCTTCCACCCTAACATCCTCGCTATGTCCCCATTTCCCCTCTGCTTCCAGGGAACGTACCAGAGAATGGCTCACACATCTGGGTCTGAACGACATTGAACAGGCTCGAAAAGGAACCAGGTGGTAAGTGGGGAATAATCACTCCTCAGCAACCCACAGGCTCATCACTTACTGCTCTCCCCTGGGTCTTCGGACCCCAGTCACACCAGCCTTTCACTTGCTCCTGTGGATTCCTGCCCCAGGACCCTTGCACATGCACCCCAGGCTTGTAATGCTCCTTCTTCCCTTTTATGCCTGGTTCACTCTTACTCATCCTTCAGCTCTTGGCTCAGCGTCACTTGTTTGGAGAAGCTTCATCCCCGCCCACCTGCTAGACGAGGTCTCCTCCCAGGTGTTCTTCTCATCCACAGCGCTACTCACAATCACAGTTCCTCATTTTGGGAGGATTTTTAAAACTTAATGTCTGTCTCCCCTACTTGGCTGTAAAAATTTCATGAGGGTTAGGGCTGTGTCTTTGTCGCCTGCATGCCCAGAGCCTGGCACAGAGTTGAAGATGGATGAATGTGTGCAGAACAAACTAATGGATCCACTTGGAATAAGAGCACATAGCAGGGCTCTTGGGGCCTCTGCCCACACGCACTCAGACCACGCTCTGCACACAGCTCCTTGTGTGCTTTCTCTTAGCCAGCACCTGCATGTTGGCAGAGGGCTGCTCTCACTTTGCCTGTGTGTGCTGAGACTGGAGTGCCTGGGAATTTGCACTCCCCTTGGAGGCCAGCCCTTAACCAATTAGTGGTGAAGGCAGGCTTAGAAGCATGCCAGCTGGCCGGGTGGAATGGCTCATGCCTGTAATCTCAACACTTTGGGAGGCCAAGGCAGGAGGATCACTTGAGGCCAGGAGTTCAAATCCAGCCTGGGCAACACAGCAAGACCCTATCTCTACAAAAAAAAAAAATTAAAAATAGCCGGACATGGTGGTGAGTGCCTATAGTCCCAGCTATTTGGGAGGCTGAGGCAAGAGAATTGCTTGAGCTCAGGAGTTTGAGGCTGCAGTGACCTATGATCGCACCATTGCAGTCCAACCTTGGTGACAGAGCAAGCCCCTGTCTCTGAAACATCACGCCAGCTCTCTTGTCTTGATCGGAAAACTGCAAGGAGCAGCCTGAACTCTCCCTGGAGCTGTCCTGGGGACTGAGCCACAGCAGTCCTCCTGTAGGACCTTGCTTGATCCAACACCCTTCTTGGCTTCTTCTCTTCTCCATTCTATTTTCCCACTCCCCTACTAGTGTTTCTGAGAACCCCTCATAATAAATCACTTTTACACAAATCCTCGTCTCAGCGTCTGCTTCCAGGGAGCCCAACCTAAAACAGAGAGTCTTCTGCCTGCAAATATTCTCACTGAGCTGTGATTAAGATCATACATTTTAGAGCATGCAAGCACTCTAACCAGACAGGCCATTTGCTGATTCAGACAAGGATAAAGTCCTGCTAGTAACACTGTAACTGGCAGGGCATATTCATGTCAACAAGCTAAGCCCCTCTAGTCTTGAACCTTCTCCCCGACTAGCCCAGTGCCCCACTGAGACAGCATGAGAAGTCTGTGCCACTGAGATCCCAACCAAACTGGACATTGGAGCTCAGCAGCAAGACTGACTTGGGGGTAAGCCAAGATCATCTTTAAGATGCTCCTGCTCCTTCTCAAGGTAGGTGAATAGCTAGAGCCCAGAAGCTCGAGACCAGCTTGGGCAACACAGTGAGATCCCATCTCTACAAAAAATAAAAAATTATCTGGGCATGGTGATGCACACCTGTTGTCCCAGCTACTTGGGAGGCTGAAGTAGGAGGATTGCTAGAACCTGGGAGGTGGAGGCTGCAGTGAGCCATGATTGTGCCACTGCACTCCAGCATGGGTAACACAGTAAGACCCTGTCAAAAAAAAAAGAAGAAGAAGAAGAAGAAGAAGAGGAAGAAGAAGAGGAAGAAGAAGAGGAAGAAGAGGAAGAGGAGGAAGAGGAGGAAGAGGAGGAAGAGGAGGAAGAGGAAGAAGAAGAAGAAGAAGAAGAAGAAGAAGAAGAAGAAGAAGAAGAAGAAGAGGAAGAAGAAGAAGAAGAAGAGGAAGAAGAAGAAGAAAAGATGTTATGTGCGACCAGGGCAGGGCAGAACCAAGCTTTTGGGTGGAGAGAAGGAGGTTCCTCTGACTAGAGGATCTTAGGGGGCTGAGGTGCAGGCTGTTAAGGTTTTTGTAGCAAGGATGTCTTCAGCTTTAGGACACAGACTACCTAATTTTAAAAAGGCTTACATAATAGAGACATGTTTATTGAAGGAATTGCTATAAAGCAAAATAACAGGGTGTTGTGGAAGAGAAAATCAGAAGTCAATGCAGATGGTGTTGGCAAAAGCCTCTCTAAGGAAGGTGCATTTAAATCAAGACCAGAAGATGGAGAGGGATCAGCTGTTTCACAAGAGCACAGTGGCCCCTAGAGATGTTCACGTCCCGATCACCAGAACCTGTGAACATGTAACCTCACATGGCAGTAAAGACTTTCTGGATGTGATTAAACTAAGAATCATGAGGTGGGTGATCATCCTGGATGATTTAGGTTGTTCCACTGTAATCACAAGGGTCCTTAATAAGGGAAGGAGGGAGACAGGGGGGTGGTCAGAGAAGGAGACGTGATGATGGAGGCAGAGGTCAGAGTGATGTAGCCATGAGCCAAGGCATGCAGGCTGCCTGTACCTCTGGAAAAGGCAAGGAAACAGATTATCCTGAGAGCCTCCAGAAAGAATGCCCCTTGATTTTAGCCCAGGGAGATCCATCTTGGACTTCTGACCTACAGAACTGGAAGATAAGAAATGTGTGTTGTTTTAAGCCACTAAGTCCGTGGTCATGAAGTCACAGCACAAAGAGGAAATTAACACAAGTGTCACCTCAGAGGGATCAGCATGTACACAGTCCTGAGGCAGGAGGGCTTTTATTTGAGAAATGTGAAACAGATCCATGTGGCTGGTACCCAGTGGGCCAGGAGGTAGAAGTGGACAAGATGATGCAGGCCCTCATGTACCACCCTCCACAGGAAGTTGGGATTTTATTCTAAGATTGACGGGAAGCCATTAAAAAGTGTTTGTGGGGCAGGGTGTGGTGGCTCACACCTGTAATCACAGCACTTTGGGAGGCCAAGATGGGTGGATCAGTTGAAGTCAGGAGTTCGAGACCAGCCTGGCCAACATGGTGAAATCTCATCTCTATTAAAAATACAAAAATTAGCTGGGTGTGGTGGCACATGCCTGTAATCCCAGCTACTCGGGAGGCTGAGACAGGAGAATCACCTGAACCCAGGAGGTGGAGGTTGCAGTGAGCTGAGATCGTGCCACTGCACTCCAGCCTGGGCGACAGAGCGAGACTCCAACTCAAAAAAAGAAAAAAGAAAGTGTTTTTGGTTTTTGTTTGTTTTTGTTTTTGTAGATGGGATCTAGCTCTGTTGTCTAGGCTGTAGTGCAGTGGAACAATCATAGTTCACTGCAGACTCTTGCCTCAGCCTCCCAAGTAGCTAGGACTACAGGCAAGCACCACCATGCCCAGCTAATCTTTCAACTTAAAAAAATTTTTTTTTGAAAGACGGGGTCTCACTATGTTGCCCAGGCTTGTTTCAAACTTCTGGCCTCAAGCGATCCTCCTTCCTTGGCTCCCCAAAGTGCTGGGATTACAGGCGTGAGCCACCATGCCCATCCCCATTAAAAAGTTTTAATGTAATCTGATCTTCATGTTTCCAAGACCACTTTGGCTGCTGTGTGATGATGGGGGCGGTGGGGAGGCTGTGGTGAGGACCCGTAAGAGCAGAAGCGTAGAGTTCAGTCTGGAGGCTGTGAAAATAATCCAGGAAGGCAACACAATGGCCTCTATCAAGGCGGTAGGGATACAGGTAAGGAGATGGCTGCAAGATATATCTCAGACTCTGATTTATTGGCTCTGAAAAAATCAAATAAAATAATTTGGACATCTTAGTGCCAGAGGCCCTTTGATTAAATAAAAGCCAGCTTTTCAGAGACCACATGTTGGGTCCTCACAGTGACAAACAGAGCCACCACACAGGCAGTCCCCAGCGCAGGGACTTGGGGATGTTCGGGCAGCACACAGAGAGGTAAAAGGAAAATGTATGTTCCTTCCTAAGTGTCCAGCAACAAATGACTGCCCGGCAAGAAAGAAATTTAGAGTGCAGAAGGATGGTCTTGCCACACTGTGAAACTAGAAGTCAGATATGATTTACGGGGACAATGACTTAATCTCCTAAACCACCATCAAGTCCTGACCTGTCTCAGTTCCATAAAAATCTCTAGTTCAGTCTCCAATTTGAAGTTACAAAAATGAGTTTGGATCCTTCAGGAATTCAGATTTACTGTTAAGTCTATCCAAAGACCTGCCAACAGATGTTAGAGGGTTTTGGAAATGTTAGAGACTCATGCCTACTGACAGAAGTGTTAAGTAGAATCAGTGTTCCCATTTTATTTTTAAGCCAGGAGGGGAGATCGTGTTTGTCCTAGGGTGACTTTCCTGAGTACCTTCTGTTCCTCACAAGAAATAATAATCATAATGAAGAAGTTAACAACCAAGCAACAACAGATACCATTTCTGGAGCACTTACTATGTACAACATTAGGAGACAGACCTATTATCACCCCCACTTTAGACTTGAGGAAACAGAATCTCAGAAATATTTGCCAATGACTTACAAGGAAGCAGTGGAGATGGGTCTAACTATGAAAACAAGTTCTAAAACCAGAGATCTGCAAACGATGGCCTGTGGGCAAAATCCCACCTGCCCTTGTTTTTGTAAATAAAGTTTTATTGGAACATAAAACATGACCATTTGTTTACCTACTGCCTATGGCTGTTTTCCCACTCCAAGGGCAGGGCTGAGTCCTTGCCAAAAGAGACCAGATGGTCCACAGAGCCTAAAATATTTACTGTCTGTCCCTTTACAGAAGAAGTTTGCCAATTCCTGTTCTAGAACATACATTGCACAGCGAGCGTTTCCTCATAACTCCTCCTCCTACTCCTTCAGGACATTTCTATACCATCCACCCCACTCACAAGTTGGAGACCTATTCCAGATGGTTGAGTGGGACTCCCGGGATCCTCCCACTCCCACAGCCAGCTTGCAAAGACCCCTGGCATCCTTCCGTCTTTTTTTTTTTTTTTTTTTTTTTTTTGAGACAGAGTCTCACTGCAAACTCACTGCAACCTCTGCCTCCTGGGTTGAACCAATTCTCCTGCCTCAGCCACCTGAGTAGCTGGGACTACAGGTGCACGCCACCACGCCTGGCTAATTTTTGTATTTTTAGTAGAGACAGGGTTTCACCATGTTGGCCATGCTGGTCTCTAACTCCTGACCTCAAGTGATTCCCCTACCTTGGCCTCCCAAAATGCTGGGATTACAGGTGTGAGCCACTGCGCCTGGCCCCAGCTGGCTTCCTTCCTCCTTGTCCTGCTCTGTTGTTGAGAGGAGGGGTAGGGTGAAGCCTAGGCCATCACAAGCAGGACTCCTGGAAAACTTGTGCCTCCTACACCAGTTCTGCTACCTCAGGGAATGAGCCAGTGGACTTACCTGTGGAGCACTCACCTGGGGAGCACACATCCCACAAGTGATTTCTTAAGAAGTACTCGTGCTATGTACAGGCAACCATAGGGCCCTGAGCTGCATGAGTTCTAGGAAACACTCATCTCAAGTCTGACTTTTATCGCACGAAGTCTTTCCATGAGGGGCCCTTATAGAAACTCTATGCAGCCAGCTGGAGGAGAAATAAGGATGGAATGCCTAGGGTGACCATCCCACAGCCCTGTCCCAAAGCCAGCAGGAATAGATGCAAAGGGAAGATGAGGGTCAGAGGCAGACACTGTAGATTCCTCTAACTTTCCAGCAACTGTATTCACAGCCTATTCTGGCCTTACTAGATCTATGTTGCTCCTTTGCTCCAAGTTCCACTTGCTCTTTGATTTTTTAAATATTTTCTTTGGGTGGGGCATGGTGGCTCATGCCTGTAACCCCAGCACTTGAGGAGGCTAAGGCAGGAGGATCACTTAAGGCCAGGAGTTGGAGACCAACCTGGGCAACATAACAAGACCTCGTCTCTACAGAAAAACAAAAAACAAGAATTAGGCAGGCATAGCTGCACAAGACTGTAGTCCCAGCTACTTTTTTTTTTTTTTTTTAATTTTTATTTTTTTATTTTATTTTATTTTTTTTTTTTTGAGACGGAGTCTCGTTCTTTCACCCAGGCTGTAGTGCAGTGGCGCGATCTCGGCTCACTGCAGGCTCCGCCCCCCGGTGTTCACGCCTTCTCCTGCCTCAGCCTCCTGCGTAGCTGGGACTACAGGCACCCGCCACCTCGCCTGGCTAATTTTTTGTATTTTTAGTAGAGACGGGGTTTCACCGTGTTAGCCAGGATGGTCTTGATCTCCTGACCTTGTGATCTGCCCGCCTCGGCCTCCCAAAGTTGCTGGGATTACAGGCGTGAGCCACCGCTCTTGGCCATAAATAAATTTTTAAAACATCAGTAATAAAATAGTTTTTAAAATTTCTTCTAGTTGCTATAAAAGTTAAATAACTAATAGTGACAATGTTTATGTATTTGTATCATATGTAAGAGTAAAGTGTATAACAACAATGGCACAAGGGGTGGGAAGGAGGAATTGGGAAAACACTGGCATGAGGTTCTAGCAAAAAACATGAAGGAGTATAGTATTATTTGAAGATGGACTTATCTAAATTAAAACTTCATATTAGTCCATTCTCACGCTGCTATGAAGAAATACCTGAGACTGGGTAATTTATAAAGAAAAGAGGTATAATTGACTCACAGTTCCACATGGCTGAGGATGCCTTAGGAAACTTACAATCATGGTGGAAGACACCTCTTCACAGGGCAGTGGGAGAGAGAATGAATGCAAGCAGCGGAAATGCCAGATGCTTATAAAACCATCAGATCTAGTGAGACTCACTCATTATGACAAGAACAGCATGGGGGAAACTGCCCCCATGATTCAATTCCTTCCACCTGGTCCTGCCCTTGACACGTGGGGATTATGGAAATTACAATTCAAGGTGAGATTTAGGTGGGGACACAGAGCCAAACCATATCAAACTTACATTACAAACCCTATTTTTTTTATTATTTTTTTTTATTATACTTTAAGTTTTAGGGTACATGTGCACATTGTGCAGGTTAGTTACATATGTATACATGTGCCATGCTGGTGCGCTGCACCCACTAACTCGTCATCTAGCATTAGGTATATCTCCCAATGCTATCCCTCCCCCCTCCCCCCACCCCACCACAGTCCCCAGAGTGTGATATTCCCCTTCCTGTGTCCATGTGATCTCATTGTTCAATTCCCACCTATGAGTGAGAATATGCGGTGTTTGGTTTTTTGTTCTTGCGATAGTTTACTGAGAATGATGGTTTCCAATTTCATCCATGTCCCTACAAAGGACATGAACTCATCATTTTTTATGGCTGCATAGTATTCCATGGTGTATATGTGCCACATTTTCTTAATCCAGTCTATCATTGTTGGACATTTGGGTTGGTTCCAAGTCTTTGCTATTGTGAATAATGCCTCAATAAACATACGTGTGCATGTGTCTTTATAGCAGCATGATTTATAGTCATTTGGGTATATACCCAGTAATGGGATGTCTGGGTCTACCATCAGAGTGAACAGGCAACCTACAACATGGGAGAAAATTTTTGCAACCTACTCATCTGACAAAGGGCTAATATCCAGAATCTACAATGAACTCAAACAAATTTACAAGAAAAAAACAAACAACCCCATCAAAAAGTGGGCGAAGGACATGAACAGACACTTCTCAAAAGAAGACATTTATGCAGCCAAAAAACACATGAAAAAATGCTCATCATCACTGGCCATCAGAGAAATGCAAATCAAAACCACTATGAGATATCATCTCACACCAGTTAGAATGGCAATCATTAAAAAGTCAGGAAACAACAGGTGCTGGAGAGGATGTGGAGAAATAGGAACACTTTTACACTGTTGGTGGGACTGTAAACTAGTTCAACCATTGTGGAAGTCAGTGTGGCGATTCCTCAGGGATCTAGAACTAGAAGTCCCAGCTACTTGGGAGGCTGAACACAAGGAAATTGAGGCTGCGTTGAACCATGATCTGCACTGCACTCCAGTCTGGGTGACAGAGTGAGATCCTGTCTCAATAATAATAATAATAATAAAACATTATCTTTGCGTTATTTATTCCTTATTTACTACTTTTGCTAATAGGTAAAGTAACATCGTGGTGAGGCACGGTGGCTCATGCCTGTAATCCCAGCATTTTGGGAGGCTGAGGTGGGCAGATTACTTGAGGTCAGGAGTTCAAGACCACACTGGCCAACATGGTTAAACCCCGTCTCTATCAAAAATACAAAAAGTAGCCGGGTGTGATGGTGCATGCCTGTAGTCCCAGCTACGCGGGAAGCTGAGGCAGGAGAATCGCTTGAACCCAGGAGGTGGAGGTTGCAGTGAGCCGAGATCATACCACTGCACTCCAGTCTGGGCGACAGAGTGAGACTCTGTCTCAAAATAATAATAATAATAACAATAATAATAAAGTAACACGTGGTTAGGTATCTGTTCCATTTCCCTGGCTTTGAATTTTTAGCCATCCCACCTTGTTTTAATTGTTAGAGCTTTGAAATAAGTCATTATATCTCATGTTCCCACCTTTCTCAAATTGTTCTAATTGAACCACAGGATTATTTTATTAAGCTACTAAAAACTGTAAATTCCATATGTTGAGTCTGTCAGCTAATTTTGGAAGAATTTAAATCTCTAAACTCTTTAGGTTCCAATGCAAGCAACTGAAACCTCTCTTTATTTATTTAAACCATCTGTATTGCTCTGTAAATTTTTATAGTTTTTCCTCATGTACATCTTATGTTACATACAGACTGGTTATTTTATTTTTTCATTGCTATTGCACAAAATACTTTTAATAATCGTTTCCTTATTTGTTACTGATTTTCAGAGGTTTATCTCACATCTGACCACTTTCCTGAACTGTCTTATTGAGATTGTTATAATTCTTATCATATAATCATGTCACTTATAAATGATAAATTGGTTTCTTTCATTCTCATAGTTCTGTCTCTTATTTCTCACTTACACCATTGGTCAAAAACTTCACAGCAGGCCAGGAATGGGGGCTCAGGCCTGTAATCCTGGCACTTTGGGAGACTGAGGCGGGAGGATCACTTGAGCCCAGGAATTCAAGACCAGCCTGAGCAATATAGTGAGGCCTCATCTCTTAAAAAATAAAAAATAGCTGGGTATAGTGGTGTGCACCTGTAATCTCAGCTACTCAGGAGGCTGAGGTGGGAGGATCACTTGAACCTGGGAAGCTGAGGCTGCGGTGAGTGGAGATCATGCCACTGCACTCCAGCCTGGGTGACAGAGCAAGACCCTGTGTCAAAAGAAAAAAAAAATCACAGCACACTTAGATCAGTAAATGAAAGGATATTAGTTGACTAGGGCTTCCTAATGAAGTACCACAACCAGGTGGCTTACACAACAGAAATTTATTTTCTCCTGGTTCTAGAAGCTAGAAGCTTAACATCAAGGTGTCAGCAGGGTCTGTTTCTTCTGAGGCCTCTCTCCTTGGCTTACAGATGGCCATCTTCTCCCTGTGTCTTCACATGGTCTTGCCTCTGTACATGTCAGTGTTCTTATTTTCTCTTTTTATAAGGACATCAGTTATATAGGATTAGTACCCACCATAACGACCTCACTTCAACATATTTACCTCCTTAAAGGTAATGTCTCTAGACATATTCAGAGGCATTTGGGGTTAGGACTTCAACATAAGAATTTTGGAGAAATGGGTCGGGTGTCGTGGCTCACACCTGTAATCCCAGCCCTTCGGGAGGCCGAGGCGGGTAGATCACCTGAGGTCAGGAGTTCAAGACCACCCTGGCCAACATGGCTAAACCCCGTCTCTACTAAAAATACAAAAATTAGCTGGGCGTGATGGCAAGCACCTGTAATCCCAGCTACTCGGGAGGCTGAGGCAGGAGAATCACCTGAACCCAGGAGGCGAAAGTTGCAGTGACCCTAGATCGCACCACTGCACTCCAGCTAAGGTGACAGAGTGAGACTCTGTCTCAAAAAAAAAAAAAAAAAAAAGGAATTTTGTGGAAATGCAATTCAATCCATAACAGTGAACATTTCTTGTCTCTAATAGGAAGATATCTGATGTTTCTTCAAGCCTGATGTGTACTTTGATTTAAAAGAGATATTTTTATCACATTTCTATCTCAAATTTTCAAAGAGCTTTTTTATCAGGAATGGATATCAGGCCTATTGAATGCCTTTTGGTACTTATTGACTAAATCATACAGAATTTTTATCTCTTCTTTTGATAGAATACATTAATAGATTTCCTGTTATTAAACAGTCCTGGGTCGGCATTGAGAATATAAAAAGAAATCCTACAAATCAATAGGAAAGGGATTTTTTTAAAATCTAGTATAAATTAGACAATGGATACAGACAGACAATTCTGAATATGGGAAGTACTCCAGATCAGTAAACACTGGAAAAATTTCCACCTCACTAGTAATCAGGGAAATGCAAATAAAAATGGGAATAAAATCGCATCCCACACAAGAGTTAGCAAGAATGTGGAATACAGAACTCTCACACTCTGTTGATAGGACAGTAAACTGCCACAACCTTATTCACACATGGCAGTGTAAAAAATGTGCACCGTGTTTGTTATAGCATTGTTTATAATAGCTACCGAAAAAAATAAAACAACCCAAATTTGTCTTAGTTCAGGCTGCTATAACAAAATATCATAAACTGGGTAGCTTATAAACAACAGAAATGTATTGCTCACGGTTCTGGGGGCTGGAAGTCTGAGATCAGGGTGCCAGCATGGTCGGGTTCTGGTAAGGGCTCTCTTCCGGATTGCGGGTGGCTACCTTCTTGCTGTATCCTTACATGGGGGAATGAGGGAAAGAAAGCTCCCAGGGGCTGTTTGTGTAATGGCACTAACTCCATTCATGAGGCTTCACCCTCGTGACCTAATCACTTCCCAAAGGATCTACCTTCTAATACTATCAAATCGGGAGTTAGGATTTCAACATTTCAATTTGGGGGACAAGGGACACAAACATTCAGTCTACATGTAAAAAATTATAAATAATGGCACTTTTTTTTTTTTGAGATGGAATCTTGCTCTGTTGCCCAGGCTGGAGTGCAAAGGCATGATCTTGGCTCACTGCAACCTCTGCCTCCCGGGTTCAAGCGATTCTCCTGTCTCAGCCTCCCGAGTAGCTGGGACTAAGGCACGCACCATCACTCCCGGCTAAATTTTGTATTTTTAGTAGAGTCAGGGCTTCACCATGTTGGTCAGGCTGGTCTCGAACTCCTGACCTCATGTGATCCACCCACCTCCGCCTCCCAAAGTGCTGGGATTACAGGCATGAGCCACCATGCCCCACCAGTACATTTATACAATGAATGAGCTAGATCTACTTGTATCAACATGGATAATCTCAAAAACAGAAGGCTAAATGAACAAAAGCCAGTTCCACAGGAACACACCTAGAATAAAACCAGTTATGGAATTTTAAAGAACATACAAGATAATATGTAGCTAAATATTGATGGATACTTATAAAAGTGGTAGGGATATGAAACATATATTGGAAAGATAAATACCAACTTCAAAATAGTCCTTATCTCTGGTTTTTGCAATTTATAGGGGATGGAAAAAGGAAGAGAAGAAAACCCAGGAGGGGTACAAAAAGTGTCACTGTAACCTATAAGATTTTATTATTTTTTTTTTAATAAAATGATTTGAAAAACAAACGTCTTTGCATTCCTAGGCTAAATCCTCCTTGGTCATGGTTAGTGACTCTATTAATGTATTATTGAATTCTGTTTGCTATTATTTTATTTATAGTTTTTCATCTAGTGCCTTGGTCTTCTGTTCTATTTTTTTTCCACTATACTCTTCAAGATTGAATTTCAGGGTTGTATCGTTCTCGTAAAATGAATTAGAAAGTTTTCCATGGTTTTCTATAATCTGGAACCATTCATTGAGTATAGGAATAAATTTGTCACCAGAAAATTTGAAGAGAACAAATACATTAGAAAAATCTGTTTAAGGAGGCTATTTTAAAATGACCATTTGATAATACTTTAACTTTTCTATTTTTATTTATTTTATTTTTTAAAGAGATGGGGTCTTATTCTGTCACCCAGGCTGGAGTGCAGTGGTGTGATCATAGCTCACTGCATCTTCAAACTCCTGGTCTCAAGGGATCCTACCACCTCAGCCTCCGAAGTAGCTGGAAATACAGGTGCACACCTCCAAGCCCAGATAGTTTTTTATTTTTTGTAAAGATCAGGATCTCACAATATTGCCCAGGATGGTCTCAGACTCCTGGCCTCAAGCAATCCTCCCACCTCGGCCTCCCAAAAAGTTGCTGGGATTACAGGTGTGAGCCAGCATGCCCAAGCACTTTTTATTTTTGTATATTTTTTTTATTCCAGACATTACTTTTTCATAATTCAATTTTTGTAATTCATATTTTATTAAAAATATCTGCATCATTGAATCATTTGTATTTCCTTACATAGAGTCACACTGTAACATCTTGGTGATTTTTTTTTTTTTTTTTTTTTTTGAGGCAGAGCCTCTCTCTGTTACCCAGGCTGGAGTGCAATGACACAATCTCGGCTCGCTGCAACTCCGCCTCCCGGGTTCAAGCGATTCTCTTGTCTCAGCCTCTGGAGTAGCTGGGATTACAAGCATATGCCACCACACCCGGCTAATTTTTGTATTTTTAGTAGAGATGGGGTTTCACCGTGTTGGCCAGGCTGGTCTCGAACTCCTGACCTCAGGTGATCCACCTGCCTCGGCCTCCCAAAGTGCTGAGATTACAGGCGTGAGCCACTGCACCCAGCCCCTCCTGACATATTCTAAGTTGGGCCTAAGGTTTCTCCGCACTTAGTGAACTGTAACCTAACTGGATGTGTCAATAGTCTGTAATCTACTCTTGTGCCAATCACCAAGTTTCGGCCAATCACAGGCAACCAACTGTTCAAACTGTGTTCAAATATGGCAAATGCCAAGCTGTGACCAAGCCAGCTGTTTCTGCACCTCACCTCCCTTTTCTGTCCATAAATCCTCTCCAACCACACGGCAGTGCAGGAGTCTCTCTGAAAAGGAGGACTGCCCTATTCTCAAATTGTTCTTTGCTCAGTTAAACTCTGTTAAATTTCATTTGTCTAAACTTCTTCTGGGCCAAGCATGGTGTTTCACACCTGTAATCCCAGCACTTTGAGAGGCTGAGGCAGGAGGATTGCTTGAGACCAGGAGTTCAAGACCAGCCTGGGCAACATAATGAGACCCCATCACTAAAAAATATTTTTAAGTCAGCTGGGGTGCGGTGGTGAGCACCTGTAGTCCTAGCTACTTGGGAGGATGAGGTGGGAGGATCACCTGAGCCCAGGGAGATTGAGGCTGCAATGAGCTGTGATTGTGCCACTGCACTCCAGCCTGGGCGACAGAATGATACCCTGTCTCAAAAAAATATACACCATGGAATACTATGCAGCCATAAAAAAGAATGAGTTCATGTCCTTTATAGGGACATGGATGAAGCTGGAAACCATCATTCTGAGCAAACTATCGCAAGGACAGAAAACCAAACACCACATGTTCTCACTCATAGGTGGGAATTGAACAATAAGAACACATGGACACAGGGTGGGGAACATCACACATTGGGGCCTGCCAGGGGGTGGGGGGAGCGGGGAGTGATAGCATTAGGAGATATACCTAATGTAAATGACGAGTTAACGGGTACAGCACACCAACATGGCACATGTATACATATGTAACAAACCTGCACATTGTGCACATGTACCCTAGAACTTAAAGTAAAATAAATAAATAAATAGGAAAAAAAAGAAAAAAAAAGAAGGCAAAGAAAAAAATAAAAATAAAATAAAATAAAATAAAGTTCTTTAAACACCATGAAACAGACCTTGACAAGACATGCATATCCCCTTATGCCTACCCCAAGATTTAGGATGTCACACTGTACCTGTCCTTTGCGGTAATTTGTCTTAAGGACACAGGTACAAGTTATCCTGTTTTATATGCACTTTAATGAATTTTCACTTCAAATTCAAGTTGCAGTATATGTCACATGCCGCCTTCCCTTCAAAGTAACTAATGTCAACAATTTACTATGTATTTTTTCCATGTTTTTCCTGAGTTCATGCAAGCATCATACATGAAAACCAGATGAAAGGTTTTCTTTCTTTCTTTTTTTTTTTTTCAGAAATAGGATGATATTACACAAATGTGCTTCTTTACTTAACAAGAAAGTATAGGCATCTCTCCATATACCTGGCTTTTTTCAACAGTTGCATAAAATTCTGAAACATAAAACATTATAATTTATTCAATAAATCCCTGCTTTTGGATATTAATTTTGTTTCCAGATTTTTGCAAGAATCAGGTACTTAAAGTAATAAACATTTTTCTGTGGAATTGGTACTTCCATTTCTGCATGCCAAAAGTGAAATTTCTGAGCATAAGTATATTTTGAATTCCAGTAGCTACTTTCAGATTTTTCTTGAATGGTTAAAGCAATTCTTACTCATAACAGCAAAGTATGAGAGTCCTTTCTTCCTCCATACAATCATAAGTGATGGTAATAAATCATTTCTGTTTGGGTCAAATTGATTAATTTCTAAAGTAATCTATTGTCATTTTTATTTACATTTCCCCTTCCCCGAAAAGAATGAGCATAATTTCATTTGTTTATTGGCTATTTGCATTTCCACTTCTAAAGATTGCCTACTTCTATTCTTTACCTATTTCTGTACTGGATTTTTAAGTCTTTTTCAATTTGCAGAAGTTATTTGTGGATTAGAAAAATTAGCACTGGTTAGATCAACCTAAATACCCTTCAATGAGAGATGGATAAAGAAAATGTGGTACATATACACCCTGGAATACTCTGCAGCCATAAAAAACAAGATTATGTCCCTTGCAGGCACACAGATGGAGCTGGGGGCCATTATCCTTAGCAAACTAACACATGAACAGAAAACTAAATACCACACGTTCTCATAAGTGGGAGCTAAATGATAAGAACACATGGACACATAGAGGGGAAAAACACACACTGGGGCCTTTCAGAGAGTGGAGGGTGGGAGCAGGAGAGGATCCAGAAACATAACTAATAGGTACTAGGCTTAATTCCTGGATGATTAAATAACCTACAGCAAACCCCCATGACACAAGTTTACCTATGTAGCAAACCTGCACTTGTACCCCTGAACTTAAAATAAAAGTTTAAAAAAGAAAAGAAACAGAAAAACTAGCCCTGGCACCCTCCCAACTATTTTTCCTGAAACTATCAAAAAAAAAAAAAAAAAAAAAAAAAGAGGCAGTCTTGTTTCTGGGATCACTGCAATAAAAGCAATGGGAACCTACAGGTGCCAATGCCATATTTGCTGCCATGTAGATAGAGTTTGATAAAAAAGAAAGTAGATACAGAGAAAACGAGTTAGAGTGGGGGAAGAGAAAGAGCTAATGACATCATTTGGACACCTACATACAGCCATACTTGAAGCTGGAAGGGTTTATCCATTAAATTTCTGGGTTACAAGAGCCAATGATTTTCCTTTGGGGTTTGTGCTGGGTTTCTGTCACTTGCAACCAAAATCCTCCCAACTGTGGTGAGTTTGCGTATATTGGGACCACACCCTGATTCTAGAACAAGACCTTTGCATCCATAAGAACTGGACTTTCTAAATGCTGGGTCCAGGTAATATTTGAACTGGTCTCACCATTGTTCCTGGATAGCTCTCTGATTTCCTACTATGAGGCAACCTCTAGAGGATTCTTGGCTCAATAATGCACCAAGCTCATGGGACGAGTTCACAGTGTGTACCTGTTATATTGGTCACAACAAGAATTTGAGTCTCTACAAACCTCATGGCTTACACCACTGTATATTGGCTGGACGCACTTAAATGAGGTCCAGGCCGGAACATGTACAGAAACCCAAGTTATAAATTACAAGTTACTCTGGATAATTTTGGAAAGGGGGTCCTTGAATTCACAGGTCTGCCAGAAAGCCTATGCAGGCCGGATCTCCAAAGGCTCATTTGAAAACACAGTACCTTCCTAAACAGACTTTTATCATAAGGCTTTTTGCCTTTTCTTAAACTATATACCACAGGACTATTCAATAGCGTTGTAAGGGAAAGAAGAAAGTAAATAGAACTGTGCATTAGAAGGCTTTGTAAACTCTTTAGCAGGGGGTAATAGAAGTGCTCGATGTGAAGCTTCTGTTCTGATCAGGTGGAAAGGCAAGACATTGAAATACTAAGAGTTTAAATAAACTTTGAACATACCATCAGAATATTCCAAATAGGATCATTTAGCCATAATACATAGACATCCCCAACTACAACAACAATAATAGGAAGCACTAATATTTACCGAGTACTTGTGTGCCAGCACTAAATGAAACACTTTTTGTTAATTACTTCATTATTCTTCCTCATATAACAACCCAATGAAGTCAGTACCAAAGCTTAGAAGAAACTAAAGCTTATAGAGCTTCTATAAGGCAGGATAAGCTACATGACGCTGAAGTAACAAAAACCTCAACATCTCAATGGCTTAACACAACAAAAGTTTACTTCTTGCTCATGTTGCACAAACAATGCAGGCTGGCAGAGAAGACGCCACCCATCTTGGGCTAATGGGGCTTTTGTCTGAATTGTGTTTCCATGACCACTGCAGCAGGAGGAAGAAAACATGAGAAATTGCACTCTAGTCCATATGGGCGCTTCCAAATGGAACTGACAGATATTGCTTCTTCTTGCATTTCATTGACCAAACGAGTCCCATGCCCACATTTGACTTCAAGGTGAAGAGAGGGGAGGAGTATGATCCAATTCGTGCCCAGAAGTAACAGAATTGGAAATATTTAATTAACAGCATTGAACACAACCGCAGGGCACAAGCTGGTCTGTCCTCTTCTAGAAACAGAGATGTCACAATAACCTTGGAAAATTCAGTTTATCTTTGTGCCATTGCTCCAAGTGAAAACTTTAAAGTTGAAAATCTCTTTGTTTCAATTGCCCACATCATAACAGAAATTCTCTCTCTTTTCCCTCCGGACCCCCATTTCTGTCTGTAACACCTTCCTATAGGAATTATCATCTTTTCACTTTATTATAATAGAATTTGTGGTCTCCTGGGCATAAAACTCTTTAAAGGGACACATTTGAGTCAGGGGGGTTGTGAGGTTTTTTATTTTTTCCTCCAAAGAAAGTTTAAAAACCTTCATTTTGTATTCAGGAATAAATGAGAAGTGGTGTTATTTATAATTGGCTCCCTCTAATTCAGACTAAATATAGATTAATCCTAATTGATAAGACATAAAATTTAATTAAACCTTAATAAAGAACCTGGGAAAGAGTTCTCAATAGATGATATCAATGGTAATGTTGGATGCTGCATGCTGCAGTACTTCAGATAAAACACAATTCGTAGAAGTATTTTCAGGGCTTTGTGCAAGTCAAGATATGGGTCATTATCTCAAACAGAGCATTCATTAAAATTATGGATAAATCTGAGAGATGGTGTTCTCCATACAGCTCACCGATAAGAGCCTGGCCCACAAGAACTCCCAACAATCTCCTCAGCCTGTTGGTCAGGAGGACGCTCAGTTCCTTGACCTTGAAGCCACACTGAGTCACAGAAGTTGCTGTCACAGACTACGGTGTTATCAGATAAACCCCAACCCACCGAATATCCCATTGTAGAAATCCAATTAACAATGCTACATAAACATTACCCTTCTGATTGATGTTCCCAGCACGTAACATTTTTATTTCATGTACTCATGGTATGTTTATGTGTTCAGGAGTGATTGAGAACTTATCTTTCATGGTCAATCAACCTGGTGTCTAATTACTGCAAACATGAATAGAGAGCCCAGGCAGAGGGGAAGATCCAGCTCCCAGGAACGGAACTCCTTCCTTGCAAATGGGAGCATAGACACTCCAGTTCCTAGCAAAGTGTATCAAAGGAAGCAAACCCTGATACCTCCAGGTGTCAGAATTCTAAGAGGAAAGTGAGCTCAGTTGGCACCACAGCAAACTGGAGAGGGTCTGCCTGATCTAAAGAGGGCAACTTTTCTCTACTCTGCCCACAGTTGCCATGAAGGAATGAGGGTCCAATGATGGCAAATCATTTCACTCTTCTTTAAAATTTGTGTATTTGGATTGTAATCGGAAACAAAACCACGTTTTTAAATGGGAAGAAAAGACTTTTTTCAACAAAGTTTTTTTAAAAAACTTATTCCAACAAAGTTTTTTTAAAAAACTTATTCCTTCCCTTTGGTTATTCCTTCCCTTTGGTTCATTTTCCCCTTTAACAAATACTTAATGAATGCTTAATATGTCCCAGGCATTGTTGTAGGCACTGGAGATAGAACAATGAAGAAAACAAAGATCCCTGTCTTTAGGAAGCCTATATTCTAGAAGAGGGAGATTGACCATAAGCAATAAACATGATAAGTAAAGCATATGGTATGTTAAATGGGAGAGGTGCTAAGAAAAGACAGAAAAAGCACAGTGGGCAGGGAACTGGAAATCATGCAGGGGTTGCCTACTGATATTTAGACACAGTGGTCATACAGAAGGTGACGTTGGAAAACAGATTTGTAGAAGAAGAGGAAATTAGCCAGGCAAATATCTAGGAAAAGAGCATTGGAAGAAGGAATGGCCAGTGCAAAGTCCCCAAAGTAGAAATGTACCCAGTGTGTTCAAGAAACAGTAAATAAACTAGGTGGCTGAAATGAACTGAATGAGGGAGAGACTGGCAGGAGGTGAGAAGAGAGAGGCATCAGGGAGGGAGCAGAGCACGTGGGGCTTCCTAGGTCATTGGAATGACTTTGGTTTTTACTCTGGGGTAGTTGCAGAACCATTGGAGTGTTTTGAGTGCAGAAGAGACACAGACAGACTTGTATTTTTACCGGGATCCCTCTGGCTACTATGTTGAAAGAAGCCTGTAGGGATCAAGGATGGAGAGGCAGGGAGACCAGCTAGGAGGCTGTAGCAGCATCTAGGAGAGAGACAACAGTGGCTCAGACAAGAGTGAGGCGTTAAGAAGGCAATGGAGGTGTTAAGAAGTAGCTAGATTCTGGAATATCCAGAATCTATAAGGGACTTAAACAAATTAACAAGCAAAAAACAAACAACTCCGTTAAAAAATAGCCAAAGGTCATGGACAGACACTTCTCAAAAGAAGACATGTATGTGGACAACAAGCATATGAAAATAATGCTTAATATCACTGATCAGAGAAATGCAAATCAGAACCACGATGAGATACCATCTCACACCTGTCAGAACGGCTACTATTAAAAAGTCAAAAACAACAGATGCTGGTGAGGTTGCAGAGAAAAGGTAATGTGTATACAATGCTGGTGTGAATGTAAATTAGTTCAACCACTGTGGAAAGTAGTTTGGAGATTTCTCAAAGAACTTGAAACAGAGCTACAATTAGACCCAGCAATCCCATTACTGGGTATATACCCAAAAGAATATAAATCATTGTACCATAAAGACACAGTGCATGCAGCCAGGTGTGGTGGCTCATGCCTGTAATCCTGACACTTTGGGAGACCAAGGCAGGTGGATTGCTTGAGCCTAGGAGTTTGAGACCAGCCTGGGCAAGATGGCAAAACCCTGTATCTACAAAAAAAAAAAAAAAAAAAAAGCACAAAAATTGGCCAGGCATGGTAGCACACCCCTGTAGTCCCAGCTACTCAGAAGACTGAGGTGGGGGGATCACCTGAGCCCAGGAGGTCAAGGCTGCAGTGAACCCTGATTGCACCACTGCACTCCAGCCTGGGCAACAGAGTGAGACCCTGTCTCAAAAAATATATAAAGATATATGCATGCATATGTTCATCACAGCACTATTCACAATAGCAAAGACATTGAATCAACCAAAATGCCTATCAATGGGGGACTGGATAAAGAAAATATGGTACATACACACCATGGAATAATATGCAGCCATACTAAAGAATGAAATCATGTCATTTGCAGCAATATGGATGGAACTGGAGGCCATTATCCTAAGCGAATTAATGCAGGAACAGAAAACCAAATACTGCCTGTTCTTACTTATAAGTGGAAGCTAAACACTGAATACACATGGACACAAAGAAACGAACAACAGACCCTGGGGCCTACTTGAGGATAGAGGGTGGGAGGAGGGTGAGGATCAAAAAACTACCTGTTGGGTACTATGCCCATTACCTGGGTGACAAAAGAATCTGTACACCAAACCCCAGTGACACGCAATTTACTCATGTAACATATCAGCACACATACCTTCTGAACCTAAAATAGAAGTTGAAAAGGAAAAAAAATCACTGATCAATATAGAAATGTTATTTGTAATGCATTTGATAACATGTATTTTACATTGTCTTCTGAATTTTGCCAAAAAAAAAAAAAATGAAGTAGCTTGACTCTACCTAGATTATAAGGTAGAATCAACAAGAATATCCAATGGACAGGTTGTGGAAAGTGAGAAAAATGGAAGATTTAACGACAACTCTAAGCTTTTTAGGTTGAACAATTGAAAGAACAAGAAGTCTCTATAAATATGAACCAGATCCCACATTTCTGACACAATTTAGGACAGTCAGGATATCCCAATTTATCACTTGCTGTTCAATAATAACGATGGTAATAACAATTACTATCTTTTTATTGAGCATTTACTATATGGCAAGGCATTTTATATGTATATTGCATTTAATCCTACACCCACTCCATGAGCTAGACAGATTTTTAGCCCTGTTTTTCCCCATGAGGACACTGAGGCTCAGAAAAGTTAAATAACTTGTCAAGTTCACTTACTAGTGGCAGGGCCCATAATGAAGCCCAGGACTCTATGGCTGCAAGGCCCATGACCATAATGGCATGGCATACTGTCTCTTCAATTCCATAATTTTCTAACTACTTATCATGAGTCGGGCATAGGCTGAGGCATTTTAAATATGCAATTTCATTTAATCTTTACAATAATCCTATGAAGCAGGTATTCTCATTCCCATTTTCAAATGGAAGCTAATTGAAATATCCAAGCCCTACTTCCCTTGTTCCAAAACCACGGTTCTCCAGGAAAATATGATAGAGCATGCTATGGGCTGAATGTTTGTGTCACCCCAAAATTCATACGTTGAAACCCTAATGCCCTATGTGATTGTATTTGGAGATGAGCTTCTGGGAGGTAATTAGGTCATGAGGGTGGAGCCCTCTTGATGGGATTAGTACCTATATATTTATTTATTTGTTTATTTATTTATTTATTTTGAGACAGAGTTTCACTCTTGCTGCTCAGGCTAGAGTGCAATGGCACGATCTCGGCTCACTGCAACCTCTGCCTCCCAGATTCAAGCGATTCTCCTGCCTCAGCCTCCTGAGTGGCTGGGATTACAGAAGTGTGCCACCACGCCTGGCTAATTTTGTATTTTTAGTAGAGATAGGGTTTCTCCATGTTGATCAGGCTGGTCTTGAACTCCCAACCTCAGGTGATCCACCCACCTCAGCCTCCGAAAGTTCTGGGATTACAGGCATGAGCCACCATGCCTGGCCAGCATTAGTACCTTTCTAAGATGAGATGGAGCACTCTTGAGTTCACTCTCCTTTCTCTCTCTTTCTCTCTCTCTCTCTCTCTCTCTCATCCCTCACTCCACCCCCATCTCTCTCTCTTTCTGTCATGTGAAGATACAGCAAGAAGGTGTCTGTGCAAACCAGGAAGAAAACTCTCTCCAAATCAAATCATCTAGAACCTTGATCTTGGACTTCCCAGACTCAGAACTGTAAGAAAGAAATTTCTGCTATTTAAGCCACACAATCTATGGTATTTGTGTTACAGCAACCTGAACTAAGATAGGGCGAGTAGTGTCCCACCCACCTGCCCTGATATTAGCTGGAGGGGAACAAGAAACTGAGTAAAGTGGGAGAGGGAGTACAAAAAGGCACAAGGCACAGTCTCTGCATTTAGGGGGCGTGACTCTCCTGGGGAAGATGATCAATTACCCACAGCCGGCCAAATGCCAATATGTCTCAAGTATGTGCCTTCCTTCAGTGGGTAGCCCACCCACACTGAAGGTTCGCCCCATGCCACAGACACTACTGTACATTGAGGATACAAAGATGGACCAGAGGAAGCTCCCACAAAATCTATGAGCAATGAAGAATTTTGGAGGCATATGCATTCTGTAAATGATTTGCAAGGCTTATTTAAATGCATCATAACTGCTACTGAGCCGAACGTCTATTCCCAGTTCTTTTCCTTAAATGTTAAAGACTAAAGACAGCACTTACCATCTGCTATAGCTTGAGATCTGCTCCTTCCCCCAAGGTCTCCCGACATGGCAGGCCCTGGCTGGCAGTCCCATATGACACAGCACACAACCCACCGGGAACATCTAACAGTCAGAACATCTGCTGGCCTTTTCTCTGCACTTTGCAGCTGTTTTAAACTTGTAACCGTTCCCTCTCTGAGGTCACTTCAGGCTTGTGGACAAACATGAAGTGTCTTAGGGTATTTATCTCAGTCTCCAACGAGTCTGGGTCCTTGGACTTCTGCTTATTTATTTAACAAATACTTGCTAAGCACCGGCTATGTGCCAAACATTGCTCTTGATGATACAATGGTGAACAAGAAAGATGCAGGTTCTGCCCTCATGAAACAAAGTCTACAAGGGAAAACAAACTTTGAGTAAGTTAACTGGCTATTGAGAAGATGTACAGAGTATGGCTATTGGGAAGATGTACAGAGTACACCAGAAACATATCATGGTAGATCTAAACCAGCATGGGGTCTCCTGGAGTAAGTGATATCTGAGCTAAGAAATGAAGCAGTTGTTAGCTGGATGGTAGGGGGGACAGACGAATCATTCCAGGCAGAAGGAATAATGTGAGAAAAGGCCCTGAGTCAGGATAGAGTATGTCAGCTTTGAATAAGAGAAAGAACTATAGAACAAGGAAGAGAGTGATGTAAGATAAAGCAAAGATACTGGATCATATTGGGCCTGACAGGTCATCTCAGGGAGTCCATATTTATCCTGAAGGCAGGGGAAAGCCATTAAATGATCTAAGCAAAGGAGTGACTGGATCTATTTGCATTCTTAAAGATAATTCTAATGGCTGTGTGGGAAGAAATAAGAGAACAAGGAGGAAGTAAATTGCAGTCCTTTGCAATTGTCCAGATGAAAGCTGGCCATTTCCAGTGGCTAAACCATTGGAAATGAAATGGATGGTATCTAGGCATGTTTTTGGTAAGTGCAACAAAACCTGGTGAGAGACTGCATGAGGCCAGAGACATACAGGCAGCCAACAAGCATATGAAGGTAGAGAAGTTAGCATGGAAGCTGATTTAACCTTTTAAGGACAATGGTGTCATTTTGAGATAGGGAAAACTGAAGGAGGGGTAGGTTTGATGAGTAAGGGTGATGAATTCATTTCTAGACATGCTGAATTTGAGATGACTGCAAGGCACTCAAGAGGATATGTCCAGAAAGAAAATTCAGCCAGCCTCCTATATTTGTTCTGACTCTCCTTATGTAAAGAAGAAACAGCCAGGAAAGAAAAGCTTCTATCTTGTGAGTCTTGTTTGATTCGTGCCCCTGCTGTTGCTGACAAAAACCATGCTGATACATTTCATATTCAGGGATGTGTCAGAACCCATTGTGTAGCACCTTGGACAGCTCTCCCAGTGGCCCTTTTGACAAATCTAGGTTTAAATCAGCCTCCTATGTATCTTGCCTTCTGTCCTATCCCTCACTGCCCCACTGACCTCCTCAAATGCTACACTACAAGAGAACTGGCTGAAAAATTATTCATGCTCAACAGATCCTTCCAAAGGCTGAAGTTCATTCAGGAAGTCAAGATTAGAGTGAGCCCTGCAGAATATAGGGTGAGAGAAACTGGGAAAATGGCGTGGGGAGATAATGGAAAGAAGGGTAGCTTCAGGAGAGGACTCACTTTTTTAAACTTTTATTTTAGGTTCGGGGTACATGTGCAGGCTTGTTATACAGGTAAACTTGTGTCATAGGGGGTTGATGTACAGATGATTTCATCACGCAGGTACCAAGCCCAGTACCCAATAGTTATTTTTTTCTGATCCTGTCCCTCCCCTCACTCTCCACCTTCTGATAAGCCCCAGTGTGTGTTGTTCCCCTCTGTGTCCACGTGATCTCATCAACTTAGCTCCCACTTATAAGTGAGAATATGCGGTATTTGGTTTTTTGTTCCCACATTAGTTTGCTAAGAATGATGGCCTCTAGCTCCATCCATGTTCCTGTAAAGAATATGACTTCATTCTTTTTTATGGCTGTGTAGCATTCCATTGTGTATATGTACCACATTTTCTTCATCCGGTCTACCATTGGCGGGCATTTAGGTTAAATGTATGTCTTTCCTATTGTGAACAGTGCTGCAGTGAACATATGCATGCATGTGTCTTTGCAATGGAATGATTTATATTTCTTTGGGTATATACCCAGTAATGGGATTGCTGGGTTGAATGACAGTTTTGTTTTTAGCTCTTTGAGGAATAGCCATACTGCTTTCCACAATGGTTAATTTACACTCCCACCAACAGTGTATAAGTGTTCCCTTTTCTCCACAACCTTGCCGGCACCTGTTATTTTTTTACTTTTTAATATAGCCATTAGCCATTCAGGGTTGGGCACAGTGGCTCATGCCTGTAATCCCAGCATGGGAGGCCAAGGCAGGCAGATTTGAGGTCAGGAGTTCGAGACCAACCTGGTCAACATGGTGAAACCCCATCTCTACTAAAAAAATTACAAAATTTAGCTGGACGTGGTGGCACACACCTGTAGTCCCAGCTACTCAGGAGGCTGAAGCAAGAGAATCGGTTGAACCTGGAAGGCAGAGTTTGCAGTGAGCTGAGATCGTGCCACTGCACTCCAGCCTAGGTGACAGAGTGAGACTCTGTCTCAAAAAATAATAATAATAATAGCCTTTCTGACAGATGTGAGATGATATTTCATTGTGGTTTTGATTTGCATTTCTCTAATCATCAGTGATATTGAGCTCTTTTCATATGCTTGTTGGCTGCATGTATGTCTTTTTGTGAAAATGTTCATGAGGAGAGGACTCAATGTAGTTTCAGAAACACCGAAGAACTGTGTACACTTAAAAATGCAGCCTGAGTGTAAGGATGTAGCTTGGTAGTGCACAAAAACACTGCAATAACAGTATTGGTTTAGGTCCAAAACTTCTAATTAGGTGATAAAAGAAAGAGCAAGAGAAAAAGATAATTCTTTATGTGCTCACATAGCATCATACTCACAATATACTCTGTTTTGAGAGGGAAGGGAAGGACAGCTTGTAGTATAGAATGTACAGTATAATCTTGTTTATGTTTGCATAGAAAACTTTTCAAAGTCTGGAAAAATATACCCTAAACTGTTAATGGTAGGCATCTCTGAGAGGAGGGATCATAGTGAGATTTTACTTTCTCACCAGTATTTTCATTTTTTATAATTATTCTGTCTTAGTCTGTTTGGCTGCTGTAACAAAAATATCACAAACTGGGTGGCTTATAAACAGCAAACATTCCATGTCTCACAGTTCTAGAGGCTGAGAAGTCCAATATCACTGCCAGATTCAGTGCCTAGTGAGGTCCCATTCCTCACTGAGAGCAACTTTTAGCTGAGGTTTTGGCCTTCATGACCTAATCACCTACTGAAGGCCCCACTATTAATACCATCACACTGGGTTTAGGTTCCAACTTAGGAATTTGGGGAGACACCAATAATCAGACCATAGCAGATTCTATATTGGGTTGACATGTGGCTAATATGCAGTATGTTTCACCAGCTGTGTGGGTATTTAAAATAATAAAATGCTTCTGTACTAGCTGGAGAAAGCCACTGTCCCAAGCCCCACAAGAACTCTCCCCAATCCACTCACGATCCAGCAGGTGAAGGGTTAACACCAAGTACATCCGGGAGCTTCCAGATTCCCTAATATAATTCTAAGGGCAGGGTCCATTCAGCTTGATCTGTTTACAGGCTGGGAAAATTGTTAATTTTTAAAATATCGTCTTTTTCCCCTCCCCAAAAAAGTGGTGATTTTTTTTTTTTTTTTAAACCTCATGTTGGCTCCAATCAGAATTGCATAATGACGCTCCTGCTGGAAGAATTTTAGAACATCGGTTCGCAATTTTTATTGCGGTCATGACTCACATGTCAAATGACTTTTACATAAAGGACTCACTCTCATAGGCTTACCCAAATTTTAAAAATGATTCTGGTTTGCATTTCGCCCAGATGCAAGCTGCTGAATTGGGATTGCTACCCAAGACTCTCCCTGATGTCATGTCATGCACCTGAGTGTGCTCATTGTTTTCTGCAGGCCTGTGTCAGCTCCCTTCCTCCCACTTATTTCATACTTAGCCTCTGTTGCTTAATATTTCTTGTTATTATGTTCTGTCACCCTGACTGCTTTGTAAGCACTGTGAAGACATACAGTTGGGCAACTTTTTTTTTTTTTTTGGCCTCACTGTACCTAACCTACTGACTGGTTTGTAGTAGACCTTCAAGGATATTTATTGGCTGGTTCACATCTATAATCCCAGCACTTTGGGAGGCCGAGGTGGGAGAATTGCTTGAGCCCAGGAGTTTGAGACTAGCCTGGATGACATAGGGAGACCCTGTCTCTAAAAAAAAAAAAAAAAAAAATACAAAAAGTTAGCTGTGCATTGTGGCATGCAGCTGTGATCCCAGTTACTTAGGAGGCTGAGGTGGGAGGATCATCTGAGCCTGGAGGTCGAGGCTGCAGTGAGCTATGATCGCGCCACTGCATTCTGGCCCTATTTACTGCTATTGATACATGTTATTTGCAAAGGGATCCTCCTCCCTGGTTACTACCACAATTGTCACTGCATGGTTAGTGCTTGGACAATACAGAGCCTATTACTGGAGGCTTGAACAGGACTGGGGTGAGAAATACTCTCCCATCTTAAGGGGCAGAAATTATTTGTCTGCCTGTTTGTCACAATGGGCATGGCTTTTACAGACCTCTCTCATCCTTAATATTTTTATCTACTCTTTTCTGATAACAAATATTATTCCCTTTTCACCTAGAATGTTTGTCACAGGACAAAAACTCTTTACCCATCCCATATGCTTCGTGCCAGACATTAGAAACCATCTTTGCTCTTAGCAGCTTCCCTGTGTCAGGAAGCCAAAGTGCCTCCAGCCAGATGAAAGTCTTCAGTATCCTGATGATTGGTCAGTGTATGGTTAATGAGGGTGATCCAAACCAACGTCATAAGAAAATCCCTCCAATTCCAGTGGTTTTGCTTATTTCTCATGCACATAAAGCACAGTGGGGGTGTATCTGATCAACAGGCAACTTTCTTCCACACAGTGATTCAGGGACCCAGGCTCTTTCCATCTTACAGTTCCACTTTTCCCTAAAGCTTTGGGATTATCTGCACTCCGCTGGCAGAGAAGGAAAGAGAAATAAAGAAGGAAAGAGGGTACCCACTTCTTAAAAAAAAAAAATCCTGACCTAACACATGGACGTAAAGATGGGAACAACAGACATTGGGGAATACAAAATGGAGGAGGGGCGAAGTGGGGCAAGATTTGAAAAACTACCTATTGGGTACTATCCTCACTACCTGGGTGACAGACTCATTTGTACTCCAAACTTCAGCATCACACAATACACTTTTACAATAAACCTGCACATGTACCTCTAAAATAAAAGTTGGGGGGAAAAAAAAGAAGAGAAACTCTCACAAAACATAAATAAATAAGTAAAGCTAACCCAGAGGTAACACACATCACTTCTGCTCGTGTTCCTGTGATGAGAACTAATCACATGACTCCCTGCTGATGTGAGGGAAACTGGGAAATGGCATTGCTGGCCTAGAAGTTGCCTCACAGCAACCACTTCATGCTGTAGAAAGGGGATCAGGAATTTTTCGTGGATAGCTAGTCATCTGCCACAGCCAATGAATTGCAAAGGACTCAGATGATCTTCTACTTAGAATTAGAAAATCATCTAATGAGACTCTTAAGAAATCTCCAGGCCAGGCGCCATGGCTCACACCTGTAATCCAAGCACTGTGGGAGGCCGAGGCAGGTGGATCACTTGAAGTTAGGAGTTCAAGGCCAGCCTGGGCAACATGGTGAATCCTGCCTCAACTAAAAATATGAAAATTAGCCGGGCGTGGTGGTGCATGCCTGTAGTCCCAGCTACTCAGGAGGCTGAGGCAGGAGAATTGCTTGAACCTGGGAGGTGGAGGTTGCAGTGAGCTGAGATTGTGCCACTGCACTCCTGCCTGGGTGACAGAGTGAGACTCTGTCTCAAAAAAGAAAAAAAAACACAACATTTTCAGATGTATTTATTTTAATAGACAGGATCTCACTCTGTCACCCAGGCTGGAGTGCAATGGTGGGATCAGAGCTCACTGCAGCCTTGAACTCCTGGGCTCAATCAATCCACCTCCTTTAGTCTCCCAACTAGCTGGGACTACAGACGGGTGCCACTATGCCTAGCTATTTTTTTTCTTTTAGAGAGTTCAGGTCTTGCTATGTTGCCCAGGCTAGTCTCAAGCTCCTGGCCTCAAGCATTCCTCCTGCCTTGGCCTCCCAAAGTGCTGGGATTACAGGTGTGAGCCACCACATCCAGCCTATTCTTTCCAAGTCTCTTAACACTCCTGTTCCCTGTCACAGGATATAGGTTTTTATGCCAATGGGTAAAGACTTCGAACTGGGAGGGGATTATGCAGTGTGACAAGGTTATAACCTACATAAACCTTTAAATTAGGCTTTAAGCGTGGTCTGCTGCCATAAAGCTTGTGGGCATCGGGAAGCCAAGAAAGCATCCTACTATTCTTTGACTGAAATTAATCTCCATTCTCTATGTGACTGCTCTTCACCGGGGCATCGTGGTGCTATGATCAGCCACACTTCCTGTCCTTGAAGTCCGAATCAAGCCTGTGAAGGAAGCCTGGAGTAAACTCCCAGGACACATGTCTAATACAGCTATTTTCTTTTTTAAAATATAAGCAACTGCTATGGTTCCATAATGAACATTTTTATTTTTAAAGTACTTTATTTCATAGGGAAGAAATGTAATGCATTCTTTTCCCCCAAAATAATAAAGAAAATTGCTACTGGGAAAGGTTTGGCATTTGAAACCTAGTGGGAGATTTCTCCAGCAGATGGTTTAGTGGCAAAAAGCTTTTAAGAATTTCTGACTGCTAGAGAAAAAGGGAGAGGGAAGGTGGGGGTTGGGGGGAGATTGATTTGATGTGATAAAGAAAAGATGTATCCAAAGAAAGCAATTCTTATTCAAGTTCTGATGACTCAAATGATCCATAGACTAGATCACAGATTCCAAAGCCTGACTGTGCATCAGAATAGCACGGGAAGCTCGTTTAAAATACCAATGGAATCAGAATATCTGTGGGTGGTGACCAGACATGCATATGTTTTCAAGCTCCATAGGTGATTCTGTTGAAATGCAGTGGCCTATCTCTTTGTTTAATTCTGATGGTAGCTACAGAGCTAGGCAGTACTATTAGCTTAGCAAATATTTTGTACTCTTAACCACTTGGCTAGCATTTGCTGTATACCCAAGCCCACCAGCAGCAGGCTCTTTACTGGGTCTCTCATCTTTTTACAAAAAGCATTTGGATGATATACTTGAGAACCCCATGGATGAGGATGCCAATGCATTTGATTATTTCATTTGGAAGCAAGGGAGGCAAAATTCACAGCCAATCCACCCAGCACTCTCTGCAGAGAATCACAGCTATGTTACAGCAAATAGCTCTGTTGAATACCTTTGGCTGCATCCCCTGGGAAGGCAGGATGGTGTCCTGGGAGGAGCAGAGACTGTAGCAGATTGGCTTTAACTCCCAGCACTGCTGCCTGCTAGCTGGGGGCCCAGGATATGTTCTTTCAACCCTGTTTGTTGTTTGTAAAACTGGAAAGAATTCTACTGACCCCACAGTAATATAAGTTTCAAATGGGGCTGGGCACAGTGGCTCATGCCTGCAATCCCAGCACTTTGGGAGGTCAAGGTGGGTGGATCACCTGAGGTCAGGAGTTCAAGACCAGCCTAGCCAACATGGTGAAACCCCATTGCTACTAAAAATAAATAAAATAAAATAAAAAAAAAAAACAGCTGGGCATGGTGGCCAGGACCTGTAATCTCAGCTACTCAGAAGGCTGAGGCAGGAGAATCACTTGAACCTGGGAGGCATGGGTTGCAGTGAGCCAAGATCACGTCATTGCACTCCAGCCTGGGCAACAAGAGCAAGACTCCATCCAAAAAAAAAAGAGTTTCAAATGGGGAAAATGTAAGAAAAGCATCTGGGGAAGAACTGCCATGGAGTAGGAACTTTATAAATGGTACTCAACTCACTACATTTCTTTTAACCTCCTTACCCCTGGAAAGAGGAGAACCAATTAGCAACAGCTAAGAAAAGACATTCACGTTTTCCCAATACTCCTGAATTTTCTACAGAAGTGTTATCCAGGATAGAATTTGGAGACAGACGTCCTTCTCTATTTTCCTTTATGGAAGTTGGCTACCACTGTATAGACACTTACCTCCAGTCCCAGGTGTGACCCAAACCAGAAAGCCTCTCCTAAAACATGGGACCAATCCTGGGAAATGCCAGATATGGCTTTTGTAACTTAGGTAATAGAAATGATCTCTGTGAGTCCCACATGATCAAATACAAAATTATACAGGATTCAAATTAATCACATGGACAGGCATAAAACACCAGACTCTAAATATTATTTACCCAGCATCAAGCAGATGTTTGTTTCCAAAGCTACAATCTCCTCTAATTGGCTGATGCTGTGCTGCATAGACTCCAATGCAAGCTTATGTTCTATAATGAATGACAAATGCCTAGAAGAATCCTCTGTGAATTGGCAGCCTCCTCCTCTAGCATGCAAATTATGCCGAAATCCCATCAGCAGACGCAGATAAGCTCATCTGCATGATTGGCAAACTAGTGGATAAACACACCCCAGGATTCATTGTCCAAATTCAATTTGGTGGTTTCATCTCCATTTTCAGTGATCATTTATTTGTTAATTTATTCATTAGCCAACATGATGAAGCAGCTATTCGGAAACAGGCACTGTCTTAGGCTTTAGGAATACAAAGGTAAATAAAGATATGGTCTCTTCCTTCAAGAAGTCCACAATGAAGGAAGTGAGACGAGGCCGGGAAAGAAAACGAACTAGGAACAAGTACAAAAATAGAGATATGGGCAAATGTCAGTGGTGATACAGAGGAGGGGTGATCAACTCTACCTACAGGGGTTGGAGATGGTGCCACAGATTTTCATGGTGTAGCTTAGAGGAAGATGTTAGCTAGACAGACAAACTGTAGAAAGGGGGGTTTCCATCAAGAGTGTTCTCTTGCTGTTGCAAGAACACTTGACGACGTGCGTCCTGTTCTGGGAACCACAGGAGTTTTATCTGGCTAAAGCAGAAGGTGCCAGTGTCTGTTCTATTTTGGCTCCTTTAAAAATCCACCCAAGGCCAGCTGTTGTGGCTCATGCCTGTAATCCCAACACTTTGGGAGGCCGAGGTGAGAGGATCGCTTGAGGCCAGGAGTTTAGGACCAGCCTGGGCAACATAGCAAGACATCCCCATCTCTACAAAACATAAAAAATTAGCTAAGCATGGTGAGGTGTGCCTGTAGGCCCAGCTACAGGGAGGCTGAGGCAAGAGAATCCCTTAAGCCCAGGAATTCAAGGCTACAATGAGCTACGATCTCACGTCACTGCACTCCAGCATGAGTGACAAAGTGAGATCCTGTCTCTAAATAAATAAATAATTTTTTAAATTAAATAAGTATAAATAAAAAGCTTTTAAAAATAAAATCCACCCAGGTGGACATGTAAACTGCACAACCCCTTTGAAAGGCAGCATGGCTATGTCTATTGAAATTTAAAATGTGCCTGTCTCTGTAATAATTACGGAGGCAATGGATTCAGGTCCTCATGGCCCAGTTAGTTTTTCTCTGTCTCACAAGCATAATTATACATTTCCTCCACAAAATGTGCGATCACGAGGGAAAAAAAAAATCTTGGATGGGTTAACAGAGGTTCATATTCATTATGGAAATACATTACGATTGTGTTTTCTTTCCAAGGTCTGTTGTCCTAACAAGATCTTAAGCATTGTGAGAAGAAAGGCTGTGCCTGTTCTGTGAATCCTGTTATCAGCAGTGCCTAAGATAATGCCACCACACAAGACCTTAGCAAATATTTAGTACAGACATACATACTTGGATAACTAAATGAATGAATAAAACATCTCAAAGCCTAAATCTACAAAAATTTTAAAAAATAATAAAATGCTTATGTCTTGTTTGTAGTAGCAAAAGATCAGGGAAAAGTGATCTATAAGAGACTAGTTAAAAAAATTATAGCACATCTATGTAAAGAAATACTATGTAAATTAAATACTATGTAAAAAGGCATGAGTTAGCCGGGTGCTGTGGCTCACACCTGTAATCCCAGCACTTTGGGAGGCCAAGGCAGGTGGATCACTTGAGGTCAGGAGTTCAAGACCAGCCTGGCCAACATGGTGAAACCCCATCTCTACTAAAAGTACAAAAATTAGCCAGGCGTGGTGGCACGTGCCTGTAATCCCAGCCACTCAGGAGGCTGAGGCAATAGAATCACTTGAACCCAGGAGGCAGAGGTTGCAGTGAGCTGAGATTGTGCCACTGCACTCCAGCCTGGGCCACAGAGCAAGACTCTGTCTCCAAAAAAAAAAAAAAAAAATAGCATGAGTATACACTCTCTATAGTTATAGAAGATTTATGGTTATGGGAAGAGCTCCAAGATATATTATCAAGTGAAAAAAAGTGAAATAAAGAAGAATATATATATATATATATATATATATATATATATAGTATGGTATCTTTTGTGTAAGAAAGAAGAGAAAATAGGAATACATGTTCTTCTTTGCTTTGTTTTCATAAAGGAACTGTGGAGGTATACACAACAAATTAATATCTACAGGGGTGAGAGAAGGGAAAATAGATTAGGAAAAAGATGGGGGAAAGACTTTGTGACATATATCTTGCATATCATTTTTTATTTTTGAATTAACTAAATGTGTGACCTATTCAAAAAGGAGAACTTAATTTTAACATGGGCCTGCCTCATGGCCCAGAAATTTCAGTCTTGGTATCAACCATAGAGAATCACTCACACATGTGCATAAGGAGGTATATAGAAGGATATTTGTTGTAGTACTGCTTATTATAGAGGAAAACACAGTAGAAATAACCAAAATGTCCATTAGTGGAGTTACAGAATAAACTGTGGCACGTTCATACTTTGAATATTATGCAGGAGTTAAAACCACGAGGTAGATGTATGTCTACTAACATGGACAAATCTCCAAGATTTACTATTGCGTAAGAAAAATCGAGAATGGTGATTGTCAGGGGCAAGGGGAGGGGAAAGCGATGGGCAGATGTAGGTCAAAGGGTACAAAGCTTCAGTTAGGAATAAGTTCAGGAGATCCATTGCATAGCATGGTGACTATAGTTAATAATAACGTATTGTAAGCAAGGTGTAGTGACTCACGGCTGTAATCCTAGCCCTTTAGGAGGCCGAGGTGGGCAGATAGCTTGAGTTCAGGAGTTCGAGAGCAGCCTGGCCAACATGGTGAAACCTCATCTCTACAAAAAATACAAAACTTAGCCTGGTATAGTGGCGTGCGCCTGTAATCCCAGCTACTTGGGAGGCTGAGACATGAGAATCACTTGAACTGGGGAGGGGGAGGTTGCAGTGAGCTGAGATGGTACCACTGCACTCCAGCCTGGGCAACAGAGCAAGACTCTGTCCAAAGTAATAATAATAATAATTAATAATAATAATAATAATAATGTATTGTATACTTGAAAATTGCTAAGAGTAGATTTTTTTTTTTGAGACAGAGTCTCACTCTGTTGCCCAGGCTGGAGTGCAGTGGTGTGATCTCGGCTCACTGCAACCTCAGCCTCCTTGGTTCAAGTGATTCTTCTGCCTCAGCCTCCTGAGTAGCTGGGACTACAGGTGCACCACGACACCCTGCTAATTTTTTGTATTTTTAGTAGAAATGGGGTTTCACCATGTTAGCCAGGATGGTCTCTATCTCCTGACCTCAGGTGATCTGCCTGCCTTGGCCTCCCAAAGTGCTGGGATTACAGGTGTAAGCCACCACGCCCAGGCTAAGAATAGATTTTAAATGTTCTCACAACAAAAAAAAATAAGTCTGTGAGGTGGTAAATATGTTAATTAGGTTGATTTAGCCATCCCACAATGTATACATATATCAAAACATCACACTGTACACCATAAACATACAATTTTTTTTCTGTGACAAGGTCTCTCTCTGTCGCCCAGGCTAGAGTGCAGTGGCACAATCATCACTCACTGCAGCTTTGAACTCCTGGGCTTAAGCGATTCTCCAGACTCAGCCTCCTGAGTAGCTGGCACCACAGGCACATGCCACCATGCCCAGCTACTTTTTGTATTTTTTGTAGAGACAAGGTCTCACCATGTTGCCCAGGCTGGTCTGAAACTCCTGAACTCAAGCTGTCCTCCCACCTTGGCCTCGTAAAGTGCTGGGACTACAGGCGTGAGCCACCACACATGGTCAACATTTACAATTTTTATTTGTCAACTAGACAACAAGTAAAAGAAAAATGTGCAAAAATATATAATACATTAATGTCACACACATACATCAATACAGAGCTTTATAAGCTGAAACAATTCACATCAAACTGGCAACAGTGCTTGTTTCTCGAGATTATCTAGGAGAGTGGTTGGTAAACCTCTTTTGTAAAAAGCCAG
Source organism: Homo sapiens (assembly GCF_000001405.40). Classification (NCBI taxonomy): domain Eukaryota; kingdom Metazoa; phylum Chordata; class Mammalia; order Primates; family Hominidae; genus Homo; species Homo sapiens. The sequence continues at coordinate 22,630,070 of NC_000016.10, read as the reverse complement.
ATAGTAAATATTTTAGGCTCTGCAGGCCTTAGGGGCTCTGTCATGACTAATCAGCAATTCCTTTGGAGTGTGAATGCAGCCACAGATAATATACAAATGAATGAGCTGTGTTTTAATAAAACTTTATTTCAATAAAGACAGCGAGCCAGATTGGGCCTGCAGTAGTTTTCCAACTCCTGGTCTGGAGAACCAAGAGGAGAGGTGTGAAGCCTCTCATGTTTAATTTTTTTTTTTTTTTTTTTTACAGGGAGAATGAAAGCATCTCTTACATATGTAATTAAAATGAATTTGAAACAAAGATGTGGGTGTATTAGTCTGCTTAGGCTGCTAAAAGAAAATAGTACAGACTGCGTGGCTTTAAAAACAGACATTTGTTAGCCAGGTGCAGTGGCTCACGCCTGTAATCTCAGCACTTTGGGAGGCTAAGCTGGGTGGATCATTTGAGGTCAGGAGTTCAAGACCAGCCTAGCCAACATGGTGAAACCCCATCTCTACTAAAAATACAAAAAAAAATTAGCCAGGCGTGGTGGCGTATGCCTGTAGTCCCAGCTACTCAGGAGGCTGAGGTAGGAGAATCACTTAAACTCGGGAGGTGGAGGTTGCAGTTAGCCAAGATCGCACCACTGTACCCCAGCCTGGGTGACAGAGCGAGACTCTGTCTCAGAAAAAAAAACAAAAAACAAAAAACAAAAACAGACATTTATTTTCTCACCTTCTGGAGGTTAAAAGTCCATGATCAAGGTGCCAGGGTTGGTTTCTATAATTTCATAAATACATACATACAAGATTGACTGATTTATTTATTAAGAGATAGGATCTCGCTATGTTGCCCAGGCTGGTCTCGAACTCCTGAGCCCAAGTGGCCCTCCCACCTTGGCCTCCCAAAGTGCTGGGATTACAGGCATGAACCACCATGCCCAGCTCAGGGTTGGTTTCTAGTGAGCCCTTTCTTCCTGGTTTGCAGACAGCTGACTTCCCACTGTATCCTCACATTGTCTTTTCTCTGTGCTTACACAAAGAGGGAGGGGAAGAGGTGCTCTCTAGTATCTATGCTTCTTCTTCTAAGGACATCAGTCCTATTAGATTAGGGCCCCACCCTTATGACCTCGTTTAACCTTAATTACCTCCCTAAATGACCTATATCCAAATACAGTCAAACTGGGGGTTAAGGCTTCAACATATAAATTTAGGAAGGACACAGTTCTGTCCATAACAATGGGCCATGACTTGTATCCTGTAACAACAACACACAGGCTCCTTTTCTCAGAATCCTGGACAAATCAGTCAAGATCATGATGATTCCCAAAATGAGGAGGCCCAGCCAGAGATTATACCTTCCTCCTCTAATTTTCTTCTCCTTCTCCCTAAGGGTGTACTGTTGTCCTGCTCTAAGAAGTCTTTGCCCCACCACTCGCTTTCCCTTGGATATCTCCTTACCTGTTAGACATCCTAGAAAAGGGTGCATTGAGAAATAACTATGGCAATAGACCCAGACCCCCTTTGGTTGACCTGTAGCAGCACAAAGCAGGCCTCTAATTCCCCAACTTTGAAGAAAGAAAGAGACACAGGACCAGAGCCTGATGAGGGGTAATAAGGTGAAGACCTTCAAACTTCTAAGGTCTAAGTATTTTTTTCAACATGTATTTAGGAAGACACTGGGCCTATCAGGGGAAAGGGAGAGACGATGGGTGTGTGTTGACAATGCACAGCCTCTCCTATGCATCCTCAGCAATTCCTCTCTGATCCGACTGCATGCCCCAGTCAGCAAAACCAAAGCCCCAAAATCAATAAGGCCCCTTACAAGGCCAATTAGCAGCCACCTGTGATTCTACTAAGATCATACCCCCTTCTGCAAAGAAAGGAGAGGTTCCCATTCCCTGTCCCAAAGATGTGAGAGTTGGATTCTTTCCAGCTGCATTTGGTAGTCTCCCAGAGTGTTCCCATGGGTAAAATGTTCTCCTCTCATCACATTTCCGGAACTTTTTAGCATCATAGACATATTTTAATGTCCTTTATAAGCGAACATTGCATGCAGCGGCCTGGCTGGCCCATCCCATAATCCAGCATTGAAGGAACGTAAGGACTTAAAGGTGAGAAAGACACAATCATTCTTTCTTTTTTTTTTTTTTTTTTTGAGACAGCGTCTCACTGTCACCCAGGCCAGCGTGCAATGGTAGTGGCATGATCATAGCTCACTGCAGCCCCAACCTCCTGGGCTCAAGCAATCATCCCAACTCAGCCTCTGGGGTGGCTGGGACTACAGGAGCACAGCATCATGCTCAGGTAATTTTTTATCTTTTTGTAGAGATGGGGTCTCACTTTGTGGTCCAGGCTGGTCTTGAACTCCTGGACTCAAGTGATTCAAGTGATCCGCCCACCTTGGCCTCCTGGGATTGCAGGTGTGAGCCACCACACTCAGACACAATCTTTCTTAAAGTCTCTCTGTCTCTCTCTCTCTCTCTCCCCGCAACCCCCTCCCCACCCCACCACCCCCCCACCGGCTCGCTCTCTCTCTCTCTCTCCTCTCTCTCTCACCCCCCTCTGAATTTGGCTAACCTTCTATACTGGGACTAGCTCTACCTGTCTGGAGCTCATCTTGTTGGTGTAAGATGGAGAGTATTCTTCACAAGTCCATGCATCCACCCTCTTTAGGTGAGCCAGCCTCTTTGGAGTAGTAATGCCCAAGTTTCATGGGCTTCTTGTTCTTTGTAAGTATACAGTGATTGATCCTCGTGAGATTACTTAACGGTGTGTGTCTGCTGGTGGAACCCTAAAGGCTGGGCAGTGGGCCAAGGTCATAGCACCCAGCCAACGAGCAGGTGTCCCTGACAACCCAAACATCCCACAGCATATCTGGGATTATACCAAGAGAAAGTCTCATTGTATGCAATAGGTAAAGAGCCAAAACAGGTAGCTTAATAGCAGCTTACAGACAGGAGGCGGGTGGGTCTCTGGAGCTGTCTTGCCGCCACCCAGGAGTACCCTGTATGTAAGTCCCAATAAACTCATCTACTCATCAAGCTGGACTGGTCCGAGTCATTCTTTGGTCTCTTGGCTCCTTCCCAGTTTGGGGGGACATTTTTTCATACAGTACCAGGTTTTTCTCATAACATCCTGTGGCTCAGAGGCAGGGGTACTTTCTTCTTCACTGTTGCCTCTCATCTATAGTTGCAAAACAAACTTACACCCAGATTACCTCTCCCTGTCAAGGAACTAGATCAGGTATTTTTATAGTGCTGCTTGACCAAATGAAAAAGAGAAGAATCTAGAATAGCTTGGAAATTTCTGGGCTGGGTCTCATTACCCAAGCTAGGAAAATACAAGAAGGTCCTGGGCTAAGGCAAGGAAAGAGGCGATGATTTGTTCTCTTTGGGGCTATGGTAAATTTGAGGCACATCTAGGATATCCAAGTAGAGTGTCAGATGTTCAAATCTAGAGCTTGGCCCTAGAGAAAAACCCACATCAAAAAAGGGACAAAGAATATGATCACTCAGTTCACAGAAAAGGACAAAAACAGCTCTTAAATATAGAAAAAGATGTTCAACCTCACTCATAATATAAGAAATGCAAATTGACTACCTGGATAACATTTCTCACCTATCAAATTGGAAAAAACCCAAACGTTTGGTAACACATTTTGTTGATAAGGGCTGTGGGGAAACAGGAATGCTTCTACATTGCTGGTGAGGATTTAATTTCATATAATCACTCTGAAGAGCAATTTGGCACTCCAGTGAAATTATGAATGTACATATCCTTTATTCCAAAAATTCCACTTTGGAGAATTTATCCTAAGGATATACATGCACAACTGTGAATTGTATTTGCACGAAATTACTCATTACAACATCATTTGTAATGCAAGTGTATTAGTCAGGGTCCTCGAGAGAAACAGACCAACAGGACACACACACACACACACACACACACACACCCTGTTGGTTCTGTTTCTCTAGAGAACCCTGACTAATACAAATGTGTATGTATAAGTACATGCATATATATGTGAGTGTGTGTTTGAAGAGGAGAGAGAGAAAGGGACAGAGAGAAAGAGAATATAAGGAAATGGCTCACACAATTATGGAAGCTGAGAAGTCCAGACCCAAGAGAACCGATGCAGTAAGTTCTATCCAAGTCCATGTCTGAAGGCAAAATAAGACTGATGTCTCAGCTCAAAGACAGGCAGAGAAAGAGCCTTACTTAGCCTTTTATTTTATTCAGGCCTTCAATAGATTTGATGAGGGGCACCCACAGTAGAAGACAGTTTGCTTGATTGATTCAGTCGATCAATTCAAATGTTAATCTCATCCAGAAACACCCTCATGTCAAACACACCCAGAAATAATATAACCAAACATCTGGGCAGCCTGTGGCCCAGTCAAGGTGACACATAAAATTATCCAACATGACAAGCAACTGGAAACAGCTCACATGCCTATCAATAGGAAACTGGTTAAGTAAATGATGGGACATCCAGACAATAGAACATTGTGCAATTACAAATTTTAAGAAGAAAAAGAAGAACGAAGATATTCTCTATATGCTATCACAGAAAGATCTAAAGTGAAAAAAGCAAAGTGTAGAATTTGTGTGTAATATGATACATTTGAAGGAAAATGAGGAAAAATTACAATTTATATATCAATCTTTTTGCATACGTGTAAAGAACTTCTGGAATGAGTCATAAGAAACCAAGAGTGCCAGGCGTGGTGGCTCTCACCCATAATGCTAGCACTTTGGCAAGCTGAGGCAGGACGATCACTTGAGCCCGGGATTTGGAGGCTGCAGTGAGCTATGACTGCACCACTGCATTCTAGCCTGGGTGACAGAGCAAGACTTTGTTAAGAAAGGAAATGAAAGGGGCTGGGGGAAAGGAAAGGAAAGAAACGCAAAATTAAGTGCAATAATCTCTCATGAGGACAGAAACTAGGCATATACAAGACAACGAAGAGAGAGAATTTTTACTAACTGTTTATACTATCTGGATTTTTAACTATGAAAATGCAGTGCCCATTCAAAAAGATTTTAAATAACTGAGAAAGGAAAAAAAGAGCTGTGTGCCTAGGAAGGTACAACTTGGAAGCCATCAGCACACAGCCAGCATTTAAAGCCATGAAGAAGGTGAAGTTGTCTAGACAGATGTGAAGAGAGAAGGAAGTTTAAGGAGTGGGGTAGAAGAAAAGGTGGTGGGGAAGCAGTCCGAAAAATAGAAGACAGAAGAGGCAGGTGGTCTCAGAGGGTATATAATGGTCTCACAGCAAGAAATATAAAATGCAAACTCAAGCATTTGGCAGCTGGGTCGTTTTGGGTTGATATATTTAACCAGATAGTCTGTATTGTGTTTGCACTTTCTGTAGGAAATATATCATGTAGTTACATTTCATCCTTGGAATTCCTCTCTCCTGTGAGTGCAACCTGATTTGAGATGTAAATAAACTGCGGAGATAATGCCGGAGTCTCGTCAGACGCCCAGTTCTCCCGCCAGCCGAGGATGGGAGTGATGATGAATGGTGCCAGGCCCGCTGCATAATCTTTTCTGTTTTAATACTCGATTATCATGTCCCTCATCTTCCCTGGACCCAAGACTCAACACATTAAAATCTCTTTGTTTCTTCCACAATGCTTCTATCTCCATTGCATCTCCAGCCTCCTTTAATATTGTTCATTATTGAAGGGAACACAGGAAACCAATTACCCAGGTGGCAGCCGGAGTTGGTCATGTGCCCACCCAGCCGCACGGAGAGACCGGTTCCCTGTTCAGACGAATGAGAATCCTCACGCTCTGCCAAGTCCCTCACCTGTCCTCAGGCTCCTGGGAGCCACCACTGACATGGCCACACATGCGTTAGACATTCACGTTCAGCTAATTCAATTGGCGTTTGTCAATGCCAGGTGCTTTGGGAGGGCCAGGCAGTTCTGCAGGCAAAGCAGTTGTTCACACAGTGGTTAAGAGCAGAGACTTCCAGAATACCTGAGTTTAAATCCTGAGTCTGCTGATAAAGCTGTGTGACCTTGGACAAATTCCTAACCTCTCAGTCCCTTTGAGTTCCCATTTGTAAAATGGAAATAATAACAGTACCCACATGTTGTGGGTTAAATTGTACCCCCCCCAAAAAAAAAAGATATGTTAAAGTCTCAACCCGTGGTACCTGTGAATGTGACCTTATTTGGAAATAGAGTCTTTGCAGATGTAATCAAGTGAAGAATAGGTCATGCAGAATTAGGGAGACCCCTAAATCTAATGACTGGTGTCCCTATGAGGAAGAAGAGATTTGGAGACGCAGAGACAGATACATCAGGAAGGCCACATGAGGCCACAGCAGAGAATGGAGAGATTCATCTGCAAGCCAGGGAATGCCAGTAACCACGAGAATCTGGAATATGCAAGGAAAGATTCTTCCCTTAAGGCTTTGGAGGGAAATATGGTCCTGCCAACACCTTGACCTTAGACTTCTAGCTTCCAGAATTATGAAAGAATAGATTTCTGTGGTCTTAAGCCACACAGTTTGTGGTCATTTGTTACAGTAGCCCTGGGACATTAATACCCCAGCTCAGAGGGTGTCAATTGACATCAGAGGGTGTCAAATGAGGATTGATTATACATGCAACACATGCAAAGTGCTTAGGAGAGTGTCTGACATCTGGTGAATCATACAAGTGTGGCGTAATTGTTATTATTTGTTGATATTATTGTGGTTGCTTTGTCCCATAAGCAGACATCCCTTATCATTACAGCAATAGCAGACAATGGACAAATAAGTTGCCTGCCCATCTGCACAGACACCTGGAGTTGACTATCGGCAAGCAGGCTCTCAGTCCATTCCCTGATACAAGGGAAGAGGCCAAGCTCTTCCATGTACGGGGCTTGCATTGCTCACCTTTGCAGGGAAATTGTAAGAGGGAGGATGCCAAGCACATGTCCATAGGTTGACAACTTTCTAAAGACTGAACTGGTTTCTGTTATACTGAGACCTCCTAAGGGGAAGAGTCAATTCCTTAGTCAACATAATTGGGGCAAGGGAAGCACATTGGTGAAGCACATGGGTCTTGGGGTCAGAGTATCTGGCTCAAATCTCACTTCTTCCACCTACTAGTTCTGTGACCTTCAGCAATACTTTAGCCCTTTTTTTTTTTTTTGAGACTGTGTCTCACTCTGTCGCCCAGTCTAGAGTGCAGTGGCGTGATCTCTGCTCACTGCAACCTCCAGGTTCAAGCGATTCTTGTGCCTCAGCCTCCAAAGCAGCAGGATTACAGGCATGCACCACCACGTCCAGCTAATTTTTGTTTCTTGGTAGAGATGGGGTTTCGCCATGTTGGCCAGTCTGGTCTCAAATTCCTGACCTCAAGTGATCTGCTCACCTTGGCCTCCGAAATAGCTGGGATTACAGATACAAGCCACCCTGCCCAGCCCTTTAGCCTGTTTCCTCATCTGTAAAATGGCAAAGGCTAACATAAAGTGTATCATAATGTATTGGTGGATAATCTAGAGTGGATAGAAAAGGGCAAGTTTTTTCAGGGCCAACACAGCTCCCTTGGTCCTGCACACACACACACACACACACACACACACACACACACACACACATATCTGTTGGCACTCTGAGGTCACTCTCACACCCACTGTCATTATCTGTTCCCTGTAATTATCTGTTGAATTTTTTGCCAAAATTATTTACCATTCAGTCCTCTACAGAAAAAGTTTGTTGATCCCTGCTTTAAATCAACTCACTTTTTAATTTAAATGCATTTCTAAATAGGACACATGATATAGCCAATGTAATTGAAAACCAGCATTTCTTGCCATAGATGGAAGGTAACAATAAAATAAATGTGTAACTACAATTATTAGTGTGAGTCAAAGAAAGAACACTCAGAGTAGAAGGAGAAAAAGGAGGATTTATAATAGCAGGGAATCAGAGGAACTCGGGGGAAATAGGCCATTGAGAAAGGTAGTGAAGGCTGTAATAGAAATACTGCTCATCACGAGGGAGCAGAGTAAATAAAAGCGTGAGGGAAAAGGACACTGGGAACCAAAAAAAAAAAAAAAATGATTTCTTTTCAACATCTGAAAGTAATAAGCATAATTTATAAACTAGATTAGAAAAGAACATCTCAGCACATTTATAATGAAAACTGCTGATGCTAATGAGAGCAATAACATTTAAATAGAAATCTGTTTACCTTTGGGAAATTCATGCATAACTTCAATGCTGTACTGATTAACTTAAGGACCAGGGACTGGACTGATTAACCTTCCTGGGTTTTTGTTTTCAAAAGGGGAGTTGGCTGAGGTGTAACAGCCTGACGAGAACTCAACAGCCTAAACCTATGATTGGGAGTAATTGGAACCAGTAGAACCGAAGTCAGAGTAGCCAACCTGGCCATATGCTACAGTTCTTTCCGGTATGAGCATCCGAGGTTTCTTTGAAAACCTGAAGAAAGCTATGCTCCTCCTTCTCAGAAAAACACACAAAAATACACACACCAAAACTTTTGCATTTAATTTGTTTTACATTTGAAATGTATGTCTTGTATATCAATATAAGTTAAAAGCTGTCTTAAAAAAAAAAAAAAACTCCTGATCTAATTATTTTATAACTTATTCTAAGAGTTAAGGCCTATTTAAATGGTAAAGGGGGTCAATCCAAAATTGCAAATAAAACAAATGTTTAAAATTTTCTTCTTCTCAAAATCACATTTTAATGAAAATACTATAATTTCTTGGCTTGAATCAAAAGTTGGCTTTGTGAAGTAGTCTTTGATATCAATCCCAAATCAATTTTAAATTTTCCGTTAAATGGCACTAAGGGTCAAAAACCCTGAACCCCCAAAATGCACAGGAAAAGACAAAATTAACATTCCCATTGCTTGCTTTGCCAAGTTAGAGTGGGGCTATGTCAATAAACACCAAATCCTCCAAGACTTGGTAAATTAAATTCATGTCGCCTGTTTTCTTTTGTCCTTAAGTTAATGAGGCTGGGTCAACGAGGGAAGAGTTTATGAATCTATCATTAAATTTGAAGATGATCTGAGTGTAAGTAACCTTCAAGTGACTTCATCAGTGTTTCAAGGTGTTTTCAGATTTGGTGCGCCATGAAATTTATAAGGCTGTCATTTTTGGCTCCAATCTGCAGAATCGCTTTCATTCAGCCTTGAGAAGTTTGCAGAGTTATCCCCCTGCAGGGTAAGATTTTGGTTCACACAGCAGTTCAGAGCAGAGACTTAACCACTGCAGGTTAACATTTTTGCCAAAAAAAGCTCACGATTTTTCTGCACTGACCATAATAGTAACTGAAGGACCTTGCATGGAAATATTGGCTTCATTCTGGTGAACAATAATTTCTTCCAAGTAAGTCCAGTGGTAAAAGAATTTCCTGCCAAATTGTTCTGCAAAGGAGCTTTTCTTCTTCTTCTTCTTCTTCTTCTTCTTCTTCTTCTTCTTCTTCTTCTTCTTCTTATTATTATTATTATACTTTAAGTTCTAGGGTACATGTGCACAACATGCAGGTTTGTTACATATGTATACATGTGCCATGTTGGTGTGCTGCATCCATTAACTAGTAATTTACATTAGGTATTCCTCCTAATACTATCCCTGCCCCTTCCCTATGCAGCCATAAAAAAAAAAAAAAAGTTCATGTCCTTTGTAGGGACATGGATGAAGCTGGAAACCATCATTCTGAGCAAACTATCGCAAGGACAGAAAACCAAACACTGCATGTTCTCATTCATAGGTGGGAACTGAACAATGAGAACACTTGGACACAGGGTGGGGAACTGCAAAGGAGCTTTTCATACTCTCATAAAGGTGAAAATTCTGCCCCAGGTTCAATCAAGAGCTTGGGGGAATTGTTTCCTGGAAAGGCAGCATACTTGTATGTAAACAGGAAGAACACGATATTCTGCATCCATTCGGTAGCAAAAACTCCTCAAAAGGCCAGCTTTTAGGGCACGAGACAAGGCTCCCTTCAGGATTTTGGCCGAGTCCCCATGCCAGTGTAGAAAGTAATGAAGCACGCAGCGTCTCCATTAAAACAAGGAAGCCATATGTGTTGTAAGGCATGCCAGATGCTGTCATCCATACCCAGACATTTTTCCCAGTTAAAGTTGTGTCTGAAGAAAATAAACTTTTCAGGCATGATGTTTCCAACGGGACTCACCAAAAGAAAATGTTTCTTCTGAAGGTGTCAGAATGCACATAGTGGATGAAGAGTACATAAAGAGTACTACCTCCGCACTGAAAGGCGTCGACAGTTGCACGCAGTTGCAAGCTGAAGGAAGGAGAAATCGCTACAATTCTTGCTTTAAAATATCCCGAAGAAATAAGTGTTCATCGGCCGGGCGCGGTGGCTCACGCCTGTAATCCCAGCACTTTGGGAGGCCGAGACGGGCGGATCACGAGGTCAGAAGATCGAGACCATCCTGGCTAACACAGCGAAACCCCGTCTCTACTAAAAATGCAAAAAAAAAAAAAAAAAAAAAATTAGCAGGGCGTGGTGGCAGGCGCCTGTAGTCACAGCTACTCGGGAGCCTGGGGCAGGAGAATGGCGTGAACCCGGGAGGCGGAGCTTGCAGTGAGCCGAGATCGCGCCACTGCACTCCAGCCTGGGCAACAGAGTGAGACTCCGTCTCAAAAAAAAAAAAAAGAAATAAGTGTTCATCTTTTGGAGTAGGTGAGGTTATCTGAGAGAGGCACTACTTTATTGATTTCTCTGCTCCAAGTCATAAACCAGCTTGATCACTGCTAAGGTACTGGTCTTCCTCAAGATATCCCCAGTTGTACAGATACTCTGCATTTTTGGCAATGTGAGTGACAATGTTGTAGAATGTTTCTAGATATGGCATTGGGGCTGGGGCAAACGTAAGATCAGGTGGAGTTCCAGCCTTTCCAAATTTAAGGTTTGTCTCAGGAAACACACCCACACTGAAAGATGCTGAGATGGAAGTTGCTTCTTTGGTTTTGTTTGTTTTATGCACCCATTGATGAGCGATTTGCATTCACAGAACCATTGTGGCTTTAGTGTCCCATAATGTTCAATGAGGAAAGCGAAACCAAGGGATACGTCAGTTGCGTCATGCTTTTATCTCTTCATACTTCCCAATTCAGCTAAACTTGATATGAACAAAGACAGATTCCCTTGAGTATTAAGGCAAGGCATATCTTCTTTAATTTTTATCAGTGAGAAATTAATATAGGCATTGACACAACCATAACCATAAACTTTGTATATTACCATTCCACAACTGTTTGAAATGGAACAATATCATAATCATATAATTTGACACCAAATTTTTTTCAAAGATGACTTTCAAAGTAACAGAAAGAAAACTGGAAGAAAAGCTATGTGCGCGCGTGTGTGTGTGTGCGCGCGTATCTGATTCACAGAACTCTTCTGAGATGGAGTGTCACCCTGTCGCCCAGGCTGGAGTGCAGTGGCACGATCTCAGCTCACTGCAACCTCCGCCACCCAGGTTCAAATGATTCTCCTCCCTCAACATCCTAAGTAGCTGGGATTACAGGCATGCACCACCACGCCCAGCTAATTTTTGTATTTTTAGTAGACACGGGGTTTCACCATGTTGGCCAGGCTGGTCTCGAACTCCTGACCTCGTGATCCATCCACCTCAGCCTCCCAAAGTTCTGGGATTACAGGCATAAACCACTGTGCCCGGCCTGATGCACAGAACTCTTGATACTCATCTATATGCCCCTTCTCTGACCCCTTCTTTCTCTTCCCCTACTCTAGGTTAAGAAACTCTGCAATTAATATTGATACTAGACTCCAGCCCACCGATGCTTTTTTTTTTTTTTTTTTTTTTTTTAGACAGAGTCTTGCTCTGTCACCCAGGCTGGAGTGCAGTGGTATAATCTCAGCTCACTGCAGCCTCCACCTCTCCAGGCTTGGTTGATCCTCCCACCTTAGCCTCCTGAGTAGCTGGGACCATAGGTGCACTCTGCCTCACCTGGCTAATTTTTTACTTTCTTGTAGAAACAGAGTTTTGCCATGTTTGTCCGGTTGGTCTCAAAACTCCTGGGCTCAAGCGATCTGCCTGCCTCAGCCTCCCAAAGAGCTGGGATTACAGTCATGAGCCACTGCATCCAGCAAGTCCACCAATGCTTGTACGGACTACTGGGACAGCAACTTTAAGTGGGGATAATCAAATAGAGTTATAATGAATTGCTCTGACCAACCATACCAAGGGACAGAGATCTCTAGTCAACATACATTTCAAGCCCAAATTGGCCCACATTCCCTATTCTTCTCTGTTTTATACTCTAACATTGACCAACTCCTTATTTTCACTGATAAATGATGTTTCCTTCATGATATCTGTAGAGCCTGGATTGTTAGAGCTTAGACCCTTTATTTTCTTCCTGAGGCAATGTAGCCTAGCGGTTGAGTGAATTGGTTTGAGCCAGGTGTAGTGGCTCTTTTTAATCCCAGCACTTCCGGGGTCCAAGGCAGGTAGATCAGTTGAAGCCCGGAGTTTGAGATCAGCCTGGGCAACAGGGCGAGACCCCATGTTTACCGAAAAAGGAAAAAAAGTGAATAGGTTTGGAAGTCAGATGGGCCAGAGTTTGACTCTAGTTCCACTATTTGATTTTTTTAATAGCCATGTGGCCTATTTAAGCCTATTTTCCAATCTGTAACTAGGTATTAAAGGAAATAATATATCTGCAATAATCTCGCTCCATTTTTGATATCTGACTGCTGATAGCTTTCAAGTCCCAACCTTTCCTCTTCCTCTTCTGCCTCACATCTGAACAGACCAATAACAGAACCTGGGTGTTATCTCCTTTGGTGATGCCAAGAAGTTCAACACTATACAAGCCTGACTTGTAGGCAGAAACCCACAACCCAACCCTATCCCCCAGCTACCATCAAACCCAAGCCAACCTCCATTCTTTGCTTTCTCAAGCCATTTTGGACCTACTAGGGAAGCCTGCCTTGCTTATTACGTGAGTAATAAACCTTGTCATAGTGTGTGTGTGTGTGTGTGTGTGTGTGTGTGTGTGTGTGTCATATGAACAAATCTGGAGTGACAGAGTCCATCCCACTTTTGCAGGGTGACCACAACTCTGTGAGCAGTATGCCTAGGCAATGACCACCACCACCGGGGGTCATTCTTCTTTGGCTTTGACTTGTGAACAGGCCCTGCTGCCTGCTGGCTTGCATGCGCTTTGAGTTGTGCCGCTGCCGGCAGGCTGACTTGCTCTTTGAGCTGAGCTGCTTTCTGCTGAATTTGCTGAGCTTTCAAGCCTCTGTTATATACTTAACCAACCTAAATCAGAAATTTCACTAATTGGCATTTAGAAACAGGAGCATGGGATTGGGGCCCTCCTTAAAGTGACCTTGGATCATGTGTCTGGACTCCTTTGTGTGTCTCAATTCCAGCATAAGCCATGACTGCCACTAGGCTCAGGGGAATGACTCTTACTCTGTTACCATTCGTTGTATGTCTCAACAGGACTTTAGTCCCCATTTTATAGAGTGCTTGGGAAAAGACGGATACCCTATGCAATATGCATGCCATTGAGTGGTCCTTGCATGGAAGTATATGCTGAAGTCATACTCCTAAAAACAGGTGACTCACTAGGACCCTACAGAATGGTTTTGCTGCTGCCGCTGCTGCTTATGTGTTTCTCACAACAAAGTTCTCAATCCTGAGAGTTATACGGAAAAAAATACGCTTAGCACCCTGGTGACATAGCCAAAGGGTTAATTCAAACACAACTTAAACCCTGGGTCCTTAAACCCAATAAAGCAACCATTTCTAAAAGGCAGGCCCCTAATTCGGACTGTATTAATTTCAGGCTCTTTGAGGTGAAATTTCTAAATATAAGCAAGGTAGAGAACACCCACTCCCTGAAGTATATCCAGTAACCATCAAAAAACAATAACAATAATAACACCCGGATGCCAGAGCCAGAGGAAACAACAACAACAACAACTACAAAACAGAAACAGAAGTCCTCAATTTGACCCAACTGGAAATCCAAGATGCACCAAAAGAATGTATACAACAAAAAGATAAAAGATTGGCCTTTACAGCTCTGCAGCATAGATTGTGAATTAACTTCAAAATCTACTGAGATGTACCCGTTGGCAAATTTTAATGGCCTTCATCAACACGGGGGCTGAAATTATGGTCATACCTGGGATCCCACTAAATTTAAACAAGGTACCCCCTATAATCTTGGGAGAGTTACTGAACATAAATGGAAGACAAATAGGTATGCCTCTCCTTAACCACCAGACATATTGCCTTACCTAAACTCCGCCTAGTTAAAATGCCCATGGCCCCAAAATATCTCATAGTGGGCAGGGATGCTCTAACCCAAAGTGTGATAACTTAAAGTTAAATTAGGTTTTTGACACTTACAATGGGCTTAACACAAAATGTGACCCCCTGGACCTCCCTGACCCTAGTTAGAATATTTAAGACGTCCCTGACCCTAGTTAGAATATTTAATAAGATCTAATATAAATCAAAACAAGGCATTTAAGATTGAAACTCATTATGCAAGGTCCGTTTTGAAAAGGGAGTGATTATTCCCACTACTTCTCCATTTAATAGCTCAATTTGACCTCTTTTACCTTGGAAGGAAAGAATAGTGCCTCACTATAGATACTGAAGTCTTCTTTTCTTTTTTTGAGACAAGGTCTGTCTGTCACTCAGAGTGACTATAGTGCAGTGGCGCTATCACAGCTCACTGCAGCCTCAAACTTCTGGACTCAAGCAATCCTCCTGCCTCAGCCTACAGAGTAGCTGGGACTACAGCTGTGTACCACCACACCCAGCTAATTTTTTTTTTATTTTTTATAGGGACAGGATCTCACCATATTGCCCAGGTGAGTCTCAAACTCTTGGTCTCAAGCAATCCTTTCACCTTGGCCTCCCAAAGTGCTGGGATTACAGGTGTGCACCATTGCACCTGGCTGATACCGTAATCTTAATGTCACAATGCCTTACCCATTGAGGTTCTCATACCCAATATTAGTAAACTATTGACTTCATCAAATCAGCAACTTGTAAATACCCTGCAGTCGTAGATTTAGCTAAATCTCTTATGTTCAATGCCTATTTTTACAGTCTCTTAGCTGCACTTTGTCTTCACCTTCAGAGGGATACAATATACCTTTGCTGGAGCACTCAACAGCCTTGCCATTGCACACAATCTTTGTGGGCGAGATCTTAACCACATTCAATGTGATAGGGCTTGCTAGAAAGCTGCTGCATTCCATCCCTAACCAGGACATTCTTGAAAAAGGAGAGGATCCAAAGGTTAACACAATTGGCGGAACTTCAGGAAGTAATCTTAGCCCAGGATGCCTTGGCTAATAATCAGCCCGTCCACACACCTTTACAGACTCATGGACCACTGCCAATCATCTGGCCTTCTAGTCTTGCCAATGGCAGGAACAACAATTTCTTACCCAGAGTTTCTGCCTTTGGAGTACAGAACTCCACGAATCTCTTGCCTCATAGATATCCAACATATAAATCAAGGTCACACATGTCTCTGTACCTACAAAAACCACAGTACAAAGCCTCCCTAAGACACTTCTTATATCATTTTGTGTTCTGAACAAAGCACGCATTTCACTTCTCAACAGACATAATGCTGGGCTCTGGAATGAGTCATTCAATGGGACTTTCAATTTCCTTACCAGCCTCAGGACACAAGCCTCATAGAGAACCATAATGGCTTAATTAAACCAGTTCAAACTCAATTAACTGAAACATGGCACATTTTTAGTCATCAGTCAAATATCAAGGGCGAATTGCAATGAAAGGCCTGCCAACAATTTTGACTCTGGGTATATAACCCAAAAGAATTGAAAGCAGATTATTGAAAAGATATTTATATACCCCTCCAGGTTCATAGCAGCATAATTCCCAATGGTTAAAATCCAATGCTTATCCATTGACAGACAAATGGATAAGCAACATGTGGTATATCCATACAAGGGAATATTATTCAGCCTTAAAAAGGAAGGAAGGCCAGGCACAGTGGCTCACGCCTGTAATCCCAGCACTTTGGAAGGCCGAGGCAGGCGGATCATGAGATCAGGAGTTCGAGGCCAGCCTGGCCAACGTTGTGAAACCCTGTCTCTACTAAAAATACAAAAATTAGCTGGGTGTGGTCGTGGGCGCCTGTAATCCCAGCTACTCAGGAGGCTGAGGCAGGAGAATCACTTGAACCCAGCAGGCAGAGGTTGCAGTGACCTGAGATCGTGCCATTGCACTCCAGCCTGGGTGACAAGAGCAAGACTCCATCAAAAAAAAAAAAAGGAATTTCTGCAATACGCTACAACATGAATGATTTTGTAGGACATTACGCTAAGTAAAATAAGCCAGTCACAGAAAAACAAATACTGTATGGTTCTACTTAAAGGAAGCCCATAGAGTTGTCAAAATTAGAGAGACAGAAAGTAGAATGGTGGTCCCCAGCAGCTGCAGAAAGACAGAGTGGGGAAATTATTGTTTAATGGGTACAGAGTTTTCATTTTACAGGATGAAGACTTGTGGATATGGATGGTGGTGATGGTTGCACAACAATATCAATTTATTTTATACCACTGAACCGTGCACTTCAAAATGGTTAAGATGGTAAGTTTTATGTTGTGTATTTTACCATAATAAAAAAAATTGTAGAGGGAAAAACAGTCTGCCTCCACTTTTGATATGGGACTGCTAACATCTTCCACCCTCCCTCTCCCCCTCTGCCCCACATCTGGGCAAGCTAAGAAAGCCTGCTGCTCTCTCCTCTGGCACCAGCTGGAAATTCATACCCAACAAGCCCTAGCCCTCCCACCAGACCCACATTTCATCCCCATCCCCATCGCATCCCCATCCCCATCCCCATCCCTAACCACCATAAATGCTAAGGGAGTTTCCTTGCCTGGTTTTCTGAAGCCATTTTTGGACCTGCTTGGGAATCTGCCCTGCTCTCTCAGAAAGCTTCATTATATGAGCAATAAACCTTTTCCTACCCTCTTGGTGCATGTGGTGTATCATCAGTCTTGACATCTAAAACAAATTTTGGGTGGTGGGGTCCATGTCTTTGCAGGGTGACCACAATAGTACCTGGCACATTATGTGTTTAATAAACAGAGATTACTGTCATATTTATTTTATTTTATTTTTTGAGATGAAATTTCACTCTTTTTTCCTAGGCTGGGGTGTAGTGGTGCGATCTTGGCTCACTGCAACCTCCACCTCCCGGGTTCAAGTGATTCTCCTGCCTCAGCCTCCCAAGGAGCTGAGATTACAGGCATGCGCCACCACACCTGGCTAATTTTGTATTTTTAGTAGGGATGGGGTTTCACCATGTTAGCCAGACTGGTCTCGAACTCCTGACCTCAGATGATCCACCCACCTTGACCTCACTTACAGGCGTGAGCCACCGCGCCTTGTCTCTGTTATATTTATTTCTCTATTTAAATTGATGGATATATGCAAACCTGATCATTATCATACTTATGCCTAGACACAAGAGAGGCAATAAACTAATCTAAGTGATGCTTGTGATGCCAAAGATGTCAGAACACTTTCTGGGCCAATGGCAGATACCTCATGTCACCAGATGCTAAGGGTCCACAATAAAAAGCACTGAATGAAAATTTTGAGGATAAATATCTCCAGGTTGAGGAAGAAGGTTGCACATATCGGGTGCTCAATAAATATTTGTTGAATGAATGAATGAGTGAATGGCCCCAGTGTGTGGGGCTTGGGAAGTGATTGGATATAGGCAGAGAAAAGGAACAAGTCAAAAATAATTCAGAAATCAAGAACAAGCAAGTTGCCTTGATACACTTCATTCCTACACTTGGCAAACTTTAGTGATTAAGGAAACAATGTTTTAAAAAAAGTTTTGGTGATGAGACATTCAGGAAGATCTATCAATAAATAGCAAACCTGGTCCTTTTTAAGACACTGTGTATAAAAAAATTCCAAAAAGATTAAAATCAATGCAGAAACCAAAGAACCATTTTTTTCTATATCATATTGATCATTTCAAGTGGAACTGTTAGCTATCTTAGAAAAATTGTGGTTCTCAATTGCTTTTGCCTCTATCTCTGAACCACCAATCCTAAAGAAAAACATTCAACCAGAAAATTTCAGCACATCACAATCTCTCTGAAGATTAAGAAGTCTCTGTGAAGGACTGAATGTATAAATTGAAAAATTTTTGCTGTCACATTTAGGTAAAAGAGAAATCGTTCTTCATATCCCCTTCCTTTCCATCTGTAGCTCACCTATGTCAACTTTCCTCTCAGAAGTGAAATAAAATTAAAGCTATGACACTGAGTGTCAGTCATGGAGGGACACGTTCCCCACTTAGCCTTTGCTGAAGTGTTTCCAGAGACAACTGTCTAATGCCAGGTCCCCACTTAGTGGGCTGCACTTTTCTACTCATTTGCACATAATCCAGAAGTCACATTTTGGGTTCACAGTTTCCACTGGGGTAACCTCATTAGGCCTGGCCACCTCTGTGCTTCTTGTGAAGTCTCTGATTTGAAGGATTAGTATCCTTTCCAGACTGTGTGGGTTGACTTTCACCCATCTGGAGTTGCTTGGAACAAAAATAACTACCTCAACTCCTTGTCACGAAAGCAAAAAACAAGATAGCATTAGAGTTCTGAGAACAGGATGTCATTACGGGTTGTGCCTTGTCAGCTACAGGTAAGATATTTGAGTGGCTCCTCAAGCCTCCCCAACTCCCTCTCCGACCTCGCTACACAGTCTTCCCAGGTGTGGTATTTGACCTCCAGACTGCCACCCAGAAAGCAACTCAGAGCTCAGCAACACCATGATGATGAAACACAAATATCTGGGCCACCAACTTTGGAGACTCCACTGGTTGCTTTTGTGCAGCTCTTTCTATATATGACTTTCAAAATGGCAGCCAACCCTCTCAACTGTTGGTTGATCTGAATATGTAAAGTTCAGCCTTCAAACCCAGCAAACAGTCAGCTATAGGATAGAGTTCAGGTGCTGGGGAATGACCACGGTTGGCTGCTACGTTGGGAACCCTGGTGACATCATATATGGACCTGGGAATGTAAAGAAACGTAGGAAATCTGAATTTATGACTTTTCTAATCTCTCTATCGGGATCCTTTTTTGGAATCAAGATGATTTTCCTTCTAAAAGGTCATTTTATTACAGTAATGGGCAGGGTAGACATACCTCACTAGCGTACTCTCAAAATTTCTTGCATGCATATGCTTTCTCCGGCATGCATATGCTTTCTACTACAATGTGAACAAGCCTACGAAAGCTAGCCTAATGGAGGATGAGAGACCACGTGGAGGAGAGCTGAAGTGCCCCAGCCAGCAGCTAGCCTACACCCACAGCTATTTTGCTTGTGTTCCACTCGTCCTATTTGCATAATATTGTTCTTTAAGTTAACCCATTCTTAATTTATTGTTTTAATCTTAAGCAATAATATTCAAGAACTAATGAGTTTTGTGTATTCGTTATATTTTTCCATAATATATATTATACTAATAAATGCCCATTCAAATTTTTGTTTGAGTGCTCAAGTGGGTATCATTTAAAATAATCTTATATACTATATATAACAGCCAAGGTTTGGGCAACACAACAGAAACTGCATGAGTTTATTTTATCAGAATTTTTTAAACGGTATGGGAGAACTAAAAAAGTAAAAAAGGGAACCCTTGAGTTAACAAGGAGATAAGAACTACATAAAGCAGTTACTGTCCTGAAGGAATAAAGGGAAGAGCATGGGGTTATTAGAACCTAGAAGTTTGGAACCACCAGGAGCTGGGACCCTATGAGGAGAGGGTTGGCCCCTGACAATGCTGGTGTCTCTAAGGGAGCTCCTGAGGCTGATTCTAGCAGTGTAGGGAAAGAAACTGGAAACTGGAACAATTTCCTCTGTAATCAATGACCCTTGCCAGGGTAAAGAATCACTGCTGAAGAGATGCTACTGGAAAAGCAAGCAAACAAAAAGGAGGGTGTCCCTTCCCCTTCTTCCTTCCTTCCAGTCTCCCTCATGACAGAGCATCTGGCTGGTGACGGGAAAAGGTGCTCCACAGAGCACCACCCCAACATCACACGGGCATCTGCTGACCCACAGCTGACTGCAGATGAGGAAGCTCAGCCTAGGTCACACAAATGCCTCCCAGCTGAGTCTAGCCTAAATTGCCAACCTGCCAAATCATGAACTAATAAGTGACTATTGTTTTAAGCCACTACCTTTAAGGGAATTCAGTATGCAGCAATAGCTATCTGATCCATATAGGCCTACAAGGCTATAGAAAAACTATCACATGTAATCCCAGCACTTTGGGAGGCCAGGGCGGGTGGATCAACTGAGGTCAGGAGTTCGAGACCAGCCTGACCAACATGGAGAAACCTCGTCCCTACTAAAAACACAAAATTAGCCAGGCATGGTGGTGCATGCCTGTAATCCCAGCTACTTGGGAGGCTGAGGCAGGAGAATCACTTGAACCTGGGAGGCAGAGGTTTCAGTGAGCCAAGATCGCACCATTGCACTCCAGCCTGGGCAAAAAGAGCGAAACTCTGTCAAAAAAAAGAAAAAGAAAGAAAGAGAGAGAGAGAGAGAGAAAGCAGAGAGGCTACTGCAGAGAAAAGTCTAGAAGGATGGGTTCATGGGTTCATCGAGAGACAATAGCTTAACAACCAGCACACCATAGTTGGCAAAACACTATCATTGAAAAAAAAACATGCTCAAAAGGGGAAATGCCAGTTTGGGTAAATATGCTTTTGTGTTGGAGAGAAAGAATTTGGAACAGGCTTTTCAGACCCCCTTAAGGCCCAACAAACAAATTATAATTTAGACAAGTCTGGGATTCTTCACAGCTCAGCTTGTGGTGATGGTATTAGCTTCACAACTCCAAACAAGTTAAGCTGTCTGTGTGAAATCTCCTCAACAACACCTCACTGGCAAACCTGGAGGTGCTGAAAACAGAGCTTTCAATTCTTGTTTGCAACCAAGGGAGTTGAGTTGGCAGATGGGCACTGTGTCCAGCCTTGGGAAAGGACATCGCAGACTTTGCATCCTAAGAACTCATAACCACAACGGCAAGGTAAGACACAAGCTCTTGAAAGTTTCCATCACAGTGCAGCACAAATGACCTTGGCTATGTGCCCTGTTATTGCTGGTCCCTGCTTAAAAATCTCCTGTGACTTCCAACCACACAAATTTCCTACCTGGTTGCAAAAATGCCCTTGATAATTCACCCCTCCCTCTATCTTGCCCCCTTTACAATGTGGCTTGGCAGCTCCTCCCATCAAGAGTTAAAATCTATTTCCTCACCCCTTGAATCTAGGCTGGCCATGGGACTTGCTTTGGCCAATAGATGTGGCAGAAATTATGGCGTGACAGTTCTAAGCATGAGTCTCAAGAGGCTTTGCATGCAGCAACTTTCTCTTAGAACCCTGCCACCATGTGAACAATCCTGCCTGGGCTAGCCTAATGGAGGATGAGAGACCATGTGGAAGAGAGCTGAGGTGCCCCAGCCAACAACCAGCCTACCCCAGAAGCAGAGGCATCTGCTGACCCACAGCTGACTCCAGATGCATAAGGGAGCTCAGCCTAGATCCAGAACGCCTCCCAGCTGAGTCTAGCCTAGACTGCCAGCCTGCCAAATCATGAAGTAATAAGGGACTATTGTTTTAAGTCACTACCTTTTGGGGGAATTTGATATGCAACAATAGCTCTCTGATACATATAGGCCTACAAGTCTATAGAAAAACTATGCTGCCTCTCTCTCCAGCCACACAATTTCTTTCTCTTCTCATTTACTATTCTAATTCCTCTGTGTTATAGTCTGTGTCCCAAAATTCATGTCAAAATCCTAATCTCCAAGGTAATGGTATTAGAAGGTAAATCTTTGGTAGGTGATCAGGTCATGAGGGTGGAGCCCTCATGAATGGGATTAGTAACCTTATAAAAGAGAACCCAGAGAGCTCATTTGCTGCTTCTGCCATGTGAAGATACAGTGAAAAAAGAAGCAGGCCCTTGCCAGATACGAGTTTGCCAATGCCTTGATCTTGGAATTCCCAGCCTCCAGAACTGTGAGCAGTAAGTTTCTATTGTTTTTTTTTTTTTTTTTTGAGACGGAGTCTCGCTCTGTCGCCCAGGCTGGAGTGCAGTGGCGCGATCTCGGCTCACTGCAAGCTCCGCCTCCCGGGTTCACGCCATTCTCCTGCCTCAGCCTCCCGAGTAGCTGGGACTACAGGCGCCCGCTACCACGCCCGGCTAATTTTTTGTATTTTTAGTAGAGACGGGGTTTCACCGTGTTAGCCAGGATGGTCTCGATCTCCTGACCTCGTGATCCGCCCGCCTCGGCCTCCCAAAGTGCTGGGATTACAGGCGTGAGCCACCGCGCCCGGCCAAGTTTCTATTGTTTATAAGCTACCCAGCCTATGGCATTTTGTTACGGCAGCCTGAATGGACTAAGACAGTCTACCTAGACCATTATTTCCCTTTCATCATCCACCAGCCAATTCCAGCACATCTTTTAGATCTCAGCTTAAATACTCCCTCCAAGACCTCCCTCTATCTCTAATATGAATGAAATCCATATCTCAAGTTCTTCACAGAATCCTCTACTCTTTCCTTCATGGCATTTGTCATAATTTGTAATTATATATCTAGCAAAGTTCTTTGTTGTTAAACATCTACCTCCTCCACTCTCCTAGAAACTCCACAAGGACATCCCTGCACCCAGTGCCTAGGCAATGCCAGACACATAGCAGATGCTCCATTAATTATCTGTCGAATGACTGAATGGCTTCCAAGTTAGTTAACTGGGCACCCTTGATAACAGATTCTGGCCTATTTGAAGGATCAAAGAAGAAAGTGGTGCTACCTTCTCCCCTGCCACTATCTTGCCCACTTGTGGTGCCAGTTCAGGAGGTTTGGAATGGATGTGGCTAATGATAGACGTAGACCTATTGCCTTTCTTGGATCATAATTCTGCCAGGCTCTGAGTCCATGTGGCATCGATGGCTAATTGTCCTCCAAAATTTATCCTCTCTTCTTCCATTTATACCCTCCCATGGAGTTTTAACAGGGCATGTGGTCACCCTACTGGGATCTCACTTCTCAGCTTCCCTTGCAACTGGATGTGGCCTTGTGACTAAATTCTCATGAACAGAATGTGAGTGCAAGTGATGTGTCAGTATCTTCATCACTTTCCTAAAAAGGGAACTGCTGGTCCTCCACTTCCTCTCTTTCACCCTTCCAATGAGCCAGAACATGCATGTGATGCTGGTGAGTCAGCTTCAGTCACATGAATAAAAACAAACTCCAGGAGATGACTAAGCAATAAGACAGAAGGAACCCAAGTCCCTAGATGAGTTCACAGAACCAAGCTACCTATCCAACCCTGGGCCCACCTGGATTATAACATGAGAAAAACATAAGTCCTAATCATATTTTTGAAGCACTGCATTTTAGGGCTTCTTTGTGACAGCAGCCTACCCTCTAGTCTAATCAATATACCTCACCAAGTCTCCTGCTCCTAAGGGAGACAAAGAAGCAAAATGAGTCTCAAAACATCATCCAAATGGAATAGATACAGACCTGTAATCCCAACACTGTGGGTGCCCAAGGCGGGTGGATCACTTGAGGTCAGGAGTTTGAGACCAACCTGGCCAACATGGCAAAACCCTGTCTCCACTAAAAATACAAAAATTAGCCGGACGTGGTGTTGTGCACCTGTAATCCCACCTACCCACGAGGCTAAGCCAGGAGAATTGCTTGAACCCAGGAGGGGGAGGTTGCAGTGAGCCGAGATCATGCCACTGCACTCCAGCCTGGGTAACAGAGTGAGACTCTGTCTCAAAAAAATAAATAAAAATAAAAATAAATAGACCATTAATTAATAGATATAGCCTTGGTCTGTGACCAAAGCTCAGAATGTTATGATATTCCTTTCCTATGTCACCTCAACTTGCCCCTGTCATCAGACAGGACAAATTCCCCACTGGTCCTTTGCACTCACAGCTGTTACATTTGAAATGGGAGCTTAGCCTTCCCTGCCCTGGTTCCTCCTTAGACTCATTTGGGAAAACAGGAAACGTAATTATTTCTGCCATTACCTTTATCTCATGGAGCCTGACAGAGTGTAACCAATGGTAGGAATTAAAACATTCTAATTGCCAACTCACAACAACTCCCGAAAAAAATCATTTTAACTCATTATACATATTAAATTATGACATGCTTAATGTCCAAACCTAATAGATTCAGTACTCAGGAAATCCCTTATACAGGTAGACACCTTTCCTCCTGTACTTTAAGAAAATCTTACATCAATATGCGGGACTTCTCAAATTTTTCTATCACAGTTTTCTTAATAGGAAGGAGAATTTGTGCCAAAAGATGTATGGAAATTTAGCACAAAGTAGCCCTCTACAAGCGGAGGATTTCTTTAAAGCATTGTGTTTTATCTCAAGATTCCATGGCAAATGTTTATCTTCTCTGCTTGTTTTAGTATGAAATAGTTTTCATTTGCTTGTCATCATTTTTAAGGAGTTGAAAATACAATCAACCTCACTCATCATAAAATAAAAGCAAATTAAAACTACTATGACATATTTTCACCTACAAAATTGAGAACATTTTAAAATGTGATAATAGTTCTATTAACAAGGGTGTGAGAAGACAATTCTCAGGCAGGGCATGGTGGCTCACACCTGTCATCCCAGAGCTTTGGGAGGCTAAAGTGGGAGGATCGCTTGAGCTCAGGAATTCAAGATCCACCTAGGCAACATAGTGAGACTCTGTCTCTACAAAAAGTAAAATATAAATTAGCTGGGTGTGGTGGCATGCGGCTATCATCCCAGCTACTGGGGAGGCTGAGGCGGGAGGATTGCTTGAACTGGGGAAGACCAGGTTGCCATGAGCCATGATCACGCCACTGTATTCTAGCCTGGGTGGCAGGACCAGACCCTGTCCCAAAAAAAAAAAAAAAAAAAAAAAATCCCTCTTCCCTGATTGGTGGGACTGTAAGCTGGTGCAACCTCTTGGGAGGAGCAGGTGGTTAGAAAACATGTATCAAATTTTTATGCAAAATTTAAATAGACCCACAATTAGACCCTAGGAATTTATTCTCCAGATATTCTCATGCATGCGTGCAAGGTATATTTGCAAAGATTTGTATCCAGCACTATCTGTAATTGCAAAAATCCAGAAGCAACCTCAGTGTCAATCCTTAGAAGACTGTGTACATGAGATACTGTACATGTTGGTTGGGTTCTCCGAGAAGCGCATGCCCGGATAGAATGCAAAAGATTCATTAGGGAGTAACACCTCTGCCAGAAAAGCAGAAGAGATAGGATTGGGCAGGAGGGGCCATTAGAGCACAATTTAGAGCTACCACCATTTCAGAAGGCAGCAAAGATTGCCTGTTAGAGAAATGGTCAGGCCCTTGTACCCTCAGTCACTGGATGGGAGCCACTCCAAGAAGAGCATGACCATGACTTAACAGCTAAGGGGACCCTGAAAGAGCTGCCAGGTTAAGGCTATCAGCTCCTCACTCCCCACAGCTGGACAGAGAGCCTTTGTTTAAGGAAGATCTGAGCAGCTCATCTCCAGGTCTGGCACAAGGGTTACCCATAGGATGAAGATGGAAGACATGAATCTATATGTATTAGTATGGAACAATCTCCATGATAGATTTTTAAGTGAAAGAGCAATAGTAAATTGCAAAAGAGAACATAACGTTTTGGGACTAGGCAGAAGTGATAACCGAACAACAGTGTGAATGGAGTAAAATGTCACCGAATTGTACACTTTAAAGTGGCTAATTTTGCTATGTGAATTTCACCTCAATTTTTTTTTTTTTTTTTTTGAGATGGTGTTTCACTCTTGTTGTCCAAGCTGGAGTGCAATGGCAAAGTCTCGGCTCACCACAACCTCCGCCTCCTGGGTTCAAGCAATTCTCCTGCCTCAGCCTCTTGAGTAGCTGGGATTACAGGTGCGTGCCACCACGCCCGGCTAATTTTGTATTTTTAGTAGAGACGGGGTTTCTCCATGTTAGTCAGGCTGGTCTTGAACTCCCGATCTCAGGAGATCTGCCTGCCTCGGCCTCCCAAAGTGTGGGATTACAGGCGTGAGCCACCGTGCCCGACCCCATCTCAATGTTTTAAAAGAGAGAGAATACAGCATGCTGTCATTTGTGTTAATTTTAAAAAGGAAATGAATTTATGTGCATGTATAAATGCTAGACATGGAATCTCTCTGAAAGGAGCCATGAAACACTCATACTATGATCTCCAGTCAGGAAAGAGACTTAATTTTCACTGTACGCCCTTGGTGCTGCTTAAATTTTTATCATGTGCATGTAATTACACCCTGTCTTTAAAAATCATTAAAGATGTTTAATTGTTCTGATGAAGGAATACATTACTTGCCATCAAGAAAAATGAATGAAAAATTTTCTGCGAGACAATTTTTAGCAAGACACTGTTGTATTGATCATTCAAGTTCAGAAAATTCAGCCTCCGTCAAGGGGCACAAACATCATATATCAGGTTCAGTTTGTCCTCTCTCTCAGAGTCAAAGTGCTTTAGGAACATAGACACAATAAGTTTCTGGAACCAAATGGCAAATATCAAAACTTGCTAGAACAGGAGAAAAGTGTATCTTATTGAAAATTCACCAGCTGCTATACCATTCAGCATTGGGAAAATCAGCATACCTTCTTAGACTTCATTATTTTAAAGATGGCAAAATAGCCAAGTCATGGATGTCTCCCCCTTTCATCAAAATGTAAAGAACTAGCTGCCTCTGGGACTCTCCACCAATTTTCAAGCACGTCTTTTGAACCCATTTGATGGTGTCACTCAATAAGGGCACCTTTTTCAACTTGGCTGCCTCTTTTTGACCCAAAATAATTTCAACCCTTTTCTGCAGCTCCGGGCTTCACCAGGCTTTCTATTATTGCATATACCTTTCATAGTGATTCTAAACCGACCTCGAATGAAGAGACAAATGATTTTTTATCTATTTGTTTGATTGCACTTCTCCTTGTACTGCTCCAAGACAAGGCTTGTCTTTTGAGTTGCAAAAAATACTAGCGCTCTATTTCCAAAGTCAAACAAGTGGCTTTTCAATGTCTCTGCAAGTGTTTTGTTTCATGCAGTCAGTGCTGACTTTTCTCGATGGAGAGACATATGGTTTGGGCCCATTTTAGCAACTCTATAATAAAACTGATTATAAAAATAAGCATCTAAGAATATCTTAGGCTTTTAAGATTGACACCACTGCTTGCTACTCAATTGCTAGTTGTGGTTGGCAGTGCACGCAGTGTCTTTGTGGTCAAGTTCATTGTGGCAAGCTCAGAGGTCATGTCAGATCACAACACAGGGACTTTGAATTGGGTGAACATCCATTCATTACGTGGCACACGTCACGAGCTTCAAGGTTTTGCTTCAAAAACTCTTCCGTCTTCTAGGTGAAAGTATAAGTTTAAACTTACTGCTCTTTAAGAAAGTAAATGAAAAATGACACTAAAGTCCCAAAAGCCAGAATTGTCAGCAATCCTAGGTGCAGTTCATTCATTCATTCATTCACGTATTCATTCAATAAATATTTATGGAGGGCCTATTTACCTGGCAGCACTTCATGAGGCCCTGGAAATACAATAGTGAGCAATAAAAACACACTCCTTCACCAGGTGGAGCTATAGTCTACTAGGGAGATATAGATGTTAAACAAATTATCACACAGGCCGGGCATGGTGGCTCACACCTGTAATCCCAGCACTTTGGGAGGCCGAGGCAGGTGGATCACCTGAGGTCAGGAGTAGGAGTTCAAGACCAGGCTGACTAACATGGTGAAACCCCATCTTTACTAAAAATACAAAATTAGCTAGGCATGGTGGTGCATGCCTGTGATCCAAGCTACTTGGGAGGCTGAGGCAGGAGAATTGCTTGAACCGGGGAGGCAGAGGTTGCAATGAGCTGAGATCGCACCATTGCACTCCAGCCTGGGCAACAAGAGCGAAACTCCAACTCAAAAAAAAAAAAAAAATTATCACACAAACAAGTACATAATTCTATATTGTGAAGTGTCCCAAAGAAAAATATGCCACTCTTAATAAGTACAGGAGGCTTACTTTAATTTGGAAAGTTAGAAAAGTGATGTTTAAAGTGAGAACTGTAAGACAAGTCACTTTGTCAGTGCAAAGTGGAAAGAAAGTATTTTAAGTAGCAAGGAGAGCATGAGTAAAGACCACGGAGAAGGAAAGCGAGGATGCAGTTAGAGACATGAAAGGACTGCATTGGTGGGGCACCGGGATGAAGGAGATGATGAAGAAGATGTAACCAGAAAGGCTGGCAGGGACAAGGTCATGCTGGGTCTTGCAGGCCAGCATGAGCACTTGAGATTCTTAAAGTAATTGCAAGGGAGCCTTTGAGGGTTTTAATGAGGGCAGTATCTTTATCAGATGTGCACTTGTTTGGGGTTTCTCTGGATTTTGTTGAAAGAACAATTTAAGCAGAAGGCAGATTAGGAAATAGGAGAATCGAGAGGCTGTATATGTTGAGACGCAGTGGTAGCCTAGGGTGACAATGCAGGAAATGGGAAGCAGTGGATGAACTGGGGATATGTTTTGAAGGTAGAATAGATGATGGCTGGGAAGACAGTGACTATTCAAGGGCAGGGGGGTTGGGGGAGGTATCAAGAATGTTTAGAATATAGCTAACCACATACCCTTTTAGAAACAGTCTTCTCTGAACATTTCTCCTGTCTCCAAGCCTCAGTTTCCTCATCTATGAAATAAGAACACTACTACTTCCTTTTTAAGGTTGTTAAACTGGTTAAATGAGATTATGCAGGGAAAGCATCACTAGTCAGTGCTCAAAAATGTGCTTTTTAAATTTCCTCCCTTTGCCTCTTATTCTCAACTTTGTCCTTTGTAATATTATTGTTCTTTAAGTGGGCTTGGTTTTGTCCTATCTTTGCCCATTCACTCACTGCTCCCCATCCACCCAAATCCCCTCTGTATTCTGTTTATGCAAGACTGAGTTTACCCCTTCTCAGTCCATTGACTTATCTCTCCTCACTCATTGACTTGTCCCAGGCAATTTATTCTGCAATCTTGGACAAAAATCTGGATTTTCAGCCAGGTGCAGTGGCTCACACCTGTAAACCCAGCACTTTGGGAGGCCAAGGCGGGTAGATCATTTGAGGTCAGGAGTTTGAGACCAGCCTGACCAACATGACGAAACCCTGTCTCTACTAGAAATACAAAAATTAGCTGGGTGTGGTGACGTGTGCCTGTAATTCCAGGCATGCCTGTAATCCCAGCTACTCGGGAGGCTGAGGCAGGAGAATCGCTTGAACCCAGGAGACGGAGGTTGCAGTCAGGCGAGCTCACGCCACTGTATTCCAGCCTGGGCAACAAAGCGAGACTTCATCTCAAAAAAAAATAATAATAATTCATTATGTAATCCAGCTTTGAAACACTCTTTGGCTACACTTTTGTATGCTTTAAGGAGGAACAAAACACAGATGGTCTCCAACTTACATTGGTTAAATCTACAATTTTTCAGCTTTACAATGGTGCAAAAACAATGTGCATTCAGTAGAAACTGTACTTCAAGTACCCATACAACCATTCTGGTTTGCCCCTTCAGTACAATGTTCAATGAATTATGTGAGATATTCAACACTTTATTATAAAACAGGCTTTATTTTAGATGACTTTGCCCAACCTTAGGCTAATGTAAGTGTTCTAAGCATGTTTAAGGTAGGCTAGGCTAAGCTATGATGTTCAGTAGGTTAGGTGTATTAAAGCAAGTTTTACTTAAGATATTTTCAAGTTACAGTGGGTTTATTGAGATGCAACCTCATTGTAAGTCAAGGAACATCTGTACTTCAGAAGTCATCAAAGCTGCATGAGCAGGACACAAGTCATATGAAAAGCCAGGTAGACATAATGCTATAAAAAATCCCTCCATTGGGCCGGGCACGGTGGCTCATGCCTGTAATCCCAGCACTTTGGGAGGCCGGGGAGGGTGGATCACGAGGTCAGGAGATTGAGACCATCCTGACTAACACAGTGAAACCCCGTCTCTACTAAAAATACAAAAAATTAGCCGGGCGTGGTGGCAGGCACCTGCAGTCCCAGCTACTCGGGAAGCTGAGGCAGGAGAATGGCAAGAACCCGGGAGGCGGAGCTTGCAGTGAGCCGAGATCGCGCCACTGCACTCCAGCCTGGGTGACAGAGCAAGACTCCATCAAAAAAAAAAAAAAAAATCCCTCCATTGTCAGAGTGTGAGCTTCCAGCTCATTATCCCAGAAGCCCGAGATAGCAGCAGTTCTCAGATCTTGTGATAAAGGTCATCTCCTATCCTGGGGCTCTCAGGACCATAATGCAAGAGTCTCCCTCTAAACCTGCCAGCCCCAGGGCTTTTCCCGCCTTCCTCATCCTAAGTCCTGAAAAGTTCACTGGGCCAAATGGTGAACCACGCACTTATTGCCCCATAACCCTTGGTACAAATGTCTCCAAATATATCCATCAAGCCTACATGTAGTACTGAGAATAACAACAGTAGCTAACATTGATTGGACACTTCTAAGCCCCTTAAATCCATTATCTTACTTAATTCTCACAACACTGATCAAGAGTTGGATAAAATAATCCACTCTCAAGCCAGCAAATCTAAACCAGCCACTCTTCCGTATGGATTCCTGCTCTTATGGTAACAAGGGCTTGCCTTCCCCACCTTTATTCTTAACCCTTCTGGAAAACCTCTGCTCCTCCTTTTCTGAGATGGAAAAATTTATAAGTGAAAAACCATTCCATCTTTCGAGGTGTGGAGGGAGGAAAACAATCACTCCTGCCTTCAACTAAGAGTGTGAAAAATAAGCTTAACTAAACCTGAAATACATTTTCAAATGCCTTTGAAAAGACTTATAAATCAAATCACATTTGTCCATCTCTCTGCTCTTCAAAATTATCATGCATGCACCTGAAGTTTAAGCAAAGAAATCCATTAAACAAACAAACCTAAAATCATAAAACCCAGATTTAGAGATTTATCCGCTCAGTCTAATGAATGCCCAATTCAGAATACAATTTTGTCTTCAAAGAGCCCTGAAGGTTCTTATCTTTCTTATCTTTCTATAGTGTTAACAGAAATATTACATCTTTGAAAAGAAGAAAAACATTATTCCCAGAGCTAAAACAGAAAAGGCTTTGAACTATTTTAGGGATAAATCAACTCACAGTTACCAATAAACCAAAAAGAATAAAAAAGACTGTTTCAAACCAAGTTGACTACTCTTACATATATTCAAGTGTCAACTTACAAATCAGTCTTTAAATATACACGTACACTTTCTAACTCTCCTGAAATGTCACCCAAGCCCCCATTCAATCAGCTAAAAACAATTTAATTCTTTCTCTAGGGAGGAAATCAGGTTATCAGATAAGTAAACCTTAAATACCATTTCTAGGCCTGATGTGGTGGCTCATGCCTGTAATCCCAGCACTTTGGGAGGCTAAGGCAGGTGGATCACTTGAGGTCAGGAGTTTGAGAACAGCTTGGCCACATGGTGAAACCCTATCTCTACTAAAAATACAAAACTTAGCCAGGCATGGTGACAGGCACCTGTAATCCCAACTACTCAAGATAATCTGCATACCAATTGTGGGTAGACATAGGTTTTTGTCCAGAGCCCTCCACAGACCCATCCCTTACCTACCATTGTCTCTCGGGCTTCAACCTTATTTGAAAGTCTTAATTTGCAGTTCCACATACTGCAAACACAAGACCCAGTCTTTCTGGTTCTTATTTTACCTGGAGATTAAAATACAGGCTGGGCGTGGTGGCTCATGCCTGTAATCCTAGCACTTTGGGAGGCCAAGGTGGGTGGATTGCTTGAGGCCAGGAGTTTAAGACCAGCCTGGGCAACATGGTGAAACCCCTGTCTCTACTAAAAATACAAAAATCATCCGGGTGTGGTGGTGTGTGCCGACAGTCCCAGCTACTCAGGTAGCTGAGGCATAAGAATCGCTTGAAACCAGGAGGCAGAGGTTGCAGTGAGCTGAAATCTCACCACTGCACTCCAGCCTGGGCAACAAGGCAAGACTGTCTCCAAAAAAAAAATTAAGTTTCTGTCTTACAATATCATAAGAAAATGGCTGGACAGGTTTTCACCAAAGTTGGAGGGTACTTTTGTGATGGGTTTGGTTTAAATTGGTTTAAAATATAAGACACATAGTCCATAGAGAATTCACCTATGGACTATGCTGCTAAGAGAATCTCAAAGAGATGCACTGTTATGCTCCAGAGTTTTGTGAGAGGCCACTAAGGTCAGGAGACACATGCCATATATATCAAGATGCTGTCAACAGAGAAAACCAGTGAGGTTTCAAACAGAAGCCCCGCTCCATTCAACCAGGCAGCCACTCCTCATTGCAGGTGCTGACCTGGGCTTTGGCT
Organism: Homo sapiens; assembly: GCF_000001405.40. NCBI lineage: Eukaryota > Metazoa > Chordata > Mammalia > Primates > Hominidae > Homo > Homo sapiens. The sequence goes on along the minus strand of NC_000016.10, from coordinate 22,597,602 downwards.
GCTTCTCACATGGGCAACTCTATACACTCTATTCCTGGGAGAAGGGCAGCAAAGACCCACTTATTAAATGATGTTTAACAATCCTCGGCCGGGCGCGGTGGCTCACGCCTATAATCCCAGCACTTTGGGAGGCCGAGGTGGGTGGATCATGAGGTCAGGAGATCGAGACCATCCTGGCTAACAAGGTGAAACCCTCTCTCTACTAAAAATACAAAAAAATTAGCCGGGCGTGGTGTCGGGCACCTGTAGTCCCAGCTACCCAGGAGGCTGAGGCAGGAGAATGGTGTGAACCTGGGAGGTGGAGTTTGCAGTGAGCCGAGATCGTGCCACTGCACTCCAGCCTGGGTGACGGCCGTCTCAAAAAAAAAAAAAAAAAATCCTCCAGGCAATTGTGTGACAGCTGGAATGAAAAATCAGGGGCAAATTGTACATATAAGGGAACAATTGTTCATATTTGTGTAAGCTACCCTCCGGAGTCTACAAGTTAAAAGGCACACTTTAATCAATTTGGCAACTTGCATGGCATTTTCCTCCACTATTTGTAGGATGCTGGTATCTCCTTAACAGCTACTGTTTTCCTATGCAACACACAATGACTTCTTGAACACATGGCAGCTTTTCATTTGTTCATTTAACAAATACTTATTGAGTTACTACTATGTGCCAAACACCATTATAAAGGTACTGAGGATACAGCGGTGAACAAGATGGACAAAAATCCCTGCCTTTGTACTACATTCTTGAGTGGGTGTGAGGAGACAATGAACCAAAGAATGAACAAACTGTGTATTGTGCAGGTGTGTCATGGGAAAAAAATGAAGGAGGGAAGAAAAGCGGAAAAGCAGAAAATGTCAGGAATGCACTTCCGTGGCGGGTGGCCAGACAGGTGGCCAAGAAGTGACATTTGAACTAAAGAAGGTATAAGTGAGCAAGCTATGAGGGAATTTGGCAAAACAATTTCGGAGGCGGAGGTCACAGCCAGCAGGTGCAAAGGCCTGGGGCAGGAGTGGGTCCAGGGCATGGGACGGATGGGGAGAAGGTCAGCATGGCTGAAGGAAGTAGGGGGTAAGCTCAAACAAGTCGCAGGTGGGAAACTGAGTGTATTGGACCTTGTAGGCAATTTTAAGAACTTTAGTTTCCACTCATTAACATGGAAAACCACTGGAAGGTTTTGAGCAAAGGAATAACATAATCTGCCTTTTTTTCTTCAAATGCTGTGAAACAAATACTTATTTGACCCTATCACCATTTCTACCTTTGGAAAGGCTATGGTGTGTTACTGGATGTTGAGGATAGCTTACTCTTCAATGTGCAGTAACCAAACTGAATTCATTCTTTCTCAAGATGAGAGAAAGATAAGCCAGGTATGGTGGCTTTCTTAGATAAGCCAGGTATGGTGGCTCACGCCTGTGAGCTGAGGCGAGAGGATCACTTGAGGCCAGGAGTTGAAGACCAGCCTGGGCAACATCGTGAGACCCCTCATCTCTTAAAAATTTTTTTTTAGTTAGCCAGACATTGTGGCATCCGCCTGTAATCCCAGCTCTTTGGGAAGCTGAAGTGAGCTATGATCACGCCACTGCACCCCAGCCTGGGTGACAGAGTGAGACCCCCATCTGTAATTTTGAAAAAAAGACTGGATAGGGCCTGGTTAATACAACTAACTCCCCAAAATTCAAGTTTTTCATATAGGTCTTTTTTAAAAAATAGCTTTAATTGACATAAAATTCACCCATTTAAAGTTTACAATTCAATGGATTTTTATATATTCACAATGTAGTACAACCATCATTATAATTTTTTTTTTTTTTTTAGACAGAGTCTAGCTCTATTGTCCAGAGCTGGAGTGCAGTGGCGTGATCTCAGCTCACTGCAACCTCCATCTCCTGAGTTCAAGCGATCCTCCCACTTTGGCCTCCCAAGTAACTAGGATTACAGGCATGTGCCATCACGCCTGGCTAAGTTTTGTATTTTTAGTAGAGATGGGGTTTCACCACGTTGGCCACGCTTGTCTCAAACTCCTGGCTTCAAGTGATCCACCTGCCTCGGGTCCAAAGTGCTGGGATTACAGGCATGAGCCACAGCACCTGCCCGTAATCTACGTTAGAACTTTTTATCATCCCATCACCCATTTAAGTCTTTACCCATTAGCCATCACTCCCCATTTTCTCAACCCTTCCCGCAAAACCCCTACCCAGCCTTGGGCAACCACTAATCTACTTTCTATACATTTGCCTATTCTGAACATTTCATATCAATGGAATCATACTACATGTGACATTTTGCATCTGGCTTCTTAGAATAAGATTTTCAAGGTTCGTCTATGTTGTAGCATATATCAGCACTTCAGTCCTTTTGAGTTTTTTTTTAACAATCTTTACCATTTTCAAGTGTATCGTTTCATGGCAGTAAGTATATTCACACTGTTGTGTAACCATACCCACCATCCATCTCCAGAACTCTTGTCACCTCTCCAAACTGAAACTCTGTACCCATTAAACAACAATTCCCATTCCCCACCCCACCCCAGTCCCTGGTATGGCAACCACCATTGTACTTTCTGTCTCTATAAATATGACTACTCATACTTCATTTTTTAAATTGCCAAGTAATGTTTCATTGTATGGATATACTGTACAACAATTTAACTATCCATTCAGCTAATGGACATTTGGGGTTTTTTTAACCTTTTGGCTATCATGAATAATGTTCTGATACTTCGTGTGTGTGTATAGATAGATAGATAAATTAAATAGAAGATAGAAGAGAGAGAGAGAGATTGGAGACAGGGTCTCACTCTGTCACTCAGGCTGGAATGCAGTGGCAGGGACACATCTCCCTGCAGCCTCAACCTCCCAGGCTCAAGTGATCCTCCCACCTCAGCCTCCCAAGCAGCTGGGACTACACGCATGTGCCACCACACCTGACTAATGTATGTATTTACTTATTTATTTATGTATTGTAAAGACAGAGTCTAGCTATGTTGCCCAGGCTGGTCTCAAACTCCTGACCTCAAGTGATCCTTCCTACCTCAGCCTCCCAAAGTACCAAGATTACAGGCATGAGCCCCCGTGCCCAGCCTGATACTTTTTTTTTTAAGTATTATTCCAGTTGCCTTGTTGAAAATAGACCCCAAGAAAGCAAATCTCAAACAGAGAAAACTGCTAGGAAGTTCTTGCTGGAATCCAGGTGAGAACGGATAGAGGCTCACATTTAAATGAAGTAGTCAGAAATAGCCACATTTGGATGTATTTTTATACAATTCCTGCTCCTGAAGTCTTCCCCACTCCTTTTTTTTTTTTTTTTTAACCATTACTACAATTGCTTTGCTGCCTTTTTGCTGATTTATTGGATCACGTGTTTAAAACCCTGATGTGAACACCTACATTTATCCTTCTTACTGGGTATGTGTTAGGTATTTAACAAAGTCTTAGTTCTCCTGGAGTCTGCCTGCATGAACCAACCAAATATAAATCTGCAAAATGGGAACTCTACAGTGTCTCTTCAGTTTTGCTGTCAAGATTTCACAGCCTCAGCTTCTAAAATTATTTCATCAAGTTCAATGGATACATATTCTTGAACTCTTTTCTAGCCTATATTTTCCAACAATGTTGCTAACTATATTTCCATACCAGCCTTCTTATCTAACATACTGGTTAAAATGTCAAAAAGCAGAGGGTTTAAAAAGCTTTTCTCGGTGGAATGTGCTTCTCCTTCATACATGATATAACTTGATTTGAACAATGTCACAAAGATATTTTCTCTGTTAGATTAAAATTTTGTTTGCATGAATTTTTCAATAGCTTTAAGCAGTTGAATAGCAATATATGCAGGAAGAAGCTGAGAGACTTATGTAATAGATATTTCATGTATCTATAACCCACACTGCTGCCCAGGAAAGGTGCGCTGCATTAATAGAGAGGATTTTTTCCTGCTGAATACCTTGAGGAGTTGGCCAACACGTTTGGGAGTAGAAGTAGAAAGGGCCAGGTGTGATGGCTCATGCCTGTAATCCCAGCACTCTGGGAGGCCAAGTGGGGAGGATTGCTTAAGCCCAGGACTTTGAGGCCAGCCTGGGCAACAGAGTGAGACTCCATCTCTAAAGAAAAAAAATCATAAAAAACTAAAATTCTCTGCCAAAATGGACACAGAAAAAACTGACAATCCAGAGAAAGATAATATGCAATGAAGCTAGACATGGCCAAATTAGAAAATGATATTGAGAGAGAACAAGAGCAAGAAAGAGGAGCCCTCAGCATTGAGAGGGCTGAGGAAGCACAGAAATGACTGATGGGTTGGTTAGTTAGTTACTTTTTGTGAAGTGTGCAATGTAAATTTCACTTTGGTCTCCCCACCGGAATCATCAACTAAAGTCTACACTGCTATATCGGCTATCTATTGCTGTGTAACAAATTATTCCAAAACTCAGTGGCTTAAAACAACACATTTATTATCTCACAGTTTCTGTGGGTTAGGAATTCGAAGATGGGCCCCCTGCTTCAGGGTCTCCCATGGGTTGCTATCTAGGTGTAAGCTAGGTCTCATCTCAAGACTCAACTGGGGCAGGATCCACTTCCAAGTGCACCCACATGATTATTGGCAGGATTCGTTTCCCATGAACTGTTGTCAGAAGCCGCTTTCAGATCCTTGCCACGTGGGCCTCTCCGAAGGGCAGCTCACAACACAACAGCTTGATTTATCAGAGCAAGCAGGCAATGAGGCAGAACAGGGACCTCTCTTAGGGACATGCAGCACTCCCACCCTCAAACATAGAAATAAAGAAAAATCTTAAGTTCCTTTAAGAAAAATTCCAGGCACTTAGCTAGCCCTTAAAAAATAAATAAGGCCGGGCACGGGGGCTCATGCCTGTAATCCCAGCACTTTGGGAAGCTGAGGCAGGTGGATCACTTGCAGTCAGGAGTTCAAGACCAGCCTGGCCAACATGACAAAACCCCATCTGTACTGAAAATACAAAATTAGCCAGGAGTGGTGGCGCATGCCTGTAGTCCCAGCTACTCAGGAGGCTGAAGCAGGAGAATTACTTGAACCCAGGAGGTGGAGGTTGCAGTGAGCCGAGATCATGCCATTGCACTCCAGCCTGGGCAATGGAGAAAGACTCTGTCTCAGAAATAAATAAATACATCAATAAACAACTTAATAAGCAAGAAGATAATAGTAGCTTAGAATAATGGGCAAAAAAGTTAAAATCATGGGATGTTTGGCTTCCCTATAAAAACTAATGTTCATAGATTGTTTTTCAAAAATGAGGACTCCCCACTAAATGGGTCCAGCAACACACAAGACTCAGATAAGGGGGACCTGAAGGCTAAACTCTTAATACTTTTCTCAGTTCTAAATTTCTTCCTAAGGGGAGTAGAGGAAGTCACACCCCAGGCCAGAACTAACATTCCACTGATCTCAAATTTTTAGACAAGGCTTCTCCTCCTAAGCCAATTACAAATCAAAACATCTTTAAATCTACCTTTGACCCATGGGTTCCCACTTTGAGACGTCCTGCCTTTTTAGGTCAAACCAATGTAGAGCCTCCCATATATTGATTTATAACTTTGCATGTAACCTCTGCCTTCCTGCAATTACAAATCCTTACCTATAAGCCATCCGGGAGCTTGGGACTTAAGCATTAACTAATTATCTTTGCTTGGTGCCCCTCCAATAAATACCCCACTTCCTCTTGCTACAATCCCAATATCAATGTTTGATTTTGCTGTGCTGGGCAGGGGGACCCAAGTTAGGTTCAGTAACAGCAAGAAGGCAAGACAGAGTGTGTGCTAGCAAGACAGAAGTCCGTGTGTTTGGTAACCTAATCTCAAACTGAAATGCCGTCACCTTTGCTGTGTTCTACTGATTAAAAGCTAGTCACCCATATGTTCATTGCAGCACTATTCACAAAAGCAAAGACATTGAATCAACCTAGGTGCCCATCAATGGAGGATTGGAAAAAGAAAATGTGGTACATATATACCATGGAATACTACACAGCCATAAAAAGGAACAAAATCATACCCTTTGCAGCTACATAGATGCAGCTGGCAGCTATTTTCCTAGGTGAATTAATGTAGGAATGGAAAACCAAATACTGCATGTTCTCATTTATAAGCAAGAGCTAAACATTGGGTACACATGGATATAAACATACGAACAATAAAAACTGGGGACTACAGCTGGGCATGGTGGCTCACACCTATAATCCCAGCACTTTGGGAGGCCAAGCTGGGTGGATCACTTGAGGTCAGGAGTTCAAGACCAGCCTGGCCAACATGGCAAAACCCTGTCTCTACTAAAAATACAAAAATTAGCAGGGCGTGGTGGCAAGCACCTGTAATCCCAGCTACTCAGGAGGCTGAGGCATGAGGATCACTTGAATTTGGAAGGTGGAGGTTGCAGTGAGCCAAGATCATGCCACTGCACTCCAGCCTGGGCAACAGAGCAAGACTCTGTCTCAAAAAAAAAAAAAAAACAAAAAACGGGGACTGCTAGATGAGAGAGAGGGAGAGACAAAAGGGCTGACAAACTATGCTCACTATTTGGGTGACAGAACCAGTCATACCCCAAACATCAGCAACAGACAACATACCCATGTAACAAACCTGCACATGTATCCCCTACATCTAAAATAAAAGTTGAAATTATAGGCTGTTCACAGTGGCTCATGCCAGTAACCCCAGCACTTTGGGAGGCTGGGGCAGAAGGATCACTTGAGCCTAGGAAATCAAGACCAGCCTGGGCAACATAGGGAGACTTCCTCTCTACAATAAAATTAAAAATTAGCCAGGCATTGTGGTGTGCACCTGTGGTCCCAACTACTTGGAAGGCTGAGGTGGGAGGATTGCTTGAGCCCAGGAGTTCAAGGCTGCAGTGAGCCGTGATTGTGTCACTGTACTCATCCTGGGCCACAGAGCAAGACCCTGTCTCAAAAAAAGAGACAGCTCACTGTCAGCTCACTGCAACCCCCACCTCCTGGATTCAAGCGATTCTCCTGCCTCAGCCTCCCAAGTAGCTGGGACTACAAGAGCGCACCACCATACCCAGCTAATTTTTGCATTTTTTTTTTAGTAGAGACAAGGTTTTACTATGTTGGCCAGGCTGGTCTTGAATTCCTGACCTCGTGATCCGCCCGCCTCAGCCTCCCATAGTGCTAGGATTACAGGCGTGAGCCACCGTACCTGGCCGAGAAATTATTTTTTAAGTGAAAATAAAAAAATAAAAGCTAGTCACTAGGTCCAGCCCACAGTCAGGGCAAGGGGTCACAAAAGGACGTGAATATGAGGTGGCAGGGATCATTTGGGGTCATCTTAGAAGCTGTCTACCACAATGTTCCACTATGAATTATTTCAGAGGATTCACACCTGGGGCAAGGAGGTACATCGATAGCATGCAACCAGAAGGAGTCCTGAGACAGTCATTTGCAGAAACCCTGGTGAAGTTTTGGTTTTCCTTGGCCATGCAATCAGGGGCTACTCACTGGCTGATGGACTCAGCTGACACCCAGATTAATTTGAGAACTGTATCCACAGTCATTAACTAGGGGGCAGTGCCCAACTGTCCCCAAGCCAGAAGTAAGAGGTATGCATCTTCACGACCTCAATGACAAACTTGATCATATAAAATAGGCAGCATTCATTGACCTGGTTCAGGCTACGCCGGAGGTGGACTACCACCTGGAAACAGAGAGACATTGCGGAAGCTTCCCTGAGGTTCCCCTTGCAGCCTTCAGGGGTGAATTCTTTGACACTGGGTGTTTGAAATGGAGCAATCAAGGCCCCAGCAAAAAACAGATGCACACTCCAATGGGGTAATTGAGGACAGTTTAGGAAAGAGATTATTTACAGAAGTGTGGACAGGATTAAGAGAAAACAAGGATGTGGAGCACGCTGGTATTATCAACAGTGGGGTCTAAAAGGGAAGGAGAGAGAGAGAGAGAATCCTGGAACCCAGAGAGAGCTGTCGCTGTAAGACAGAGCTGCCCAACAGGAACTGTGGCCTTTGGGGAGAAACTGAGCCACTGCAAACTCTCAGCCCGGAAGGAAAGAAGCCAAAGGAATAAATACCCTGACCTCCCCTTCCACCCTCCAATCTCCTACTGGGTCCCCACTGGCCAGTCTGGCTCCCTGGGCACACTAGAGTTGAGAAGAACGGACAGCGGATTTGGAGGCGCAAGCAGAAAGTATCCAAAACCTAGACAGAAGCCAGGCAGCTTCACATGAGCTTTTTAAAAGTGTAGAAGTCATAAAAATTCTCCTGGGAATGAGCAAACACATGGGCTTTCAGAAGCTGAACACAAAATAGCTTTTAAAATGAAAGTCTGCTCTGGAAGGGAAAAGGTGGTTCCTGGCAATGTGCAGAGGAGGATTAAAGTCCCCACCCTCAACTCCAGCCTGCTGTGTCTTCCAAGAGAGAATTCCCCAGAGCCTGGACTAGGGAAGCATTGGCACCACTGGGAAAAGCTGCTACAGCCCTTGTTGGGCGGCTCTTTCTCACAGCTACTGAAGCTGCCTTTGCAAAGATTATGACAGTGAGAGAATCTGGTGTTGCTGACTCCATCTTGTTTCTAGCCTCACAGGCTAACTGTCCTCACTCATTCCTGGGCATAGGCCAAGTTAATCATGGGATGAATTTTTTTATTTTATTTATTTGCTTTTTGAGACAAGGCCTCACTCTGTCACCCAGGCTGGAGTGCAGTGGCATGATCACGGCTCACCACAGCCTCGAATTCCCTGGTCTCAGGGTGGTCCTCCCACCTCAGCCTCCAGAGTAGCTAGGACTGCAGGTGCATGTTAACTTTTTTGTATTTTTTGTGGAGATGGGGCTTCGCCATGTTGCCCAGTCTGGTCTTGAACTCCTGGGCTCAAGCAATCTGCCTGCCTTGGCATCCCAAAGTGCTGGGATTGCAGGTGTGAGCTACTGCACCTGGACAGGAATTTAGTTTATAGTTTAATTTGAAAGCAAGGATGATAATAGTGTTCCACTAAAACTGATTCCCTCATTGTTTCAGGGCTTAAACCACCTTTGTAAAACTAAGGAAAGGCCACAAGATTAGGGAGGGGCCTGAATTCTGCTAAAATGGAGGCATAGTCTTAGGCATAGTTTTAGAACCAGCCATTGTTCTATAAGTCACAAGATTTGTGACTTCCCCAATTGCTCCCATATATAACATCACTATTATAGAACCTAGGATTGGTCTTGTGAGATGTTTTTCAGACTTTGCATTCTGGCAAATAACTGACCCCACCTGGACTTGTAACTCATGACTCAACTGGTCCTGTGGCCCCTACCCAGAGGTGGACTCAGAGCACCAGGACCATTTCCCACACCTCTATTGCATCCCCAACTAATCAGCAGCACCCATTGCCTAGTCCTCTGCCCACCAAACTATCTTTGAAAAACCACAGGCTGGGTGCGGTGGCTCATACCTGTAATCTCAACACTTTGGGAGGCCAAGGCGAGGGGATCACCTGAGGTCAGGAGTTCGAGACCAGCCTGACCAACATGGAGAAAACCTGTCTCTACTGAAAATACAAAATTAGCCGGGCATGGTGGCACATGCCTGTAATCCCAGCTACTTGGGAGGCTGAAGCAGGAGAATCACTTGAACCCGGGGGGCGGAGGTTGCGGTGAGCCAAGAGCACACCATTGCACACCAGCCCAGGCAACAAGAGCAAAACTCCACCTCAAAAAGAAAAGAAAAGAAAAGAAAAACCACAACCTCCAAGTTTTTGGGGAGACTGATTTGAGTGATAACTCCAGTTCTTCCACATGGCCAGCCTCAAGTTAATTAAACTCTTTCTTCACTGCAATACCACAGTCTCAGCAAACTGGTTTTGTCTATGCAGTGGGTAGGAAGGTTGAGTAATCACACTACAGTTCTTTCTGGATTCCAGGAGTCTCTCTCCCCTTCCCTTTTAGACCTGGTTGGTAAGGGCTCTGTGCTGTTGACAGTTCCAGAGTACCTCACATCCTTTGTTTCATTTAACCCAGTCCATGCTTCTGTAAATACTCTCTTTGCTAAACTGTCCTCAAGTAATTGATTTTAATGTGCATCCATTGCCTGCCAGGACCTGATTAGTCCATTTCAAGCATCCAATATCAAAGAATGCACCCAAAACAAAGATGCTGTTAGGAAACACAGAACTGGGCACTGCAAAGGTCTTTGAGCATGACACAAGGATGTTGCAAGAGCGGCAGGCCCAGAAGGCAAGTGGGGATTGAAGAACCTTAACAGCATATTCACGGGGCTCAGTCCTAGGATTCAGCATCATGACATATCACCTCCAAGCTTCCATGCTTTCATTTGTATAGCTAAGACTTGACAAGACTAGTGAGGGTGTCCGATGATGAGGACAGTCAAGGATGTTAAATTCCTGACTATACATTAACAAGGAGGAAAAAAACTAACAAACCTGCATCAGTGTGAAGACCAGAAAGGCCTGTCCACAGAGCCAGATGACAAGGTACAACAGGATGCTGTTGAAAAAAATCAGACTAGATAAGAGCAGGTTGCTGTGTGAGCAAACTCAGACCATACAAGAGAACTATAGGCCCCTCTCCTCCAGCCCAGAATTCCTGCCCTGAGTGATGCTAAATCAGGAGGAAGAAAAGCAGGAGATGATATTGGCTACCCTCCGGGGACAGGAAGCATCACCTGGTTGGACTACCAGACTGCCATTCACACTTATATACATGGAGTCAGTCGGGTATGACTCAGTCCCCTGAGGCCAAATGTCAGCGAGGAGAGTGGGAGGAGCAAATCTCTCTCCTCCATTAGAGTTGTCTCCGGAACAAACCCAGGTCTCAAGGCAAAGGCCTCACACACTATTTTGCTATTTTGTCACCCACGTAAAGTTTTCAGAAACAGGATCCCTGTAGCTCATCAGGCACTCAGGTGCATCAAAGCTGAATTCAGGGTAAAGATTGATGCTGTGGCCCAGTGAAGCTGAGATGCCCATACTCTCTCTGTTCAGGTTATAGAGAAAACGGGCACTTTGTGATCACTTATACCCATAATAAAAAACAATTTGTGTGCATCTCATGAGCAAGAAAAATAAACAGGAAAAAAGAAAGCAACCCAACTACTTGTAAGTATAAGGAAATCCAACCCATATTTGTTCATATAACTGAAAGGTCCAGGGGCAAACCTGCAGGTATGGTTTGATGCAGGTGCCAACATCTTTTGCCAGGACCCAGTGTTTCTCACACCCTTTCTTTTTTCTTTTTTTCTTTCCTTCTTTCTTTCTTTTTCTTTTTGTCTTTCCTTCTTTCTCTCTTTTTTTTTTAACAGGATCTCACTCTGTCACCCAAGCTGGAGTGCAATGGTGCAATCTCAGCTCACTATAGCCTCAACCTCCCAGGCTCAAGCAATCCTCCCACCTCAGCCTCCTGAGTGGCTAGGACCACAGGCATGCACCACAATGCCCAGCTAATTCTTTTCATTATTTATAGAAACAGGGAGTCTCACTATGTTGCCAGGGCTGGTCTCGAACTCCTGGGCTCATGTAATCCTCCCACCCACCTAAGCCTCCCAAAGTTCTGGGATTACAGGTGTCAGCCACCATGCCTGACCTCACACCATTTCTTAACTCCATTCTTCTCACTCCATTTCTTAATTTCATTCCTTTATAAAGCTTCTCTTCTTACTATTTCAAGATGGCTGCCCAATTCATGTGCAGAGGAAAGAGAAGTTCTTTCTCTTTACTCTGACAGTTGAATAAAAAATCCAAAGCCTGGCTCTCTTTGGTCCATCCCTGAATCAGTCATTATGGCCTGGGGAATGGAGTACGCTAATTGACTTAAGGGAATCAGGGCCCAGCACTGGAGTGAAGGTGGGGCTAATGCCACCTAATCCACTGGAGAGTACCAAAAGTGTGCTTCCCCAAAGGAAATTCACAATACTGTGGGAAAGGATGAATTGATGCTGACTCACTATAAATGACAAATGCAAAAGATAAACATACCAGGCCCCACTCCTTGCAGGAAGCAAAAGATCCTAGAGGGAGAGGCTGACATGGAACAGGATGTCTGACCAATAAAACTTCTTCCAATAAGGATTCACAGACATAGTCATACCTTCCAGGCTAAGTAAGGCTCAATTCCAGGCAGCTGTCTGTCTCAGCTCCTCATGCACATCCGTCGCTTCTGTCTACCCAGCATTTGTTTCTCCCTTATTCAGTTCTCATTGCTGTGTAACAAATTGACAGAAGTGCATCAACTAAAGCAACACAAATGTATTATCTCACAGCTCTATAGGTCAAAATCCAAGCACGGCTCAACCGGATTCTCTGCTCAGGGTCTCATGGGGCTGAAATCAAGGTGTCAGCTGGAGCTGTAGTCTTATCTAAAGCTCAGGGTCTTCTTCCAGGATGATTGGTTGTTTTCAGACTTCCGCTCCTTCTGATTATCTTGAGATAGGAGGCAGGACTTGACTCTGGAGGTGGGGCTTGGACACCGGACCAAGTTCAGGACTAACTAAAACAGAGCTGGGAGGGAAGCAGCTTTCCCTAAGACACACCCACCAGTGTGCCAGGTCAGTTTACCATTGACACGGCAATACCTGGGAGTTACCACCCCTTTCCATGGCAATGACCTGATGACCTAAAGTTACTACCCCTTCTCTAGAAAGTTCTGCAGAAACCACCCTTGAATCTGCATATAATTAAAAGCAGGTATAAATATGACTGCAAAACTGCCCAGAGATGCCACTCTCTGGTTACAGGGTAGCCCTGCTCTGCAGGAGCCGTCATGGAGCTGTAACACTGCAGGAGCTGTAACACCACCGCTTCAGTAAAGCTGTTTTCTTCTACCTCCAGCTTGCCCTTGAATTCTTTCCTGGGCAAGGCCAAGAACCCTCACAGGCTAAGCCCCAGTTTGGAGTTCATCTACCCTGCATCAATATGACTGAGGTCTTGTTTTCTTGCTGGCTATCGACCAGAGACCTCTCTTACCTCCTAAAGACAAACCTAGGTCCTTGCCCTGTGGCCTCTCCATAGGCTTTCTCACACTTTGAGCATCTCTGACTTCAGGAAGGGCCTAGTCCCTTTTAAAGGTGCACCTGATTAGGTCAGGCCCACCCAGATGTTCTCCCTTTTGATTAACTCAAAATCAACTAACTAGTAGCCCAGTCAGGGCAGGGCTATTCCATCACATCCTCTAATTGTGCAGCACTGGAGAGGAGGAGATTGCACAGATTGTGCACACCAGGGAGCAGGGATCTTGGGGGCCATCTCAGAATTCTGCCTACCACATTTTAGTAATTGATCTCTTCTGGAATCAGTCCTTTCCTGCTCAGTCAATGTTATTTGTGGTAGGATTTAGGGTAATCAGACCTAGCCTTGGCCAATTGGTGTAACCATTGTCTGGGCCACAGTGGTCAGATCAGAAATGGGCACCTGCCTCAAGCAAGCCCAATCAGACCTAACCTGGGGACTTTTGCTGAAGTAACTAGGAAAGATCTCTCTCTCTCTCTCTCTCTCTCTCTCTCTTTCTTGTTATTGCGGAAGTGTTAGGCTGTAAACTTAGAGCTGATGGTGGACACCATGTGCTATGATTCAAATGACCCCCCAAAACTCATGTTGAAACTGAATCCCAAAAGTGGGAGCATTGAGAGGTGGGACCTTTAAGAAGCGATTGTATCCCTCTTGAGGGCAGAGCCTTTACTGACCACCTAATGTTTTATTAAAGCTTGTTCTGCACCACCCCTATCCCTACCATCACCATCTGGAGCTCTTGATCCTTTCCTCCAGATTTCTTTGCTCCATAATATTTATCACTATCTGATACAGGGGTGTGTGGATGTGAACATGTATATGTGTGCATGTGTGTGTTTATGGTCCGCCTCTCCCAGTCCCCGGTAGACTGTAAGCTTCATGAAAGCAGGGCTTTGTGTACTGTTGCTTCTGTAGCATGGGGTCTGCCAAAAAAGTAGCTTCTCCATAAATGTTTGTTAAATGAATATATTCTGATTCTATCTCCCCCCTCCTCCAGAATGGATCTAAAGCTTCCCAAACTTTGCCTGAGTGAGTGTCCTACTGAGTTCAATTTTGTTTCAGAAAGGATGTGTGTATGTTCACCCATACGCTGCACAAATATGTAATGGACACCAGCCATGACCAGCCTACTGGGGACTGCTTGGCAGTAGCAACACGGCAGCGAACAAGACAGATGAGCCTCCTGCCCACAGAAGCTTACATTCGGGTGGAATACAGGCTGGTGAGTTGTCATGCCGATTCCTCCAACCCCAAACCCTTTCCAGTATGGCAGGTCCTGGAGCTGGACTGGCCACCATTGAGAATCCACCCAACTGCCCATCAGCATCTCAAGTTCCCTGTTGCAAGATGCCAGGGAACATGAGAGAGGACCGTGGGGGAGAGTGAGCTCTCAATGAACCTGGTGTGGCAGGGAGAAGACGAAGATGGGGCAGATCCCCAGGGGGAAGACAACTTAAGGGCAGATTTGTTGAACTAAGTTACTTCAAAGGGTCTTCCATCTTCCAGCATGAGCAAAGAAGATGACCACACACCTGGGGGAGAGTCAGATGGCTTCTTCAATTGGAACGTTCTTCCCTAAGGATGAGCTAATATAGCACATGACCTGAAAATCCTTCTGGGAGACTCCAGGTAAAAGGGCCTTGACTGCACCAGGGAGAGAAGCTAAGTTGTAGATTTGGGGGAAATGAGTGTTAGAACAGTGAGTGCTCAAGGGAAGTAGTTAAGTGAGCCATGAGATACAAAGTCTGCCATGGCAAAGTAGGTGGAACAACCATGTTATGAGTATAAGTTCTGACCCCAGCTTTCCTGTGATTTCTAGGACCCTTGGTCTTGAAGATGGGAAATAAATGGGTGCATGACAGAAGTTAAAGACCATTATTAGGTATCAAGTACCATAGCACTTTTTGGAGGCAGAAGAGCTTGACAAATGGGCATAGTGTACATAGTAAATGATGGTAAGGGTAAAGGATAAAATGTATCATCTTCCTGTCATCAGAATGGGACCAGCACTGTGTAAGGTGGGCATGTTAATGACATGATATATAAGACAGCTTTTGCTACAATAACAAGGAACTCCCTAGGCCTGGCACGGTGGCTCATGCCTATAACCCCAGCACTTTGGGAGGCTAAGGCGGGTGGATTACCTGAGGTCAGGAGTTTGAGACCAGCCTGGCCATCATGGCGAAACCCTGTCTCTACCAAAAAATACAAAAATTAGCCAAGCAAGGTGGCACTGCCTGTAATCCCAGATACTCGGGAGGCTGAGGCACTAGTGGTGCTTGAACCCAGGAGGCAGAGGTTGCAGTGAGCCGAGATCACTCCACTGCACTCCAGCCTGGGTGACAAAGTGAGACTCCATCTCAAAAAATAACAATAACTTAAAAAAAGAGAAATAGCTCTCAAATCCCAATAGATCCCTATAACAAATATTTGTTTCTTGCTTCTGAGTCTTCAGGTTGGCTGTGATTACACTGGGTTTGGCTTGGCTGAGCTCAGCTAGGTTCTGCTGAGCTCAGCTTGGCTCCAAGGTTTGGGTTGAGTTCAGGTCTGCTCCACATGTCCCTTCACATGAGAAGCAATTGCCAAGAGGTCAAGTCAAATCATGCAGCACATTTAAAACTTCTGCTGGGGGAAAATGTGTCTGCTCACATTCCAATGACCAAAGCCCAAAGTTAGAAGGGCAAGGAATTAGACTCTACCTATTGAGATGTACTACAAAGTCACATGGCAAAAAGCTTATAATTCTAATAAAGGAACTAAGCAGAATCACTAGGAGCAATCACCTAGTCCGCCACACATGGAGATGTGCCACAGGGACTCAGAGACTGGAAGGAATTCCCCAGGGCCAGAGTTCTCCTGGGAAACTACAGCCTCCACCATTGCCTCCCAGATTTCATCAGCATCTCTGTAGTCTGGCTCATCAGAGGCCACAACGGAGATAAAGGCAAATAAAGACTTCAGCTGCTGGCAAGCTGCAGATATCTCCATGGATCAGCCAAGCCCATGTCTCTTTCTGAAACAATCAGTAATCGGGGAAGTGACAACAGAAAAGCGTAATACAAACTACCTATGGTATTGGAAGAATCCCAGGAATCGTTGGAGGTCTTGAATGAATTTGAAGAGGGTACTCAGTTCAAGACTACTTTAAGACACACACTTTGTAGATGTCCCAACTAGACACTGTGTGGCCTGGGAATTCTGCAATGTTTACTTTTTTTCAATTATATTATGTTATAATATATTTATAAGAAATATATATCATATATAAGATTATATATAGCTTATGTATCTAAATATAATATAGATATATTATATATCTAAATATAATCTTTGATATATATCTCATATATTATCTTATATATGATATATTATCATATACATGAGTTATATGTATCTCATATATATTATTTTCTTATATATATGAAATATATCTCATATATATAAGATATGAGAGCTATATATCTCATATACAGATATAGATATCTATCTACATCTATATTCCCAGGCCACACAGTGTCTAGTTGGGACATCTACAAAATGTGTGTCTTAAAGTAGTCTTGAACTGAGTACCCTCTTCAAATTCATTCAAGACCTCCAACGATTCCTGGGATTCTTCCAATACCATAGGTAGTTTGTATTACGCTTTTCTGTATATGACATATATATCTCTCATATATGAGAGATATATATGTCATATACAGATAGATATAGATCATTCCATCACCCAGGCTGGAGTGCAGTGGCACAATCATAGTTCATTGCAGCCTCAAAATTCTGGGCTCAACTGATCCTCCCACTTCAGCCTCCTGAGTGGCTGGGACTACAGGTGTGTGCCACCAGGCGGGGGCTAATTTTTCTTTTTTTGGAGACAGAGTCTCACTCTGTTGCCCAGACTCAGATGTAGTGGTGCAATCTCAGCTCACTGCAACCTCCACCCCCCAGGTTCAAGCAGTTCTCCTGCTTAGCCTCCCAAGTAGCTGGGACTACAGGCACGTGCAACCACTCCCAGCTAATTTTTTGTATTTTACTAGAGACGAGGTTTCACCATGTTGCCCAGGCTGGTCTTGAACTCCTGAGCTCAGATACCTGCCCGCCTCAGCCTCCTAAAATACTGGGATTACAGGAGTGACCCACCCACTGCCCCCAGCCTTTTTTTCTTTTTTTTTGGTAGGGACAGGATTTCCCTATGTTGCCCATGCTGGACATGAACTCCTGGCCTCAAGTGATCCTCCTGCCTCAGCCTCCCAAAGTGCTAAGATTATAGGTATGAGCCACCAGGCCTGGCCCAATATTTCTAAAGGCCCCTCAAGAGGCAAAAGTGGGCAAAGGACTTTTAAGGACAAAAAATGCCTAGTATTGAATATTAAGTTGTTTACTGTGTTGTAACTCTCTTCCATGACTTCAGTAAAGCAGAGTAAACACACACATGCCCCAAGACACAGTAACCTCTGTTTGGTAGTACAGCCCATCACAAGCAGCTGTGGCTGAACCCCTGGGTACCAGGACTAGAGAGGATAACTTCATTGTAAGTTCCACTGGATGTTAGGCTGAAGTTGCAGCCCCCATCAAGCCAGGCTTGGTGTCTGGAGCGGGCCTGAAGGTAGAGATTCTGCAAAAGGATCTAACTGGGGTGATATTCAAAAAATTTAGAAGCCAGAATGGCACAGGTCCTGACCGATAAGAACCAGAGCCAACATGCTGTGATCTGCATACAAGTGCCAGTGATCCCTGCCTCCAGCTGAGGAGGGCTGTGAAGGATGGAGGCTAGAAATCCATCAGGAGAGCTGACATTGAAAGGTGAATGGGAGCAGCACCTGCCAGCGTGACCTGCTGCTTTCCTGCATGCAAAGGACGGTGCATTTCAACCTGAGACCCTGGGGTTCCTGCAGGGCATCAGCTAGATTTGTCTTCCTGCCTGGGATGATCACCAATTATATGTGCTGTGAGGCAAACTGTCCTCCCGCCAGAGGAGGAGGTGAAGGGATTTACAGAATCTCTCTCTGATCTGACTTATTAGAGAAGTTAAAGGACACCCGTCCAGGAGGCAGCACAGTACAGAGATAAAGAAGTCAGGATTCAAATTTGTCCTATCTGGGAAGCTTAGACAAGAGCTCCTTAACCTCTCTCACACTCAGTCCCCTCATCTGGTAAATGGGAATCCTAACAGTGCCTACCTGGCAGGAGCATGGCCACAATGAAATGAGCTAATGACACAGTGAAAGCCCTTAGACAGCCTGACCCAGAGTCAGACCTCTGTAATGGGAGTCATTATTCAAGATGGGAGGAAAGAAACAGGAATTAGATCAGAAACAAATGACCAGAAAGAGAGATGAAATACAAAAGCTACATGAAGTCGGCAGTGTGAAGCCTGACTCGCAGGAGAGTGGATTTTGTTACTGTTTGCTTTTTCTTGTCCAGGATAATCCAAGACTGGCAGAAAGTGAGAATACCGATTGAGATCCAAGGACATCCTCATGGGAGTCTGTGCAGACAGGTTTTCATCAAGAACCCCTCTCCAAGCAGCTGGTCCAGCCCAGCTAAACTGGGGGCTGCTGTTTGTAAGAAAATTAATGCTCTGGGCCAAGCACGGTGGCTCATGCCTGTAATCTCAGCACTTTAGGAGGCCAAGGCAGGCGGATCACTTGAGGCCAGGAGTTCAAGACCAGCCTGGCCAACATGGTGAAATCCCGTCTCCACCAAAAATGCAAAACTTAGCTGGGCATGGTGGCGCATGCCTGTAATCCCAGCTACTCAGGAGGCTGAGGCAGGAGAATCACTTGAACCCGGGAGGTGGATGTTGCAGCGAACCAAGATCATGCCACTGCACTCCAGCCTGGGTGACAGAGTGAGGCTCCATCTCAAAAACAAAAACAAAAAAAATTAATGTTCTGTACCTGAGGAGCACCCATTTGCTGCTACTTCCCTGCCAGGATGAAGGAAAACCAAGTCAGACATTAAATAACACGTGCAGGATCACAGGATCACACCTTTCACACTGCAGTCTTAGTTTTCTATAAAACCACGTGACCTCTGAAAATACACTCCAGCCTCTGCAACACCTACTCATGACGCTTTGTAAAATCCACCGCCTTTTAGGGACACCAAGATTTTCGGAAACATGCAGTTTTCTTACCTCCAGATGAGATGTCTACTGTGGATAGGTGACTAGGAGGAGAACCCAAGGTGTGCTGATGGCAGAACAGAAGCACCTAGGATGCCACCAGGGAAACGCCCTGACAAGCAGCTGTGATGCTGTCTTCGAGAAGGTGTTTGCAAACACCACTGCTGCCCCCCTTCCCTGAGCCCTGACTTCCTAAACCTAAGGCTAAAAGCATCCTGGCAATTCCCGGAAGTAACTTCATTCTAGCAGGATCGAGCCAGTGGGTGGAGTTTTCTCAGCCCGCCAGGATCACATCAGTGACTGACTTACCCAATGTACTTTTATTTTTTATTTCAACCAATTCCCCAAAGCCCAGAGCAACTTAAAACCAGAAGAGCCACCACCATCTCCACCAAAAACAGGGAATATTTTGAGAGTTTAATGATAACTTCACAGCCATCCATTCAGCTGAGTCCCAAGGAAATGGAAGACACCTGAAAAATGTATTTTTAAATTGATTTAACGTTGAGCCATGTTAAATGTTTTAACTTCCAACCAATGCAATGCCCACCAAAACATCAATTAGTCCCAGCAATCAGGCAAGAATATTGGCTTCTGCTCAGGGATTCATTTATTTCAGCTCTGCTAAATATCGTAGAGGAGAAATCCAATGTAGCCTGTAGCTTCAAGAAAGTGAAATTAAGCCCAAGTAGAAACTAGATGAGGCCCTGGCTAAAATGGTGCCTTTTCTTGCACTGCCTCTCTCTGGTATCTCTCTAAAGTGAGGGCAGCAACTTGATTGTAAGGGTCTCGTGCTGTTAACAGAAAACACCCTTCCTTCCCCACAGGTTCTCTGTCTCCAAGCTGGAAAACAAAAGAGGCTGCAATGGGACAGAGAAGGGCTTCCTGCTGAGGAGATGAGTGGGCTTAAGAATTTGCAAGATCAAAAATCAAAACAATTAAACCCATGGAGATAGAGTAGAAGGAGAGTGAACAGAGGCTGGGAAGGGTAATGGGAGAGTTGGTGGGGAGGAGGCAGATGGTTAACGGGTACAAAAAAAACAGAAAGATGAGTAAGACCTACTTTTCCATAGCACAACAGGATGACTATAGTCAACAGTAATTTTTTTTTTTTTTGAGATAACGTCACTCTGTCACCCAGGCTAGAGAGCAGTGGCATGGTCTCTGCCCACTGCAACTTCTGGCTCCTCAGTTCAAGCGATTCTCCTGCCTCAGCCTCCCGAGTAGCTGGAATTACAGGCGCACACCACCATGTCCAGCTAATTTTTGTATTTTTATAGAGATGGGGTTTCACCATGTTGGCCAGGCTGGTCTTGAACTCCTGACCTCAGGTGATCCACCTGCTTCGGCCTCCCACAGTGCTGGGATTACAGGCATGAGCCACTGCACCCGACCCTATAGTCAATAGTAATTTAATCGCACATTTTAAAATAACTGAAAGAGTACAATTGGATTGTTTGTAACACAAAGGATAAAGGTTTGAGGTAATGGATACCCCATTTTACATGATGTGATTATTACACATCGCATGCCTGTATCAAAACATCTCATGTACCCCATAAATATATATACCTACTATGTACTAACGAAAATTAAAATTTAAAAAAATTAAAAATAATTTGCAAGATCATTTTTAATAATTATTTTTCATTTGGGGTGCATTTTCACCATCAAGGCCCCAGGGTTTCCCTGCCCTAGATGAGGGTCTGGATCCAGGGAACGGTGTCCCACCATCTGGAGCATCCTGTCTCTACACACGTTGGCCAGCTGCTTGGGGCAACACAGGACGATGTGCTCAGGCCACTCACCACAGGAGCTTGGCCATTAGAACCAGCAGGGGACAACCAAGCCAAAGACCCCACGACTGGAGAGCTCCTAAAAGCAAATACAAAATAAGAGTACACATGAAGTTCTGGCAGCAAGCAGAAGGTAGACACATCATGTCCAACTCCCCGAGTCTCTCTCTGGGGCCACTTGATGCAGAGCCTTGATTTGTTCGTCTCTTAAATGGGAACAATGACCCCCAAAGAGGAGGAGGGGTGGGGGAGTGAGAATTAAATGAGATTGTGTCAGTCAGCATGTACTAGGGAGCTTGTTAGAAACACCAATTCCAGGATCCCCTAGAGATTCTGATTTAGCAAGTCTGCCAGGAGACCCAGGAATTTGTTGTATTTTAAGCATCTCTCCCAGGTGATTCTGATAATTAAGCAACTTTAGGAAAGAAAAGATTAGGGCTCTGGTCCATAGGAAGGGTTCATCCAATGGCAGCCCTCACTTAGGCCCTTGGGGTGAATGAAGGAGGGGCATCCAGGATCTTGCCCAGCCAGGGACATGCAGGGAACATCTTTTTAAGGGGCCCTCATCACTTTCTGACACTGCTGTTTCAAGGGAAAACTGGTCACACCTTTCTGCAGGGGATTTGACAACATCCATTACAAAAAAAAATTTAAGACAGAGTCTCGCTCTGTCACCCAGGATGGAGTGCAATGACGCCATCTCGGCTCACTGTAGCCTCTGTCTCCCAGGTTCAAGCGATTCCTCTGCCTCAGCTTCCCTAGTAACTGGGACTAAGGCATGTGCCACCACACCTGGCTAATTTTTGCATTTTTAGTAGAGACGGGGTTTCACCATGTTGGCCAGGCTCATCTCAAACTTCTAACCCCAAGTGATCCACTTGCCTCAGCCTCCCAAAGTGCTGGGATTACAGGCATAAGCTGCCACATCCAACCAACATCCATCAAAATTATAAATGCAGACCCTGTGATCTAGCAATCTCACTTTGAAGAGTTTATCCTACAGACATACTGCACAGATGCAAATTATATCAGGTCAGGAGCTGCAGCATTGTTCATAACAGCAAAAAAAAAAAAAAATAGAAACAACTGCAAGGTCCATCTACAGACCTCTGGTTGAATACAGTTACGGCATAGCCATAAAACCAACAATGGCACAGCTCCTGTGCACAGATACAGAACTCCCTCCAAAGTATATGGTTAGGTGAAAAATACAAGGTGCAGAATAAGGTGTATAATAAGCTTTTGTGAAAAGTGCAGAGATCATCTATATTTGATTTGCTGTGTATGCATAGAATATCTCTGGACAAATACACAAGAAGCTGCTAACATTGGTTGCCTCTGGGGAGGGAACAGGGTGGCTGGGGGACAGGGGCTGGAGGAAAAGATTTCACCACATGCCTTGCAGACTTTACATATTCGGAACCCTGTGCATTATCTATTGCACATATTATCTATTCATGCAAAATGCTATAACATTTACAAATAACTTTTAAATATATGCATATCATATTTCAATGGAAAGTTTTTTTTTGTTGCTGTTTGTTTGTTTGTGATGGAGTTTTGCTCTTTTGCCCAGGCTGGAGTGAACTGGCATGATCTCAGCTCACTGCAACCTCTGCCCCCAGTGTTCAAGCAACTCTCCTGCCTTAGCCTCCCGAATAGCTGGGATTACAGGTGCCCCTCACCACACCTGGCTAATTTTTGTATTTTTAGTAGAGACGGGGTTTTGCCATGTTGGCCAGGCTGGTCTCAAAACTCCTGACCTCAGGTGATCCGCCCACCTCGGCCTCCCAAAGTGCTAGGATTACAGGCATGAGCCAATGTGCCCAGCCTCAATGAAAAGTGTTTTAAAGTAATAATATAATACATCAAAAGGCATGATTTATGTTTTCAAGTGCCACCTCTGGCCACTTGTGGCTGCAGAAATGGGGAATACTCCAATTCACCATCCCTATGTGAAGGCAGGACAGGGAGACATTCAAGTCAGGAAAAGGTGGAGTGGAGGTTTTAGTCAAGCACCAAGTCCTCTGACTTCTCTGGGCACTTGCCCATGCCGGTACCTACTCCTGAGACACTGTCTACCTCGCTAAGCCCATCTTCTTCTCACCTTGTGTCTCACCTGAGACATCACTGACTTTAGGAGGTTTCCTGACCCATGTGTGTTCCCCATCTCAGCACCCAGCACCTGCCTCATGTTCACCAGGGTACATGTCTTCCCTCCCCGCCAGGCTGCACTGAGAGCTCAATGAGGGTAGGGAACATCTCTGTTCCCCATCTTGTTAGAAGCTATCTCCCCAGAGCATGGTCCAAATGTGGTGTTAAGAACAGAAGGTACCACAAAGAAGTGAGAAAGTGAAGGGGAAATGGGGAGAGCTGTAAGAAAGGCATGGGGGAGAAAAAGGAAAGAAGGCCATGTTCCCAGGATCCAATGCCACTCCCTGGGGAGGCTTCTCTATCTTAGCTCAGCCCTCAGTCACTATCACCCTCCCTGGTCTTGTCAGATTTGAAATATCTTCTTCATTTACAAGAGGGCCTTATCTATCTTGCACACCTCTGTATTCCCAGCCCCTACTGCAGACTTGGAACATAGTAGGTGCCCAGTAAACATGGGTTGAATTAATTAATATTGGACAGGCCAGGCTTGGTGGCTCGCGCCTGTAATCCCAACACTTTGGGAGGCTGAGGTAGGCAGATGACCTGAGGTCAGGAGTTCAAGACCAGCTTGGCCAACATGGTGAAGCCCCATCTCTACTAAAAATACAAAAATTAACCAGGTGTGGTGGCACACACCTATGATCCTAGCTACTGGGAGGCTGAGGTGGGAGGATCGCTTGAGCCTGGGAGGTGGAGGTTGCAGTGAGCCGAGATCGCGGCACTGCACTCCAGCCTGGGCGACAGGGCGAGACTCTGAGTCAAAATAATAATAATAATAATAGTTCATTATTATTGGATAGTGAGGAGGGAGTTTGCAAAGGAGCGGCTAAAATGAAATTAGTCCTGAGTTTCTGATGTTATGCGTTCTGGGTAGGGGTGGGAGAACTGGAAGATGTTTAATGCCCCCCACCCAAGGGCAGCCATAGTTGAGAATCACTAATTCTGAAGCTTGGTAGGGAAGCTTGATAGGGACTTTGGGTTTTTCACTGAGGGCAGAATCCCCAGTGACTGTCAGAGACCTCGCTCTGAATCTTAAGAACCTCCCCACCCCAGGCCTGACAGGGAGGACAAGGAAGGAGAGTGGGGCTGGGACGCGGGGCAGAGGGCGGCTCTGCTCACCTGCGGGAGAACGCGAGGATGAGGTTCTAGTGGGACCGGCGCTAGCGGGCGCGTCCTGCCAGGAGTGAGTCTTGGCGCCATCTAGCGCCTGCTGGAGGCTCTGCAGCTGCAGTGGACTGAGCCGCCGGCGCTGGGCGTGGGTCACCGCCGCGGCGTTCTCCGGACCCAGGGAGGCGATCTGCTCCGCGGACAGCTCCTGCAGGAGGCAAAGGGGCAGCACCCTCACACGGGGCCCCTCCCCGGATTTCCCACATCTCGGGCGTCCGCGCAGGATGCACACAACTTTGCCATCCCCTTGTGTGTATCATGTGTGGTCCTCTTTAAGATATTTCCTTAAAATTAGATCACTCTTGCACTACCAAA
Source organism: Homo sapiens (assembly GCF_000001405.40). Classification (NCBI taxonomy): domain Eukaryota; kingdom Metazoa; phylum Chordata; class Mammalia; order Primates; family Hominidae; genus Homo; species Homo sapiens. Next base: position 22,573,054 of record NC_000016.10, on the reverse strand, counting down.
GTAAATGCATTTAAAAATAGAAAATTTAAAATGGAAGTTTCCAAAAATGGAAAGCCGGCAGACTTGCCATAAGCAAGCATTAAATAGGAGCCGCAAAATAAAAATAAAACAATATTGTTGAATCCTAGCTAGATTTGTCCGCCAACAATATCTGAACCCCTGGCCTCTTGAAAAAAAAGAGAGAGAGAGAGAATATAAAATGTATTATACAGGGTTAAATTGACACTTCCTTCTTGAGGTATTTAGAAGTACTAATGGAGAGTTGAAAAGGGAAGCATGATTTCCTCCCTATGTGGCAATGTTGTTTAATGCAATGCAAGACAGCTTCCCAGTGCTTCAAGTCTTCCACCTCCTGAAACACTGATGTGGAGGGGGAAACACAGGCCTTAAAGATCAGAGGCCTGAATTCGAGCCCCTGCTCTGCCACATACTTGCTGTGTCACCTTGAACAAATTACACAGCCTCCCTGGGCTTTGGGGATAAATGTGAGATGGCATAGAGAACTCATCTCCTCTGCTGACTGATTCTGATCCTTTGGTTTGACTTCCTGAGCACCATGTGATGAGCTCTGTGAGGGCTCCATGGAGGGAAAATGCAGTCATCTATTGGTGATATCTGCTATGGACAACATGAGTTGGGAATTCTGCCGGCCAGACTATGTCTTCAAGGACTGTGAACAAGGTGTCTTCTGAAGTCACTTCCAGATCAAAGGACTTGGTGACTCGTTCCAATGGGACTGGAATACGAAGGGGACTCTATATCATCATGTTTATTTTCTAAAGGCCCTGAAGAATCTGGGAAAGATGCTTATGCTCCCTCATCCCTTCCTCTCCTGTCAGTCACCCTCTCCTCCTCTTTTGTCCAGGTAGATACTTCCCTGGAATCATATCCCTCTGTGTAAAGCCCTTCCAGGAACCCCACTCCAGAACACAGTTCAGGCTCCTGGAAAAAACTCTGCCCACCTCTCCAGCCTCACACATGGCATTCTTCACTCCAGGAGAGTGGGTGCCAATATTTACAGTTCCCTAGAGGCAGCATCTTCCTGTGCACCTCCTTCTGCCTGGAACACTGTTTCTTCTTCATCGCCAGCTGTTCTCCAAGATTCAGCATCTGGTCGGTCAAGCGCCATGGCTCATGCCTACAATCCCAGCACTTTAGGAGGCTGAGGCAGAATGATTAACGGAGCTCAGGAGTTCGAGACCAGCCTGGGCAACACAGTGAGACCCCCCTTCTCTACAAAAAGTTTTTTTAATTAGCCAAGTGTGTAGTCCTAGTTACTTAGGCTGACGTGAGAGGATTGCTTGAGCCCAGGGGATCAAGGGTGCAGTGAGCCATCATTGTGCCACTGCACTCCCTTGGGCAACAGAGTGAGACTTTGTCTCAAAAAAATTAAAATTCAGCATCACCTCCTCTCCTCTCACTACACACACACACACACACACACACACACACACACACACACACACACGGTGGGGTGGTCAGAGAGGTACTTTTTTGGCTTCCATATACCATTAACACAGAGTCTGTATTCTAAAAATTATCTCTTTTATCAATGTTGCTGACTTGCGACCCACAGGCCAGATTGAATCTCTAGGCCTACGGCACTGTGTTTTCAAAAATAAATTCAGATTGGCTGCCAACATTTAATTATCAAGCAATTCCATATGAAAATGAAGATTTCTGACTTCTTCTCGAAAAAAGTGAAAAGGAAAATTCAGCAATCCTGGGCCCACATGGCCACACTGCATGAATGTGCTAGGAATGAGAAGCAGCCTCCACATTTAGACAAGGCTCTCCAGTTCACTTCGGTCTCTACCCAGCCTACTGCACCTTATGTTACCTTTTAGGCCCCTGAAGGCACTATGTGATAACCCCTTCACCTGTGCATCCTTAGGTGCACCTACCCTGGAGCCTGCCACAATGTAGGTGATCAGTAGGGATTTCTGGAATAGATAAATACCTGTACAAGGAAGCAGCACAACAGCACTCCAAACAAGACCAAGAGAAAGTGCTTAGCAAAATGCCAGCATCCAAGACCAAGCTGCTTGTCCCATGCAGAGTGCCCCAGAGGGGAAGCAGGTATTTGCTCAATGGCTTTGAGGACTGCTATTTATTGCCCTCAAACAGCTATTATGCCTGCAATGTGCTCGGAACTGTCCAGGATGCTGAAGTGATTGAAGGTTGGCTTTCTTTTTTTTTTTTTGAGACAGAGTCTCGCTCTGTCGCCCAGGCTAGAGTGTAGTGGAGCGATCTTGGCTCACTGCAAGCTCCGCCCCCCGGGTTCACACCATTCTCCTGCCTCAGCCTTCTGAGTAGCTGGGACTACAGGCACATGTGACCACCCCAGCTAATTTTTTTGTATTTTTAGTAGAGACAGGGTTTTACCATGTTAGCCACGATGGTCTCAATCTCCTGACCTCGTGATCCACCCTCCTCGGCCTCCCAAAGTGCTGGGATTACAGGTGTGAGCCACTGCACCCGGCCTCAGCTATCTTTCTTGAAATGAACAAGTGATGTGGCACTGGGGGAGTTTGTCGAGCCTGGTTTGTGTGTTTTATCCAGAAGTGCTGGACAAAATGTGTTCCCACATTACGCAGCAAACAGGAACACCAGAATGACTGCCTCCTCATCAGAGCAGACTATTCCCACCAAACACTCCCCTAATCTTGTATACAGACAGAAAAAAAGGACCTGTCATTAGATACCCTGCTTCCCTTCCTTCAAATGATCCAATTTCACCCTCTCAATTTTTTCATAGCAGTTTTTCACCTGTCCTCTTGTGATTTTCCTAATACTTTTCTTTAAATCAACTAAAAATATATATATATAGAAAAAAATATATATATAGAGAGAGAGAGAGATGGTTTCGCTCTTGTTGCCCAGGCTGGAGTGCAATGGTGTGGTCTTGGCTCATTGCAACCTCTGTCTCCCGGGTTCAAGTGATTCTCCTGCCTCAGCCTCCCAAGTAACTGGGATTACAGGCATCCACCACCACGCCCAGCTAATTTTGTATTTTTCATAGAGATGGGGTTTCACCACGTTGGCCAGGCTGGTCTCAGACTCCTGACCTCAGGTGATTGGCCTGTCTCAGCCTCCCAAAATGTTGGGATTACAGGTGTGAGCCACCATGCCTGACCTAAATCAACTAAAATATTTTTATTTAATTATATCTTAAAAGGAAATGTTACAGAGGTCCACAATCCCTCATCTGCAATTCCAAAGTCCAAAAATAATCTGAAAACTGCAAGTTTTCCCCCAAAGTTTAAGTCAAACTTATTTATCAGCAAAACTTGACCTGAAGTAATGTGAGGCTATTTATTTATAGTCTCTATTTATTCCAATTAGTGTGGCTTGTCACAGATTTCTTCACAGAAATATTAATGTGTTTGCTTACAAGGTGCTTCCCCAGACACTGCTGGGGGTATGAAGTTACATACAGTAAATGTACAGGGTGATCTTTTCAAAATCTGAGAAATTCTGAATTCTGAACTATATCTGTCCCCAGGGGTTTTCGTAAGGGTTTATGAACCTGTCATACCACCATAAGTAGAAAATCAGTACCACCTGCTAGAAGAAGAGAAGATGACCGTAAAAATAAATATAATTAAACTACATATTGTAATTTTAAGAAAAAATGTTTTTTAAAAACACCTAAACTCACACAGATCTCCTCTGACCCCATCAGCAGAGCCTGGTCACAAGCCTCTAAATTCCAAGGCCCATCACCTGTTTCCCTGTGTGATTTGAAATGGGGTCAAGCTCCCATTTCTCCTTGAAGAACTGAGCACCTACTTTGAATATCTCATCAGGAAGGCATTTTATTGCTGATGGCTGGAAATATGGCATCAAATCCTTGTCAAGCATCCGGAGCTCTGCCTTAGTTAATCCAGCTGGGGAGAAAAAGGAATCACGGGGGTTTAGTTCAAGCCATCAGAACTCCGCTTGTTTTATTAATGGTGCTGCATAATGCTCAGATCTGAGTGTTCTAGGCAGGCATCATTCCTTACAAAAGGCCCTGGAAATCACACTGGGGAATCAAGTTCCTTCATCAACTCAGAAAAAAAAAATGTGGGTCACATTAGCCCTGATTGGCCTCCTACAGTGAAACGCATGCCCAGAAGGAACTTCAATTTACACACTTTCAAATTTTGTATAAACCTACTTAGGGGCCAATTAAATCACATTCTAAACTAGCGGTTTTCCAAACTTTAGTGTACACAAGAATCTCCAAAAGAGCTTGTTTTAAAAGCAGATTTGCAGACCCACCCTCTGCAACTTCAAATCATGAAATGTAGGTTCTACTGTAACGCCACTGATGTTTGCTACACATGGCCAAGGATAATGTTTTATTTTGTGTCCCCACATTTAAGTTTGGAAAGAGAGAGAAAGGTATGCTCAGGGTGAGTCTTACCTGCAATGGTCCCAAGCTCCTGCAAGACAGAACTGGTCCACTCAGTGGGATCCCCAAACACAACTTCAGCCTTCCTCTTAAACTCGGCTAAGACATGTGTGCTGCAGAGCAGGGTCCCAATTCTGGCCACTACCACCCTGGTAGTGGTTAAAGAGGGAGGGATATAATATGAGCTTGGACTCTTCAGCCAAAAACAAACAAACACACACACACACACACACACACACACACACATACACACACACACTGCACAGTAGGCTCAGCAGGGACAGCAGATCCAGCTTATCCCATTAGCCCAGTGGGATTTTAGCCCAGAAAGGTGCCAAGTGTCAGGAGGTGGAATATCTGGATGGATGGATGGATGGATGGATGGATGGATGGATGGATGGATGGATGAATTAACCCATTTGCCATTTTGCACATTCATATTTTAGTTACCTGAATTCTGAGATCTTTATAAGTGGGATTTCAGTGATGTTTATAGCACACAGGGTTGCACCAAGTCCTACCAAATGAAAGCTCTTCAGGTCCTGGATACTGTATCCTGAATCATCCAGGTACCCTTGCAAAATGGATTCAGCCTAAAAAATAGTAAGAATAAAAGATAAACCATCCAGGAATGATCAAGGTCCCCAGGCCTGAGGGGATAAATAAGCTGTTGCTGTAGTCTCCTGACTGATCTCCCATCCTACTCCTCTGGAATCCCCACTCCAAACCATCCTGGCCTCTGCATCCAAGTTCATGTCCTTAAGATACTACTTCAACTGAGTATGTCCCCTAATCTATGGAAGTGTCTTCAGGCAACGAATCTCTTACATCCTTCACCAATATTAAAGGCACTTGTGTCCTGTGTGTCTGCTGCTTATTTCCTTCAGTCACTCTTATGACCCTCAGACAGTTTGGACATACAACTTCTTCTGCATCAGGATCCAAACTTTTCCAGCATCTTTTTCCACAACGTTTCTTCTCCCTTTTTTTTTTTTTTTTTCGTTTTTTGGAGACGGAGTCTTGCTCTGTCACCCAGGCTGGAGTGCAGTGGCACAGCTCGCTGCAACCTCCACCTCCCCAGGTTCAAGCAATTCTCGTGCTTTAGCCACCCAAGTAGCTAGAATTACAGGTGCACATCACCACATCTGGCTTTTTGTATTTTTTGTAGAGACGGGGTTTCACCATGTTGCCCAGGCTGGTATCAAACTCCTGACCTCAAGTGATCCACCCACCTCGGCCTCCCAAAGTGCTGGGATTATAGGCATGAGCCACCGCACCCAGCCTTTCCACAACCTCCAACAAAACCTTATAATTTCCTGTCTCTTTGCCTTTGTTCAAACCAGTCCTTTCATCTGAAATGCCCTTCTGCACTTCCAAGTGCAGACATTCTTTTTTTTTTTTCTTTGGTTCAACTCAAATGTCACCTTCTTCATGAGGTTTCAGCCAGAATGATTTTTTCTTCCTCTATGGTCCTACAGAAATATGTTTACCCCTTAATGATTTTTTCTTCCTCTGTGGTCCTACAGAAATATGTTCACCCCTTCAATTCCAATGTTTACTCTTCAATTCCAAGAGTAGCACACAAAATGCTTTGGTGTTAAACTATTTTAAACTAAGCCTTGATTTAAGGCGGCTGACACATAAGTCTCCATAATTCTAGCACAGTGGCTATTCATCATTCATAACTTCCTCTGGAGAACCACCTCTCTTGTATTCCTGCTTCATGTGGTTCAGTCAAAGCTAACTGCACCAAGTTCCAGGAGTGATGAATTTCAATTCATACCTTAGCCTAGCTGCAGTCACTGGTTCTGGATTGGACATGTGATTTAACCAGAGTCAACCAGAACTTTGAGTGGAGCATTAGGGGAAGAGCTTTCTTTACTCTGGACTTGAACTTAGAAGGATATACACAAGGATCTGCTGGAACCTACCACATGCAGGCATAGAGCCTGTCTCTCAATGAAGCCAACACAAAGAAAAGCAAAGTTCAAAAACATGATAAGAGACAGATTCCCACCCAGAGTGTTGAAGATCCTGGATCCAGCTGTATCTGAACACTACCCCTGAACTTTCCAGTAATGGGAGTCAATAAATTCCTTTTTTTTTTTTTTTTTTTTTTTTTGAGACAAGGTCTCACTCTGTCACCCAGCCTGGAGTGCAGCGGCATGATCTCTGCTCACTACAACCTCCCTCTCCCAGGTTCAAGCGATTCTCATGCCTCAGCCTCCCCAGTAGCTGGGATTACAGGCAGGCATGAACATGCCTGGCTGATTTTTGTATTTTTAGTAGAGAAGTAGTTTCACTGTTGGCCAGGCTGGTCTCAAACTCCTGACCTCAAGTGATCTGCCCGTTTCAGCCTCCCAAAGTTCTAGGACTACAGGTAGGAGCCACTGCACACTGCACCCAGCCCCTTTATTTGTTCAAGCAGTTTGTGTTGGGTTTTCTGCCACTTGTAACTAAACATGTGCTGATTCATTTTATCTACCTATGTAGGACCTGAGGAGGCATCCAAGCCAATCCTATGAAGATCAGCTACAAAATAAAGTCTGGGCTGGGCACGGTGGCTCACACCTGTAATCCCAGCACTTTGGGAGGCCGAAGCAGGAGGATCACTTAAAGTCAGGAGTTTGAGACCAGCCTGGCTGACATGGTGAAAGCTTGTCTCTACCAAAAAATACAAAAATTAGCCAGGCATGGTGGCACGTGCCTGTGGTCCCAGCTACTTGGGAGGCTGAGGTGGGAGGATTGCTTGAGCCTGGGAGGTGGAAGTTGCAGTGATCCAAGATTGTGCCACTGCACTCCAGCCTGGGTGACAGAGGGAGACTCTGTCTCACAAAATAAAGTCTGGTTCCTTCAGTGCTCATGGGAGCAAGTAAAAGAGATTATAAGACCTCACAAGGCAAAGATGAGGAGACATCCAAGGAGAGACCCCTAAGTGGAAGCGAAAATCACAGGCTATAGTCAATCTTCCCAACTCTCTTTGCTTTTTTTTGTTTTTTTTTTTGAGACAGCGTCTCACTGTGTCACCCAGGCTGGAGTGCAGTGACATGATCTTGGCTTACTGCAACCTCCATCCCCCAGGGTTCAAGTAATTCTTATGCCTCTGACTCCCAAGTAGCTGGGATTACAGGCGCCCGCCACCACACCCAACTAATTTTTTGTGTTTTTAGTAGAGACAGGGTTTCACCATTTTGGCCAGGCTGGTCTCAAACTCCTGGCCTCAAGTGATCTACCCACCTCAGCCTCCCAAAGTGCTGGGATCACAGGCATGAGCCACCATGCCCGGCCCCCATCTCCGTTTAATGTTAGTCATCCCCATCACACAATATAGATCATTAAGGTGTTGAGAGAAAGTGTTGAGGAAGATTGTGAAATGTTGCAATGAAATTCCGTCTTCATGGGCTGGTGCTTCCCACCCCTCAGGTGTGTTTAAATGCTACCTACTCAGAGAAAACTGCCCTCTGGACTCTTTCATCTCAAACAGCCCTTCTTCCCACTATTCCCATGAGCACCTTGTCCATTTTCCGCATCACTTATCGTGATTTTTCAAATTTTTCACTTTGATTACTCACTTTTTTGTCTGTATCACCAAGTAGGCTCCCAAAAGAAAAGGACCATATCCAGGTAGTTTACCAATGAGTCCCCAGCACCTAGCATAATGCCTGCCACAGAGTAGGAGTTCAATAAGTACTTCTTGAGTAAGTAAATGAATGAGTGAATGAATGAATGAATGAAACAACATCTGAGTGAGTGACTTACAAAAGTCGTGGGCAATATATATTATTTGACACGCTTCATTTTGCTGCCTTCATGTAATAGACTGGCTTCAGGAAGATTTCTCATGTTTCTGAAAATCGGACTGGTCAGTGTCCTCATCAAGTTGTCCTCCATGATTACAAAGCTCACAGCTACTATGGGGGCGGGGGATGCAGTAACACCATGCTTAGACTTATATGTCTTTGACTTAATGGGACTGTATATCCAAAGTGGTAATAGCTAACATTTATTGTAGCTAACATTTCTTGAGTGCATACTGTGTGCTGGCACCACTTTGACCACTTTACACATACTATCTCATCTAATCCTCCTAAATAACACTATGAGGTAAGTATTAATAGTATCCCTAGTTTGCAGATGAGCAAACTGAGGCAAGGAGAGGTTAAGTAACTAGGCCAAGATCACACAGCTAGAAAATGATCGTTCTGGCCAGGCGCCGTAGCTCCTGCCCGTAATCCCAGCACTTTGGGAGACAAAGGCGGGCAGATCACCTGAGGTCGGGAGTTGGAGACCAGCCTGACCAACATGGAGAAACCCCGTCTCTACTAAAAATACAAAATAAGCAGGGTGTGATGATGCATGCCTGTAATCCCAGTTACTCAGGAGGCTGAGGCAGGAGAATTGCTTGAACCCGGGAGGCAGAGGTTGCAGTGAGTGGAGATTACACTCCAGCCTGGGCAACAAGAGCAAAACTCATTCTAAAAAAAAAAAAGAAGAAGAAGAAAGAGAAAAGAAAATGATGGTTCTAGGATCAAAACCCAGGCAGTCTGATTCCAGGGCCCATACTCTTAGCCAGTGAAGGTGTTTGGCTATGGAGAAAAGATGGAGATTCAAGTTAGTTTTCAAATTTTTCTTATTAAGTCTTCATAATCAGGTTTCACTAGTTGACTCAGAGCAATTTGGGCTCCTCAACTATCAGGCATGCTCACTTTAAAATGAAAGTGCAAAAATACAATTTAAATAAAATTACTTTGAAGATATGGTATTAAATTGTCCTTGCCACTGAAACCCGGAAAATGCAAGCTCAGCCTGCAAGGTGATAAGTTAAAATAAATTTCCTTGAGTGACGAGACCAGTGTATATGTAATGATTCCAAGACAATTAATACCAACACTTTTAGGCAATATTAACTGTTGAAAAATGAATAGCTTTAAGATTTCAATCTCTCTGTTCATCCCTCTGGCTTCTATAATAGTTTTTTCCCTTATATTGGTTTTTGAGCTGAACTATCTGTTAATGTAGTTCCGTCAGGTCTGACTATTAATCTAGAAACCTGCATTTAAGGTTGATTGGGAGCTAAAGTTGAAGAACTGACTACAAATGATACATGCAAATGTTAGGTTTTCATATCCTCTTCAAACATATTGATAAATCTCACTGCCATCCATGAGAATTAAAATCGGTGCGAAGGGAAGGAGATACCCTAGTTTCTGGATGTATTTTTCTGTTTCTCCGAGCCTGCAAATAGAATGATTTTAATAGCACAGTGTGATGTGGCACTTCTCAAACTAGTCAAAACCAGTTTTAGAGTCAAAGAACCATGGGATTATAGAATATCAGACTGGAAGGAACCTCAGATTGTTGGGGCTAACCCTCTCATCTTGCAAAGGAGGAGACTAACCCAGAGAAAGGGGCTGTAATGATGATAATGTTGATGATGACAATGCAATGATGTCAATATCAACATAAAAACAGCTAATTTTTATTGACTACTATGTACCAGACATTGTTCAAAATGTTTTCAAGTATTAACTCATGTAATCTTCATGGCCAGGATCTGCATGTTGCCCAGCTCTAGGGGTGCACCATTCACAGTGTATTCTGTTTGAATGGTGCCACTCAGAGTTATGAAACATGGCCACCGTGATTACAAAAAGCTCAAAAGAGTAGGGGGACATTCATTGGTTTTGGCTGCTCAGCGTCCACACTTTTTCTTTGGAAAATTACCCTCCATTAGCTTCCTATTGCTACTCTACCAAATTACCCCAAACATAGTGGCTTTAAAACTACACGTTTATTCTCTTATAGTTCTGGAGACTGTATGTCCTAAAATGGACTAGAAGGATGGGTTCCTTCTGGGAGTTCTAAGAAGAATTCATTTTCTTGCTTTTTCTAGCTTCAAGAGGCCACCTGCATTTCCTTGGCTCATAGCCCCATCCTCCATCTCCAAAATCAGCAGCAGAGCACCTTCAGATCTCTTTCTAGGTCCCTCTGCTTCCATTATCATGTCACCTTCTCTATCTATGACCCTCCTTGCTCCTTCTTAAAAGGACCCTTGTGATTACATTGGGCCCACCCAAATAATCCAAGATAACCTCCTCATCTCAAGATCCTTAATCGCATCTTCAAAGTCCCTTTTGCTCCATAAGTTAACATAGTCACAGCTTCCAGGGGTTCAGACATGGACATCTTTGGGGGACCTTAATCAGCCCACCACATATCCTTCCCCACTCGGCTCATGTGGTCATGAGATGCTGATAAGATGGACTCCGCTCCCTGATGCAGGCCTCGCCAACCAACATATTCAACCCCTGACCAGAGTGGTTGCTCAGGGGCGGGCAACTACATGAGTGGAGTCAATGCTGAGGCTTTTCCAAAAACTAATAAAGAAGAGGCACATTTTTATGGGCTTGTTAATTAGGTTGTATATAAGCCTAGTGCTGAAAATGACCACTGAGAGAGCTGCCTAAGAACGAAGATAACATGGAAGGGCTAACACTTCCCTTTCCAGCAGTACAGTGGATTAGACACCCTAAACTCCTCTCCCAATCAAAACAATTAAAATTCTGGGAAGAACTTCTTCTTTAGCCCATGAAGGATTAATTAACATAGGAATTGGCCACCCACCATAAACAACTAGAAAATTTAACAAAATACATCAGACAACTGCATCCGGATATGGAACAACAGAATCATAATCCCAGAAGAAGAAAAACAAACAAGATGAGCCTTAAAATTACCCTCACTTACTGCCAAAAAGCAGTTTCCAAGACATGGATCAGGAAGAGGAACCAAAACAAGCCCAGTGGCCCAGCTGAGTTGAGGATACAGATATCCAAGTTCAGAGAGGCCACGGCACTTATCACTTGGGCAAAGTATTGGAGAGGAGGAAACTGCAGAGGGTTCCAGAAAGCTGCAGAGATGTCTAGTACTGACTGCTATTTTGCACATGCAAAGAGTGAAACTCCACATAGGCAGGAAAAGAGTCATCAGTAATCAGAAAGGATTAGGCTGAGCAACTTCCAGAGCTCATATGGAGCTGGAAATAGTTCACATTCTCACCAGCCAAAGTAGAGAGATCTTGAAATACATGGAGCATTAGGTAACATCCTCAAAGGAATCATGTCACAGTAATGATGATAAATTAACAACAGAATAAAGGTCACTCTGGTTTTACCCTAACAAAACTCAAAAGGAAGCATCAAAAGGATCAAGCTGATTTGAAAGTAACTTAAGTGTATGACAGAACAAAGCCCAATACTCTTCAAAGAAATACAACTAAATCAAATACTCAACAATGTAAAATCCACAATGCTCATCACCCAATCAAAATTGCTAGGCTTGCAAACAAAAAAAGAAAATATGACTCATAACTAAGAGAAAAATCAGTCAACAGAAACAGACTCAAAAATGACCATCATGAGGAAATTAACAGTAAGGATATGAAGGCAGCTCTTATAAATATGGAATAGTTAAAAGACCCAGAAACATCCACCCACCTGTCCCGGGGTCCATTCTGTTTGCCAGCTTAGGGAAGCCACAGTGTCTATGGAGCTGAGGTCCAGCTGCTCCAGCTCACTCTCATTAAGAGCCAGAGCAATGCGCCCCAGGGAGACGATATGGTGTTCTCTCCAGTAAGATGGCATGTCCCAAACCTTTAGGCAAAAAAAGAAAATAGATTAGACTGAACACTGTGATGGTATTTACAATGATTTGAATGTTTGTGCCCCTCTAAAATGCATATGTTAAAACCTAATCTCCAATGTGATAGTATTGGAAGGTTGGGCCTTGGGAGATGATTAGGTCATAAGGGTGGAGCCCTCATGAGTGGGATTAGTGCCCTTGTAAAAGAGACCCCAGAGAGCTAGCTACAAGCTAGTCCCTTTCCACCATGTGAGGACACAGTGAGAAAGCACCATCTATGAAAAACAAGTCCTTACCAGATACTGGATCTGCCAGTGCTTCAATTTTTGATTTCTCACCCCCCAGAACTGTGAGAAATAAATTTCTGTTTATAAGTTACCAGTCTATGATATTTTGTTATAGCAGCCTGAATGGACAAAGGCAGTATCTAAAATAGACATAAGGAGGCTAGGTGCGGTGGCTCACACTTGGAATCTCAGCATTTTTGGAGGCCAAGGCATGCAGATCACATGAGGCCAGGAGTTCAAGACCAGCCTGGCCAACATAACGAAACCCTGCCTCTACTAAAAATACAAAAAAAAAAAAATTAGCTGTGCATGGTGGCGCACATCTGTAATCCCAGCCACTTGGGTGGCTGAGGCACAAGACTCACTTGCAGAAGTTGCAGTTAGCCAAGATGGTGCCACTGTACTCCAGCCTGGGTGACAGAGCGAGACCCTGTCTCAAAGAAATAAAAATAAAACAGACATAGGGAAACCTATTGTGCAGCATGGTGACCACAGTTGATAATAATGTGTTGAACGGTTGAAAATTGTGAAGAGAGTAGATGTTAAATATTCTCACAACAAAAACTGACAACGGACAAGTATGAAAGGTGATTGACATGTTAGCTTGCTTTAACCATTCCCCAATGTATACATACATCAAAACATCATATTGTATATATGTATACACCATAAATATATATAATTTGTATTTGTCAACTATCCCTTAATAAAAAATAAATAAAAATTAAAAAGACATAGGGTAAATCTTAATATAAAGCTCTCTTTTAAATCAATAATAAAAAGATGACTATATTTGTTTTAAAAAAAAGATAGACAAAAGACATCAACAAGGAATTCACAAAAGAAAAATTAAATGTATGGGGAAAACTTTATTCTCAGTCATAATTAAAGAAATATACATTAAAAACAATCAGACCATGTTGATTCATCACATGTCAAGAAGTATAAAGACTTATCACCATTTACGATACTGGAAAGATACAAGGTAAGGGATACCCTCATTTGTTGTAGTTGAGAATATAAGTTGGTACATACTCTTGAGAGGGCAATTTGGCTATCTGTATCAAAAGCTTTTAAAGTATTTATATTCTTTGACCCAGAAATTCCACCTCTGGGAATTTAGCCTGAGTAAATGAGACAAGTACCCAACAGTATATGTATAAAGGCATACATTGAGGCATTTTTTTAATGCAACATGAAAGTCTAACAATTAGCTAAATAAATAAGAACTAACCATAAATAAAATGAAGTTGCCCCTGTGGATACCTCCACCAAGGATTGGTTCCAGGACTTCTTAAAGATACCAAAATCCATGGATATTCAAGTCCCTTATATAAAATAGTGTAGTATTTGCATATAATCTATGCACATCCTCATGTATACTTTAAATCATCTCTAGATTAGTTATAATACCTGATGCAATATAAGTGCTATGTAAATATGTACAAAATGTTATGTCAAAAATGCTACTGTATTTTTATGTGTATTGTTTTTTATTGTTATATTGTTATTTGGATCATTTTTTCTAAATACATTCTACCTGAGGTTGGTTGAATCTGCAGATGTGGAACCCACTGATATGGAAGGCTAATTGTATTACAAAGCTATTTAAAATACTGATATAGGCTAGATGCTGTGGCTTACGCCTGTAATCCCAACACTTTGGGAGGCCAGGCAGACAGATCACTTGAGGTCAGGAGTTCGAGACCAGCCTGGCCAACATTGTGAAACCCCATCTCTACTAAAAATACAAAAATTAGCCGGGCATGGTGGCGGATGCCTGTAATCTCAGCTACTTGGGAGGATGAGGCAGGAGAATTGCTTGAACCTGGGAGGCAGAAGTTGCAGTAAGCCAAGACCACACTATTGTACTCCAGCCTGGGCAACAAGAACAAAACTCCATCTCAAAAAATAAATAAATAAATAAAATACTGACATAGATGTACATTTTGGATATGAAAAAATATGCAGTCTGTACTGTTGGGTGTAGAAAGCAAGTTATTGAATAGTAGGTAAGTATAATATCATTTTTGTAAAACATGAGATATATGTATGAAATATATAAAATAATATTTTTTATATACATAGTTTTGGAGTCTGGTAAGCTTCAAGTGAATATACCAAAATATCAACAGTGCTTATCTGCTGAACAGTGCTTATCAAAATATCAACAGTGAGTAAAAGATTATCACTGATTTTCTTCTTTATTATTTTCTGACTTTTCTACAATAAACTTGAAGTACTCATATAATACATAAATACAGTTATATTTATAATTTTAAGACATTGAATTGTTTAACCCTTGAGGGTAACTAGATATTCCACAACCATGTAAAGAGCTAAAACAGGGCTGGGTGCAGTGGCTCATGCCTGTAATCCCAGCACTGTGGGAGGCCAAGGTGAGCAGATCTCTTGAGGCTAGGGGTTTGAGACAAGCCTGGCCAAACAAACCCCGTCTCTACTAAAATACAATTATTAGCCAGGCATGGTGGCTTGTGCCTGTAGTCCCAGCTACTCAGGTGGCTGAGACACAAGAATCACTTGAACCCGGGAGGCAGAGTTTGCAGTGAACCACAGATCGCGCTGCTGCCCTCCAGCCTGTACGACAGAGCAAGACTCTGTCTTAAAAGAAAAAGAAAAAAAAAAGAAAGAAAAGCTAAAACAGGCCACAAAGGGACCTTTTCCTTTTATTTATTTATTTGAGACAGAGTCTCGCTCTATCACCAGGCTGGAGTGTAGTGACGCAATCTCGGCTCATGGCAGCCTCCGCCTCCCGGGTTCAAGCAATTCTCCTGCCTCAGCCTCCCGAGTAGCTGGAACTACAGGTGCATGCCACCTGTAGAGATGGGGTTTCACCATGTTGGCCAGGCTGGTCTCGATCTCTTGACCTCGTGATCCGCCTCCCAAAGTGCTGGGATTATAGGCATGAGCCACTGCACCCAGCCTATTTTTATTTATTTTTGAGACAAGGTATCAGCTCTGACGCCTAGGCTAGAGTGCACTGGCGCAATCTTGGCTTACTGCAACCTCCACCTCCCGGGTTCAAGCCATTCTCCTGCCTCAGCCTCCTGAGTAGCTGGAACTACAGGCACATGACACCACGCCTGGCTAATGTTTGCATTTTGAGTAGAGACAGGGTTTCACCATGTTGGCCAGCCTGGTCTCGAACTCCTGACCTCCCGTGATCCGCCCGCCTCGGCCTCCCAAAGTGTTGGGATTACAGGCATAAGCCACTGCACCCAGCCAACAAAGGGACCTTTTTAAAGATGGAAAGCTACTTCCAGTCCTCTTTTTACTCCTTTCTGTTATATTTTCAGACAAATTTGCAAATGATTCTGAGAAAACCTGCTGTGAGCAGCAGCTGGGGCTCTCCAGGTGAAGGAATAAAGCCTAATTCCTGCAAACCGCCTTGGTCAGAGGCACTGGGACATCCACAGAACTTGATTCACTGAGCATCTGCTAGATGCCAAGACACATCTCATCCCATTCTCTGCCACAGCCCTAAGAGGGAGGAACTGGAAATTTCCTCCTTTCTCAGATAAGGAGATCACAATATCACTGAGCTGATGCAGTAAAATTTCAAGATGATGTATGGGAAAACTGCTCGAGGAGGGTTCTATGTGCAGAAATGCTGAACTGGTTTTGGTGTTTTTCTTTTTTCCTCTGTTTAATGTTTCCTCCCTGAGGTGGGCTTCACCTGTATTGCTTTCTCCTTCAGGGTCATCAGCTGAGGCCGGCTGAAACCCTGGACAGCTCCCAGCAGTTCCACGGTCCTGATGAATGTGTCTTCCTCCATGCACCGCAGGTCCTCCAGGGCCCAGCAGGCGTTGGCTTCGGCCAACTTGAAGATGTCATCAGAAGAGGGGGCCACGACTCCATGGCAACCTGAAGAAAGGAGAGATGCAGGGAAGGAGAAGAGGAAAGAGAATTTCAGGAAATGTTAGTGTATTGAAATGAGTAACATTCTTTGCCAGTCAGATTTATGCATGGAAGGGACTACAGAGTAAAAGCAGAGAGCAGGAGGCAGGGACCAGTTTGAATCCCACTTCTGCCATTTCTTGCTAATTACTGGGTAACAAAGTCATGGAAATGCCAGCTTTTTGCACATCCACATGCACAAACTAGGAGCGGTGCAACATTACAATTAAACTACAAATTCCTTGAGGGCAGTAAGAGCTGGTGGTGAACAGTCCTGACTTTCGATTCAAATCCAAGGCTATTTAACCTCTCTGTATTTCAGTTTTCTTGTCTATAAAATGGAAATAAAATCGCCTCATAGGATGGTTGTGAAAACTAAATGTGTTATATGTAAAGCACTTAGAACAGTGCCACGCATACAGTAAGCACTCGATACACAATTTCTGTTGCCTATCTTACCCCCTATGCCTTTGAGTTTGCAGCCCAGCATAAAGATTCCAAAATTATGCAGCAGCCTTCCTATAAAAATGGGAAGATGGGCTGTGCGGTGGCGCATGTCTTTAATCCCAGCACTTTGGGAGGCCAAGGCAGAAGGATCACTTGAGCCCAGGAATTCAAGACCAGCCTGGGCAGCATGGTAAGACCTCACCTCTAAAAAAAAAAAAACTACAAAATATTAGCTAGGCATGGTGGCACATGCCTGTAGTCCCAGCTACCCAGCAGGCTGAGGTGGGAGGATCACCTGAGCCTGGGAGGTCAAGATTGCAGTGAGCCGTGATCACACCTATTCTCCAGCCTGGGTAACGGTGAGACCCTGTGTCAAAATAAAATAAAAAATAAAAACCAGGAAGATGAGTTGCTGTCCATGAAAATCATAGTGGGGGTTGTGGCTTTCCCATCCCAAGAGAAAAGAGAAATGAGCCTATTGCATTTCTCTTGGCAACAGGAAAAACATCCATTTCGGTCTTTGAATAATGTGAACCTTACCTACTCAAACCAGCTACCAACCAACATGCAAGTGAGATATTGTCTTTGCTGGATCTGATGTGCCCAACCTGGGAGAAAACTCTAGGATCCTTAAGAGCAACCCTGGATTTCTTATCTTAGCCGCAGACCACCACTGATGCTGACAGATGCACCAACCCCACCCAAGGCCAGGGTATTTCCCGAGTCCCATGGCCTCTCTCTTCTCATTGCACCTTCAATGGAAATTCACTGCATTCCAATCACGAGGCAAAAGTAGACCAGATCAAAGATGCCAGTTGTGGTCCTCAAACATCTTTATCATAAGCCACTTGGAGAGGACTAAAGACCCATCCCTCCCTAGGCCAACCCCCAGCCCACCCTCTAGTGAAAACAACATCAGTGATAGCACAGAACTAGAGAGGGCAGAATGGTTGACTAGTATATCAGGAACTTGGTCTTATCACTGTGTCTGTCCAGGGCTTAGAATAGAGCCTGGTACATCGTAGGTGTTCAGCAAATATCTGTGGAGTGAGTGAACACACACACACAAATTAATATAAAACCAAGCGGTAATTCTGCTAATCCATCAATCACTAAAGCACAGCAGCAATTAATACCCAGAACCAACTAAAGAACACTCAAACTATGCACTGATACCAGAGCTTCCTTCCCCTGAGCATAGAAAGCCTTATTTTGTGTACCACATGCACACAGTAAGAGCTCTGCAATATGATGACATGGACTGCTAGACCTTGAGGGCAGTGGGAGCCAGTGGTGGTCACCACCAACTTTGGGTACAAATCCAAGAACTGCCATTTACTAACTCTGTGACTTTAGACAAGTCCCTTAGTCTCCTAAGCCCCAGTTTCCTTCATTTAAAAAACAAGAGAACACCCAAGCCTGGAAATCTGCAGCCCTAAATGGGAATAGGCATTCCTGTTTTCATGCCCAAATGTTAGGTTTTGGCCTGCCACATCCCACTATCCTGTACCCATATAAACCCCAAACCCCAGGCTCCATGAGCATACAAGCAGATGAGCAGATGAACAGAAGAGAAGAGGAGCAGAAGAGCAGCATGGCAGAGAAAGGAGCATCTGAAGGCCAAGAAGAGTTTGGCTGGGGACAGTTGGAGAGGAGATTGGTCACAGGACAGCCAAACTCCAGGGGAAGATCATCTTCCCACTCCATCCCCTTTCTAGCTCCCCATCCATCCCACCGAGAGCCACCTCCATTACCCAATAAAACCCCACATTCACCAAGAAAAAAAAAAACGGGAGAACAAGATAATGCATGGAGGGATAATCACCCAAGGTAGACACAAATCCAATTGTGATACTTCTTTGCTCGATGTCACACGATGCCTCCACCCAGAGTAAAAGCCAAAGTCATTAGGGTTTCCTTTAACAGTCACTACATGGCTGGCCTTGTCTCTCACTCCCCTCCAAACACACTGGCCCTTACCTCCCACTCATGGAAGTGGTCCTGTTGCACTCTCTGCCTGGAAGACTCTAATTGAAAATATCCACATGGCCCACTCTCCCTTGGGTCTTCATTCAAATGTCACCTTCTCAATAAGATGTTCCTTCATGATTCTCTTTTCACATGACAGTCCCCTCTCAACACTCGTGGTGCATTCCCTTGCTTTATTTTCCTTCTTGGCACTTTTCATACAATATACCATATATTTTACTTATGTATGGAAATTTATTGTCTTGCTACCCTCCATTTGAAAGTAAGCTCTTTATTTACAAAATTGGTGCTTAATGAATATTTGTTGGGTGGATGAAAGCAAGCACTGACTGTCAACTACTATCACTGGGGGTGATTAACTTTGTCTCCTCATGCCTGGCCCCAGTCTGTACTTAGTAGGTGCATGGTAATAATAATAAAATATCTAACACTTGGACAGGCATGGTAGCTCACATCTATAATCCCAGCACTATGGGAGACCAAGGCAGGAGGATCACTTGAGGCTCAGAGTTCAAGATCAGCCTGGGCAACACAGTAAGACCCTATCTCTACAAAAAAATAAAAAATTATCCAGATGTGGTGGTTCATGCCTGTAGTCCCAACTACTTGTGAAGCTGAGGTGGGAGGATCCCTTGAGTCCAGGAGGTCGAGGCTGTAGTGAACCATGATTGCTGCACTCCAGCCTGGGTGGCAGAGCGAGGCCCTGCCTCTATAAAATCAAATTTTAGGCCGGGGGCAGTGGCTCACGCCTGTAATCCCAGTATTTCGGGAGGCCAAGGCAGGTGGATCACCTGAGGCCAGCGTTCAAGACCAGCCTGGCCAACATTGTGAAACCCCGTCTTTACTAATAATACAAAACTTAGCCAGGTGTGGTGGCACATGCCTATAATCCCAGCTAGTCAGGAGGCTGAGGCAGGAGAGTTGCTGTAATCTGGGAGGTGGAGGTTGCAGTGGGCCGAGATCATGCCACTATACTCCAGCCTGGGTGACACTCCAGCAAGACTCCATCTCAAAAAATAAAAAAAATCAAATTTTAAAAATATATAATACTTATTAAAGATCTGCTACATGCCAGGCATTCCGGTAAACATGTTTCTGGGTTTAAACCCATTAATTCTCACAATAACCCAGTGAGGTAGAGACTTTCATTATCCCCATTTGATAAAGGATGAAAACTGAGGCACACAGAGGTTAAAGAGCTTACCCAAAGCCACACAGCCAGTAAGTGGCAGACTCAGGAGTGAAATCTAGCCAGCCCGGCCCTGTCACTGCTATGTTAAACCACTAATCCATGTTGGTCCTCTAAGTCAATCCTACTGAAATGTTTGTTACACATATTCACGCATTAAACCTACTAGCCTGGATATGGAGTATGGGACATGATTCCAGGTCACTTTACAAAAGTGTAACTCTTTTTTTTTTGAGACAGAGTCTCGCTGTCACCCAGGCTGGAGTGCAGTGGTGCCATCTCAGCTCACTGCAACCTTCACCTCCTGGGTTCAAGCAATCCTCGTGTCTCAGCCTCCTGAGTAGCTGGGACTACAGGTGTGCACCACCACACCCGGCTAATTTTTGTGTTTCTAGTAGAGACAGGGTTTCGCCATGTTGGCCAGGCTGGTCTCGAACTCCTGACCTCAAGTGATCTGCCTGCCTCAACCTCACAAAGTGCTAGGATTACAGGCTTGAGCAATCGCACCTGAACCAAAAGTGTAATTCTTTTGCTTATAGATTTTGTCATTCTATTGCTTTGCAGACATTTCATCCAGTTCCCTGCATAAGGAGGCCTCTTGATGTTAGGGACCCTGCCCAAAACATTAATTACTATGCCAACAGTGGCTCAGATACCCTGGAAACACTCACCAGGCATAGGGTCAGAGCTGGGGATCTTATCACTGCTGTTCCGAACAGACTGAAAGACAGCCCAGAGGAATTATTTAGGGGGCAGGGTCCTGGCCATCTTGGAAGCTGCTTGCAGAAGGATCTCAGGAAACTGTGTGAAAGAAGATGAAAGAAGAGGAATAATAATTAAAACCCCTTAAATACAGATTGAAATTAGAGTTGAAACTGTCACACTACTTACTGCCTTCATTCTTTGTTATAGCAACTTCTCATATAAATCTATTCCCTAGTCCCACTAATGTGGTCTCTATAAAGAATCCTATAAAATGATACTCAACTTCAATAAAAATCCAATAAAGTCTAAAAAACATAAGTAAATCACTTTTCACCCATCAGATTGTCAAAAATAAAATAAAGTGCTAATACTTAATGCTGGGCACATTCATTTTTCCGTGGGACTGTCAAACTGTGCACTATTAGCAGAGCAATCTGGTAATATCGACAAAAAAATTTAGGTTAGGCCAGGTGTGGTGGCTCATACTTGTAATCCCAGCATTTTGGGAGGTCGATGCAGGCAAATCACTTGAGGTCAGGAGCTCAAGACTGGCCTGGCCAACATGGTGAAACCCCATCTCCACTAAAAATACAGAAATTAGCCAGGCGTGGTGGCATGAGCCTGTCATCCCAGCTACTTAGGAGGCTGAGACAGAAGGATCACCCGAGCCCAGAAGGCTGAGGTTGTAGTGAGTCGAGAGCATGCCACTGCACTCCAGCCTGGGTGATGGGAGTAAAACCCTGTCTCAGAAAAAAACAAAAAAAAATGTATGTGTACCTACCCCTTTTTTGGTTTGGTGCTATTTCTAAGTTTTTACTAAACTTTATATTTGATATAGTTTGGATGTGTACCCCACCCAAATCTTATTGAAATGTAATCCCCAGTGTTGGAGGTGGGGCCCAGTGAGAGGTGATTGGATCATGGGGGCAGATTTCTCATGAATGGTTAAATACAATCCCCTTGGTACTGTCCTCACAATAGTGCGTGCGTTCTCTCGAGATCTTGTTGTTTAAATGCATGTAGCACCTCCCCCATCACGCTCTTGCTCCTGTGTCGGCCAAGTAAGATGTGTCTGCTCCCCCTTCGCCTTCCGCCATGATTGTAAGTTTCTTGAGGCCTTCCCAGAAGCTGGGCAGATGCCAGCATCATGCTTCCTGTACAGTCGGCAGAGCCACGAGCCAATCAATCCTCTTTTCTTGTCTCTTTTTTTTTTTTTTTCAGAGTCTTGTTCTGTTGCTCAAGCTGGAATACAGTGGTGTGATCTCCACTCACTGCAACCTCCACCTCCCAGGCTCAAGTAATTCTCGTGCCTGAGCCTCCTGAGTAGCTGGGATTACATGCATGCAGCACCAAGCCAGGCTAATTTTTTTTTTATTTTTATTGTAGACAAGGTTTCACTATCTTGGCCTGGCTGGTCTCAAACTCCTGGCCTCAAGTGATTCGCCCACCTCGGCCTCCCAAAGTGCTGGGATTACAGATGTGAGCCACTGTGCCTGGCAGTGTTTGTTTGTCTGTTTAGACGGAGTCTCGCTCTATCACCCAGGGTGGAGTGGGGGGCACGATCTCGGCTCACTGCAAGCTCCGCCCCCTGGGTTCACGCCGTTCTCCTACCTCAGCCTCCCGAGTAGCTGGGACTACATGCGCCCACCACCACGCCCAGCTAATTTTTTGTGTTTTTTTAGTAGAGACGGGGTTTCACCCTCTTAGCCAGGATGGTCTCAATCTCCTGACCTCGTGATCTGCCCGCCTCGGCCTCCCAAACTGCTGGGATTGCAGGCATGAGCCACTGCACCTGGCCCTTTTCATTTTATTTTTTTTAATTTAACTTTTATTTTAAGTTCAGGGGTACATGGCAGGTTTGTTATATAGGTAAGCTTGTGTCATGGAGGTTTGTTGTACAAATTATTTAATCACCCAGGTATTAAGCCTAGTACCCATTAGTTATTTTTGCTGATCTTCTCCCTCCTCCCACCCTTCACTCTCCAATAGGCCCCAGTATCTGCTGTTCCATTCTATGTGACAACGTGTTCTCATCATTTAGCTCCCACTTATAAGTAAGAACATGCGGTATTTGGTTTTCTGTTTCTGCATTAGTTTGCTAAGGATGATGGCCTCCAGCTCCATCCATGTCCCTGCAAAGAACACGATCTCATTCTTTTTTATGGCCACATAGTATTCCATGTAAACCTCCTTTCTTTATAAATTACCCAGTCTCAGGTATTTCTTTATAGCAATGCAAGAATTGCCTAACACAGGTCAGGTGCGGTGGCTCACACCTGTAATCCTAGCACTTGGGAGGCCCAAGCAGGCAGATCACCTGAGGTCAAGGGTTCAAGACCAGCCTGGCCAACACGGTGAAACCCCATTTCTACAAAAAATACAAAAATTCACTCGGCGTGGTGATGTATGCCTGTAATCCCTGCTACTCAGGAGGCTGAGGCAGGAGAATCACTTGAACCCAGGAGGCGGAGGTTGCAGTGAGCCGAAATCATGCCACTGCATTCTGTCCTGGGCAACAGAGCTAGACTCCATCTCAAAAAAGAGAAAGAAAAAAAGAATTGCCTAACACAACATTTGTCATGAAAAGGAGGTGAAGAAGGGTTGTCTCAACATCCTGGGTGGAGACTAGCAATGAGGGGACTTAGGGGACTTTGGGTTGCCTTGGAGAAAGTGCCATTTCTCATCTAGAACGAATACACTTTGTCAAGACTTGGGATTTTATTAGAAGGCCTGCCCATGGGCCCAGATAATCCATCAGGCTCTACAAACAGCTATGCCTCACTGGGTCCCGGCTCACCCAGAGAGCAAGCCTCTCAGCCTATGTAGCTCCCCTTTCTAGTCTCATCTTCAGAATTAGAGTCACAGTCTAGGCCAGCAGTTCTCAACCCTGGCTGTACCTAAGAGTCACCTGGGACACCCAGAGCCAGCCCCTAAAGATTCTCACTCAGTCGGGCTGGGCTGGATACCATGGATTGGTCCCTCTTGGAATCTCCCCAGGTGATTCTAATGTGCAGCTGAGGCTGAAGGCAACCACTCTAAGACAGTTAACTTTTAGAAAGCAATATGCATAGCGGAGTGAATGGCATTTTCCATTTTGTATTTTCTAAAGAAGAGTGTGTATATGCTCTTGTGTTTTTAGTAGAGACAGGGTTTCGCCATGTTGGCGAGGCTTGTTATATAGGTATTTTTATACCTATATAAAACTTGTTATATAGATATTCAGGATATTTCTGAAAGGATGCAGAAGAGATTGGGGACAGCAATTGCCTCTGAAGAGGGAGGCTAGGGAACTAGAAGTCTGGGGTGGGAGGGAGACTTGCTTCTCATCCTATTACCTTTGGTGCGATTGGGATTTGTTAACCAGGAGCATGTATTACTTGCTTTATTAAACATTTCCAGTATTTAAAAAAAGAGTATACAGAATAATACAACAAAACACCCATGTCCTCACAACCCAACTTAAGAAATAAAACATCACAATATAAATAATAAGTCCCTCCTTCACTCTTTGCCTTCCTCCTTCCCCAGAAGTAACTGTCACTCTGAATTTGGCATTCACTTTTACACTTCTCTTACATATAAACTTGGCTTACATTTGCTTTCAATTAATTCAGCTACTATTTATTTATTTACTTTGTATCCTACCATAGATATTCTTTTGCAATCTGGGTTTTTTTTTAACTCTACACTGTGTTTTTGAGATTTCACAGTGTTGATACAAGACTTTTTCAATTTCAGAAGTTGATTTTTTTAAGATTAGATAGATATATGGATGTTCTCACTGATATGTGGGAGCTAAACTATGAGGACCCAAAGGCATAAGAATGATACAATGGACTTTGGGGACTTGGATGGAAGAGTGGGAGGGGCCAAGGGATAAAAGACTACAAATATGTTGCAGTGTATACTGCTCAGGTGATGGGTGCACCAAAATCTCACAAATCACCACTAAAGAACTTACTCTTGTAACCAAACACCACCTGTACCCCAATACCTTATGGAAAAATAAAAATAATAATAAACATCTAAACATAAGAAAAACAAGGAAGGAAAAAAAATAGATGGATATATAACATTTGTGCATCAGGGCCGGGCATGGTGGCTCACGCGTGTAATCCCAGCACTTGGGAGGCCGAGGCGGGCAGATCACTTGAGGTCAGGAGTTCAAGACCAGGCTGGCCAACGTGGTGAAGCCCCATATCTACTAAAAATATAAAAATTAGCTGGGCATAGTGGCAGGGGCCTGTAATCCCAGCTACTCGGGAGGCTGAGGCAGGAGAATCACTTGAACCCAGGAAGCAGAGGTTGCAGTGAGCCGAGATTGCATCACTACACTCCAGCCTGGGCAACAGAGGGAGACTCCATCGCAAAATAAAATAAAATAATAAAATAAAAATAAACATGTGTGCATCAACTGCTTATAACTATATATTCAGACATCCAGAATATGATTTTACTGTGACTGGACTTCAGAATGTGTGCTGCGTGTGATCCTAGGTGAAGTTGTGTGTGTTCAGGCCCTGCTGAGCATGTGTGACCATGTGTACCTTGTGCCTGCAAGTGCAGGTATGAGAGTGTGTGGATGTGCTTTGTGGGGGATCTGATTGTCATTCAGCAAACATTCACTCCTTTCCTGCCCTCCACCTCCATGGAAGGAGACTCCTTCCTGCCCCATTAAAGTTGGTCTTGGTCATGTAACTTACTTTGGCCATTGGAGTGTGGCAGAAGTGATAGTGTGCCAATTTCCAACCTAGGACTTAAGGAGAATTGTACTTATCCCTTCCCTTTTTTGGTAGTTTCACACCTTCATGGTGAGAAAAACAAGTTCTAGAGCAGGGCTGCCCCAGTGACCCACAAATCAGGCAGCAAGAAACATATGCGAATTGTTCTATGCCCTTGAGATTGTGTGGCTTTGTTATGCAGCACAAATGACTAACTCATGCTTATTTTGCAGGACCCTTGGCCTAGACTGTCTAACTTCTGGGGCCTTACTCCTAGAAAAGTGTCATGCCCAAATGTAATGATGAATAAAGACTTGTTATTGGATTAAATGTGCTTGCACATGTGATTGCATACACTGGACATACATGTGCATGTGCATAGGGCACCAGCCAGTGTGAGAGCCAGAACAGGCATGCGTGTGAGATGTACACTAATAGCAGAGTGGTAGCTAAGTAATATCTGTCTGCACACATCTGCCTGGGGGGCCACACAAAAGGGCCTGAGTTCATTTAGCTGTGGACTCACTCCCTTTTCCAGAACCTTGCACATCCTGGAATGGAGCTGGAAACATCTTAGCCCTTGGAGGCAGGGAGGAAGCTTCCAGAACCATAGACAGCAGTAAACCCAATGCTGTATAACTGACCACACTTTCTCTCCCCTTCAAACTCCTTCAGCCTTCTTAAGATGGAGCACAACATTACCTTTGTGGCTATAGAGCTTAATTCATCTCCTGAGAAAAGTACTAGAAAGGGTCCCAAGTCCTTCGTGGTCTCAGCTGTCCAGTGCTGAGGGAGTCTAAAAAGAGATAATAACCAGTAAAGTGAAAAAACATGCTGTGGTGGACATCTGTTGCCTTTTCCCCCAGCACCCTTTTCTTTCAGGAACAGATTGTCTTATACTCATGTCAATCACATGGTCCCACTTCCTTGACCGAGAAAATTGGCATGTGATGCAGGCTGACCAATCAGAGTCATCCCTGGGAGTTTTGATGGAACTATCAGAGAAGCTCTCCTTTCTTGGTATCTCTGGCAGTAGGGGAGGATATTGGAGGACATTCATATTACCAAGTGGAAAAAGTAAAGACCACACCAAGGAACACAGAGCTGAGGGATGGGAGGAACATATTCCTGAAGATATCATTGGAGACACGGGATTCAGCCATGCCTGAAGACCACCAGTGGAGTTTCCCGTTACATTCCATTCCTGAATTCAATACATTCCCGTTCTCTTTAGTTTGAATTAAATTATTGAATTTCTGCCATTTACATCACAGTGTGTCCTTCTTCTCCCTCCTCAATAGAAGAGTAATTATATATTTCTTCCTTTTACTTTACCATAACAGTCTTCTCTTAGAATAAGAAAAAACCTTTCTCTTGAACTTGGCAGGATAAAATAAAGGCACTGACCCAGAATCCACTGTTATTCTTGTATAGATCATAAATGCCTACAGTGAAGAGCATTACACTATCTTTGGCGGCATCTCTAAAGGAGGTCTGCCCAATTAGCAGTGACAGCTGGTGGGAATGCAAAATCATACAGCCACTTTGGAAGACATTTTGTTGGTTTCTTACAAAAGCAAACATGTTTTTGCCATATAACCCAGCAAACACACTCTTTGGTATTTACACAAAGGAGTTGAAAACTTACGTCTACATGAAAACCTGTATATGGATGTTGATAGCAGCTTTATCCATAATTGCCAAAACTTGGAAGCAACCAAATGTCCTTCTGTAGGTGAATGGCTAAATAAACTGTGGTTCATTAAGATAATGAAATATGATTCAGCACTAAAAAGAAATGAGCTATCAAGCCAAAAAAAGACCTGGAGAAAACTTAAGTGCATATTACTAAGTGAAAGAAGTCTATCTGAAAAGGCTATCTACTGTATGATTCTAAATATATGATATTCTAGAAAAGGCAAAAGTATCAGTGGTTGCCAGGAATTAGGAGTAAGAGAGGAATGAACAGGCAAAGCCCGGAAGGATTTTTAGGGCAGTGAAAATACTCCATATGATACTATAATGGTGAATACATGTTATTATATACTTGTCTGAACCCATAGAATGTAAAGCACCAAGAGTGAACCCTAATGTAAAATATGGACTTTGGATGATAATGAGAATCCAATGACGATAATGTCAACATAGGTTCATCAGTTCTAACAAATGTACAACTTTGGGGGGGGATATTGATCATGGGGAGCTTATGCATGTATGGGGTCAGAGGGATATGGGAAATCTCTATCTTCTCCATTTTTCTGAGAACCTAAAACTAGTATTAAAAATAGTCTCTAGGGTCAGGCATGGTGGCCCATACCTATAATCCCAACACTGTGGGAGGCTTAGGTGGGTGAATCCCTTGAGCCCAGGAGTTCAAGACCCACCAAGGCAACATGGTGAAATTCCATCCCTTAAAAAAAAATACAAAAATTAGCTGGGTACAGTGATGTGCACCTGTGGTCCCAGCTACTTGGGAGGCTGAGGTGGGAGGATCACCTGAGCCCAGGGAGGTTGAGGCTGCAGTGAGCTGAGATCGCCCTCCTACACTCCAACCTGGGCAACAGAGCCAGACCTTGACTTTAAAAAAAAAAAAAAAAAAAAAAATTCTGGGTTTCTGGCATCTCAAAAAAAAAAAAAAAAAAAGGAAAGGTCAGGGCACATGGCTGCTACAGTCCTCTATTAAGCAATGTGCCACAGCAGGGGTCCCTGACCCCTGGGCCATGGACATGTACTGGTCTGTGGCCTGTTAGGAACTGGGCCACAGAGCAGAAGGTGAATGGTGGGTAACAATTGAAGCTTCGTCTGTATTTCTGGCTGCTCCCCATTGCTTGCATTGCTGCCTGAGCTCTGCCTCCTGTCAGATCAGCAGCATCATTAGATTCTTACAGGAGCATGAACCCTGTTGTGAATTGCACACACGAGGGATCCAGGTTGCATATTCCTTATGAGAATCTAATTCCTGATGATTTGTGGTGGAACAGTTTCATCCCAAGACCATTACCATCCTGCGCCCCATCCCATGCCGCCTGTGGAAAAATTGTCTTCCACAAAGCCGGTCCCTGGTGCCAAAAATGTTGGGGACTGCTGTGCTTTAGAATCTGCCATGAATCTGCAGCCTCTATTATATAGCTCCCTATAGACTTTGCTTCCTGATCAATGTACTTTGTAATCTGCCCCACTCTTAAGAAGGTTCTTTATAATCTCCCCCACCCTTAAGAAGTTTCTTTGTAATTCTCCTCACCCTTGAGAATGTACTTTATGAGATCCACCTCCTGCCCCCAAAACACTGCTCTTAACTCCACCGCTTATCCCCAAACCTATAAGAACCAGTGATAATCACACCACCCTTTGCTGACTCCTTTTTCGGACTCAGCCCGCCTGCACCCAGGTGAAATAAACAGCCATGTTGCTCACACAAAGCATGTTTGGTGGTCTCTTCACACAGACATGTGAGACAGGAGTTCGAGACCAGCCTGGCCAATCTGGTGAAACTCTGTCTCTACTAAAAATACAAAAATTAGCTGGGCATGGTGGCGGGCACCTGTAATCCCAGCTACTTGGGAAGCTGAGGCACAAAAATTGCTTGAACCCAGGAGGCAGAGTTTGCAGTGAGCCAAGATCACACTGTCAGGCCTCTGAGCCCAAGCCAAGCCACTGCATCCCCTGTGACTTGCACGTATACATCCAGATGGCCTGAAGTAACTGAAGATCCACACAAGAAGTAAAAATAGCCTTAACTGATGACATTCCACCATTGTGATTAGTTTCTGCCCCACCCTAACTCTTCAATGTACTTTGTAATCTCCCCCACCCTTAAGAAGGTACTTTGTAATCTCCCCAACCCTTAAGAAGGTTCTTTGTAATTCTCCCCACCCTTGAGAATGTACTTTGTGAGATCCACCCCTGCCCGCAAAACATGGCTCTTCACCCCCTATCCCAAAACCTGTAAGAACTAATGATAATCCACCACCCTTTGCTGACTCTCTTTTCGGACTCAGCCCGCCTGCACCCAGGTGAAATAAACAGCCATGTTGCTCACACAAAGCCTGTTTGGTGGTCTCTTCACACCGACGCGCATGAAACACACGACTGCACTTCAGGCTGGGCGACAGAGCTAGATTCCATCTCAAAAAAAATAAAATAAAAAGGAGTCACCACCCCCGAGAGGCCTCTGGACCACCCCATCTGAGCAGGCCACTCTTCCTTCTCTATCTTACCATCTTGTTTCTGTCCCAGTAGTTAGGGCTACCTCTAGTAATCCTATTTGTCCCTTTACTGTTTAGTGCGTCTCGCTTGACTAGAAGCTCCATGAAAGCAGAGACCCTACCTGCCTCCTTCGCCACTAGACCCCCAGGGCCCGGTATGTGGTGATCGCTCAGGGCCCATTTTCTTCCTTTCCTCCTCCTCCAAGGGTGGGGAAAGAGCATCAGAAGGTCTAGGTGGCCCCAGGCCCAAACAATGCTCCTTTAAAAGGAAACCAGATTGTTACAAAGGTCAGAGGCTGAAAAGTTATTTCCGCCTTTTATCCCTCTAAATTCTTCACTTCCTGAAAAAACAAACAAAAAAAAGCCACTGAGGGCCCTTGGACTAAATCCAGGCCTGAGTTGCTGGGCAGAGGTCAGTCTTGTCCAGACATGGGAAAAAAATAACTCGAGTCAGACAGGTGGGTCACCAGAGAACGAATCCAGCCTGCAAATGGCCTGTGCAATCTTCAGCTCTGTCCAGACCTGCCTCCCTCTGGGGATGCCTTTAAAGGTGATGAATGACCTGGATGAATGGGCTTAGAAGATAAGAGGGAAAAACAAATATCACAGGTCAAATCGTTATTTGTCTTCAAGTTTAACACCGTCTACTGGACTGAAAGATGTCCAAAGAATAGTTGTTCAACTATGTAAATTCCTTTTTTTTTTTTTTTTTTTTTGAGACAGAGTCTCGCTCTGTTGCCCAGGCTGGAGTGCAATGGTATGATCTTGGCTCACTGCAAGCAACCTCTGCTCCTGGGCTCAAACCATTCTCCTGCCTCAGCTTCCCAAGTAGCTGGGACTACAGGCATGTGCCACCACGCTCAGCTAATTTTAGTATTGTTAGTAGAGACAGGGTTTCACCATGTTGACCAGGCTGGTCTCGAACTCCTGACCTCAGGTGATCCACCTGCCTCGGCATCCCAGAGTGCTGGGATTACAGGCGTGAGCCACCGTGCCCGGCCAACTACATAAATTCCTAACAACGTATCTCCAGAAAGTATAGGCACAACAGCACATGCAGTCATTCCTGTAATTAAGTGCTCCGGGAGGCCAAGGCAAGAAGATCCCTTGAGCCCAGGAGTTTGAGACCAGCCTGGACAACATAGCAAGACTGTGTCTCTACAAAATATACAAAAATTGGGCTGGGGATGGTGGCTCACGCCTGTAGGCCCAGCACTTTGGGAGACCAAGGCAGGAAGATCGATTGAACTCAGGAGCTCGGGACCAGCCTGGACAACATAACGAGACCCAGTCTCTACTAAAACTCAAGAAAATTAGCCAGACGTGGTTGCATGTGCCTGTAGTCCCAGCACTTTGGGAGGCCAAGGTGGGTGGATCACCTGAGGTCAGGAGGTCGAGACCAGCCTGGCCAACATGGTGAAGTCTCGTCCCTACTAAAAATACAAAAATTAGCCAGGCACGGTGGCACACACCTGTAATCCCAGCTACTTGGGAGGCTGAGGCAGGAGAATGGATTGAACCCAGGAGGCAGAGGTTGCAGTGAGCCGAGATGGCACCATTGCACTCCAGCCTGGGCAACAGAACAAGACTCCATCAAAAAAAAAAAAAAAAAAAAAAAAAAAAAAAAAAAAAGAAAGAAAGAAGAAAATTAGCCAGGTGTGGTTGCATGCACCTGTAGTCCCAGCACTTTGGGAGGCCAAGGCAGGAGGATCAATCAAGGCTAGGAGATTGAGACTGCAGAAGGAAACCCTGTCTCTAAAAACAAGGTCCAGCTAAAATCAGGGTCCAGCTCCACCACAAGCACAGCTCCAGGGGCTGTTGAGTTTTGCCTCTACCATTCCAAGTAGTCTCTGCTCCAGACCAAGTCCCACCATCTGGCAGTCATGTCAGTCCAACCACAGTCATATCAAGGCGCTTCCAGTCATTGAGTGCCCCTTGAGGAGGCTGGAGGAGAGGCCAATGACATTTGCACTTGAGACTCCAGAGTCTAGATTTATAACCACTATGTTACGGCTGCCAGTGTGGCTGCAAGGACACTTCTTTCATTCATTCATTTACAATAGATGTAGCATCTGCTGTGTGCCAGATGCCATTCTAGGTTCTAGGGAAACAAGGCACAGCCCCTGTTTTCCAAGGCATCCACATTCTAGGAAAGACTGCTACCAGCCTGGCGTGGTGGCTCATGCCTGTAATCCCAGTACTTTGGGAAGCCGAGGTGGGCAGATCACTTGATGTCAGGAGTTCAAGACTAGCCTGACCAACATGGGGAAACCCCGTCTCTACTAAAAATACAAAATTATCCAGGTGCGGTGGCGCATGCCTGTAATCCCAGCTACTCGGGAGGCTGAGGAGGAGAATCGCTTGAACCCAGGAGGCGGAGGCTGTGGTGAACCGAGATCGCACCACTGCACTCCAGCCTAGGCAACAAGAGCGAAACACCATCTCAAAAAAAAAAAAAAAAAAAAAAAAAAAGGAAACCGCATCTCTACTAACAATACAAAAATTAGCTGGGCAAGGAGCTAGGTGATTATAGTACCAGCTACTCAAGAGGCTGATGCAGAAGAATCACTAAATCGCATCTCTACTAAAAATACAAAAATTAGCTGGGCAAGGAGCCGGGTGACTATAGTACCA
The DNA here is from genome assembly GCF_000001405.40 of Homo sapiens. Taxonomy (NCBI): domain Eukaryota; kingdom Metazoa; phylum Chordata; class Mammalia; order Primates; family Hominidae; genus Homo; species Homo sapiens. Next base: position 22,540,919 of record NC_000016.10, on the reverse strand, counting down.
GCTACTCAAGAGGCTGATGCAGGAGAATCACTTGAATCCGGGAGGCAGAGTTTGCAGTGAGTTGAGATTGCACCACTGCATTCCAACCTCGGCAACAGTGCGAGACCCTGTCTCAAAAGAAAAAAATAATATAAAGTGACCAGGTGTGGTGACTCACACCTGTAATCCCACCACTTTGGGTGGAAGCAGGAGGATCACTGGAGCCCAGGAGTTTGAAACCAGCCTAGGCAACATAGTGAGACCCTGTCTCTATATTAAACACACACACATGCACACACACACACACACACACACACAAAGGCAGCCAGACTATGCACAAGGAACTGCCCTGGGAATCCCTTTGCATTCTCACAACAATCCCATTTCACAGATGAAGAAACCAAGGCACAGAAATATTAAGTAACGTGTCCAGGTGTGGTGGCTCATGCCTATAATCCCAGTACTTTGGGAGGCTGAGGCAGGCAGATCACGAGGTCAGGAGTTCGAGACCATCCTGGCCAACATGGTGAAACCCTGTCTCTACTAAAAATACAAAAATTAGCTGGGTGTGGTGGCAGGTGCCTGTAATTCCAGCTACTCAGGAAGCTGAGGCAGGAGAATTGCTTGAACCCGGGAGGCGGAGGTTGCAGTGAGCCGAGATCACACCACTGCACTCCAGCCTGGGTGACAGAGCAAAACTCCGTCTGAAAAAAAAAAAAAAAAGAAGAAGAAGAAATACTAAGTAACTTGTCTGAGGCCACTTAGTTACCAAGACGTGGGAGCTGGGACTTGAACCCAGGCAGTCTGGCTGGATTCATGCCTGCAGCCTCTGCACTCCTGCTACTTACTGTGTGAGAAGCGCCTGTTCTGTGGAAGGTTGTGGGCTGAGATCTTTCCATGAGTTCCACTCATTTACCCCCAAGGCTGTTCTTAAAGACAGGCATGACAGTTATGCCCATTTTACAGATGCGGCCCTGAGGCTCACAAGGGCACGCCACTCGCCCATTTCCACAAAGCTATAGCTCGTTAGCGGAGGGCAGAATTCGGCCGCCTCTCCCCTAGCTCGAAGGCTGTGATTGACACAGAGGTTTTTTTGTTGTTGTTGCTGTTGTTTGTTCTTTTTTCTTTTCTTTTTTTTTTTTTTTTTTGAGACGGACTCTCGCTCTGTCGCCCAGGCTGGAGTGCAGTGGCGCGATCTCGGCTCACTGCAAGCTCCGCCTCCCAGGTTCACGCCATTCTCCTGCCTCAGCCTCCCGAGTAGCTGGGACTACAGGCGCCCGCCACCACGCCCGGCTAATTTTTTGTATTTTTAGTAGAGACGGGGTTTCACCGTGTTAGCCAGGATGGTCTCGATCTCCTGACCTCGTGATCCGCCCGCTCGGCCTCCCAAAGTGCTGGGATTACAGGCGTGAGCCACCGCGCCCGGCCCTTTTTTTTTTTTTTTTTTGAGACAGGGTCTTGCTCTGTCATCCCGGCTGGAGTGCAGTGGTGCGATCTCAGCTCACTGCAAACTCTGCCTCCAAGATGCAAATGATTCTCGTGCCTCAGCCTCCCAAGTAGCTGGAATTACAGGTGTGCACTACCACGCCCAGCTGTTTTTTGTAGAGATGGGGTTAGTAGAGATTTGTTTAATAGAGATGGGGTTTCACCATGGTCTCTACTAAACCCTGTCTCTACTAAAAATACAAAAATTACCCAGACGTGGTGGCACATGCCTGTAGTCCCAGCTACTCAAGAGGCTGAGGCAGGAGAATCACTTGAACCTGGGAGGTGGAGGTTGCAGTGACCCAAAATCATGCACTCTAGCCTGGGGTCTCGCTTTTGCCCAGGTTAGAGTGCAGTGGCACAATCACAGTGGCTCACTGCAGCCTCAAACTCCTGGGCTGAAGGGAATCCTCCCACCTCAGCCTCCCAAGTAGTTAGGACTATAGGCATGTGCCATCCTGGCGAGTTAATTTTTTGTGTGTTTTTATTCTCTCGAGACAGAGTCTTGCTCTGTTGCTCAGGCTGGACTGCAATGGCGTGATCTTGGCTCACCGCAACCTCCACCTCCGGGGTTCAAGCAATTCTCCTACCTCAGCCTCCCGAGTAGCTGGGATTACAGGTGCGTGCCACCATGCCTGGCTAATTTTGTATGTTTAGTAGAGACAGGGTTTCGCCGTGTTGGTCAGGCTGCTCTCGAACTCCTGACCTCGTGATCCACCTGCCTCGGCCTCTCAAAGTGTTGGGATTACAGGCATGAGCCACTGAGCCTGGCCTGGTGAGCTAATTTTTAAATTTGTTATAGAGACAAGAGAGACAAGAGTCTCTCTTATGTTGCCCAGGCTGGTCTCGACCCCCTGGCCTCAAGTGATCCTCCCACCTCAGCCTCCCAAAGTGCTGGGATTACAGATGGGTGTCACCGCACCTGGCCTCTGAGGAGGATTTCATTATAAACCTGCCCTGAAGGGAGGGAATCCAATTTTACGAGAGGGTGTAGCCTGGTGAGGCCTGGATGACCTCCGGAGGCAGGGGCTTGTGCCTGGGCTGAGGCCTAAGGGACAATGGGCAGACATGAAGTTGCCCCAGGCAGAGGGTACAGTGTGGGCAAAGTCAGGAAGTGGCAGGGCTTGGATCACTCCAGGAAGAGAGAGGAGTCATGTGTCACAGGAGCTCGAGACCCAGAGAGTGAGGCAGGGAGGCAGGGACCAAGCTTGGGCACAGCCAGGAAGGCAGGACAGGGCATGGTGGGGCCAATGGAATCATTACCCAAGACGGAGATTTTCAGGGAAACAGCTTAGATAAGGCCAGGCGTACAGTAGCTCCCACCTGTAATCCCAGCATTTGGGGAGGCTGAGGTAGGACTGCTGAGCCTGGGAGCTCGAGACCAGCCTAGGCAACATAGTGAGACCCCATATCCATAAAAAATTTAAAAAAGGAGTTTGTGTTCCTGTAGTAGCAGACTTGGGAGGTTGAGGTGGCAGTATCACTTGAGCCCGGGAGTTCAAGGCTAAAGTGAGCTGATTGAGCCATTGCACTCCAGCCTGAGCAACAGAGAGATACGCTGTCTCAAAGGAAATACAAATTAAAAAACCAGCCGGGCATGCTGGCGTGTGCCTGTAGTCTCAGCTACTTGGGACACTGAAGTGGGAGGATCGCTTGAGCCCAGGAGTTCAAGGCTGCCGTGAGCTATGATTGTGCCTCTGCAGTCCAGCCTGGGCGACAGAGAAAGACCCTGTCTCTTAAAAAAAAAAAAATCTTAGATAAGAGGATGCTGTGCCTCCCTGGGGGTCTTCAGTCACCCATAGTCCTGGCAAGAGAGGAGGGCCAGGAGAGAGCTTCACCCACCTGCTGTCCTGCCCATGTGACATCCGCAGGTGCTGCCATGGCCACGACTGATGTTACACTCGAGCTGAGGAGGCCGGCTGCAGCCCCAAGACAGAGCGCTACTCCTGGCAGTGCGTCAATCAGAGCGTCCTGTGCGGTGAGTCCCCAGCACCACCATGCCACCCACCCCGAGTATCCCCTGGGCATCCTGGCATAGCCAGATGACTTCCGTGCCCCTGTTGCAATAACCACTGCTTCCAAGTCTCTATAGACCACCCCTTGGGTATATCTAATGTAAGTGATATTTATTTTATTTATTTTTTGAGTCAGTCTCGCTCTGTCACCCAGGCTAGAGTGTGCTGATGTGATCTCGGCTCACTACAACCTCTGCCTCCTGGGTTCAAGCGATTCTCGTGCCTCAGCCTCCCAAGTGGCTGGGACTACAGGCATGCACCATGACGCGCAGCTAATTTTTGTATTTTTTTCAGTAGAGGTGGGGTTTCCCCAAGTTGGCTGGGCTGGTCTCAAACTCCCCACCTCAAGTGCTTTGCCCGCCTCGGGCTCCCAAAGTGCTGGGATTACAGGCATGAGCCGTGGTGTGTGGCCCTAATGTGAGTGATCTTTAACACTGAGCACTTGAAAAAGAAAACCCTGAAGAAACCTAATTCTTTGATGTCTGGACGACAAGGAAGAAGATAGAAATGGCATCAGATAATAAACAGTGTAAATGTTTATCAGAAAGAGGCTGGTGGTCGGGACAAGTAGGAGGATCGCTTGAGTCCAGGAGTGCATCTCTACAAAAAAGTTAAAGGATTTTTTAACATTGGCCAGGCGTGGTGGCACACATCATCTGTGATCCCAGCTACTTGGGAGGCTGGGGCAGGAGGATTGCTTGAAGCCCAGGAGGTTGAGGCTGCAGTGAGCTGTGATCGAGCCACTGCACTCCAGCCTGGGTGACACAGCAAAATCCAGTCTCAAAAAAAATAATAATAATATTTTACATAACCAACCACTTCTAAAGATTAAAAAAAAACCCCTATGATTAAAAACCTCAGGTCCCTCAGGCAATCATACCAGATATCGAAACAAAGCAATAACATAAGGACTGCAGTATTTATTTTATTTTTATATTATTTATTTATTCTTTGTTAGTTTTTGGAGTGTGGGTTTTGTTTTGTTTTTTGAATTTTTTATTTTGTTCTACTCGGTTTTATTCTTATTGCTCAGGCTTGAGTGCACTGGCCTCTTCTCAGCTCAACCTCCGCCTCTTGGGTTCGGGTAATGATGGTTCCACGTCAGCGGCCCTCCGCCTCTTGGGTTTGCGTGACGGTTCCACGTCACCGACCCTCCGCCTCTTGGGTTCGGGTGATGATGGTTCCACGTCAGCGGCCCTCCGCCTCTTGGGTTTGCGTGACGGTTCCACATCACCGACCCTCCGCCTCTTGGGTTCGGGTGATGATGGTTCCACGTCAGCGGCCCTCCGCCTCTTGGGTTTGCGTGACGGTTCCACGTCACCGACCCTCCGCCTCTTGGGTTCGGGAGGTGGTTCCATCTCAGCCGCCCTCTGCCTCTTGGGTTTGCGTGGTTTTTCTGCCTCAGCCTCCTGAGTAGCTAAGGGAGGTGTCTTGAGATTATCATCGGCTGAGGGTGGAAGCGGCCCCCGCAGACGCTCGGCAGGTGTCTTGATATTATCATCTGCTGAGGGTGGAGCTGAGGGTGGAAGGGGAGTGAGCTGACGCTCGGAAGGTGTCTTGAGATTATCATCCGCTGAGGGTGGAAGCGGCCCCCGCAGACGCTCGGCAGGTGTCTTGATATTATCATCTGCTGAGGGTGGAGCTGAGGGTGGAAGGGGAGTGAGCTGACGCTCGGAAGGTGTCTTGAGATTATCATCCGCTGAGGGTGGAAGCGGCCCCCGCAGACGCTCGGCAGGTGTCTTGATATTATCATCTGCTGAGGGTGGAGCTGAGGGTGGAAGGGGAGTGAGCTGACGCTCGGAAGGTGTCTTGAGATTATCATCCGCTGAGGGTGGAAGCGGCCCCCGCAGACGCTCCCCGCAGACGCTCGGCAGGTGTCTTGATATTATCATCTGCTGAGGGTGGAGCTGAGGGTGGAAAGGGAGTGAGCTGACGCTCGGAAGGTGTCTTGAGATTATCATCCGCTGAGGGTGGAAGCGGCCCCCGCAGACGCTCGGCAGGTGTCTTGATATTATCATCTGCTGAGGGTGGAGCTGAGGGTGGAAGGGGAGTGAGCTGACGCTCGGAAGGTGTCTTGAGATTATCATCTGCTGAGGGTGGAAGCGGCCCCCGCAGACGCTCGGCAGGTGTCTTGATATTATCATCTGCTGAGGGTGGAGCTGAGGGTGGAAGGGGAGTGAGCTGACGCTCGGAAGGTGTCTTGAGATTATCATCCGCTGAGGGTGGAAGCGGCCCCCGCAGACGCTCGGCAGGTGTCTTGATATTATCATCTGCTGAGGGTGGAGCTGAGGGTGGAAGGGGAGTGAGCTGACGCTCGGAAGGTGTCTTGAGATTATCATCTGCTGAGGGTGGAAGCGGCCCCCGCAGACGCTCGGCAGGTGTCTTGATATTATCATCTGCTGAGGGTGGAGCTGAGGGTGGAAGGGGAGTGAGCTGACGCTCGGAAGGTGTCTTGAGATTATCATCCGCTCAGGGTGGAAGCGGCCCCCGCAGACGCTCGGCAGGTGTCTTGATATTATCATCTGCTGAGGGTGGAGCTGAGGGTGGAAGGGGAGTGAGCTGACGCTCGGAAGGTGTCTTGAGATTATCATCGGCTGATGGTGGAAGCGGAATCCGCAGACGCTCAGCAGGTATCTTGATATTATCATCTGCTGAGGGTGGAGCTGAGGGTGGAAGGGGAGTGAGCTGACGCTCGGAAGGTGTCTTGAGATCATCCGCTGAGGGTGGAAGGCAGGTGTCTTGATATTATCATCTGCTGAGGGTGGAGCTGAGGGTGGAAGGGGAGTGAGCTGACGCTCGGAAGGTGTCTTGAGATTATCATCCGCTGAGGGTGGAAGCGGCCCCCGCAGACGCTCGGCAGGTGTCTTGATATTATCATCTGCTGAGGGTGGAAGGGCAGTGAGCTGACGCTCGGAAGGTGTCTTGAGATTATCATCCGCTGAGGGTGGAAGCGGCCCCCGCAGACGCTCGGCAGGTGTCTTGATATTATCATCTGCTGAGGGTGGAGCTGAGGGTGGAAGGGGAGTGAGCTGACGCTCGGAAGGTGTCTTGAGATTATCATCCGCTGAGGGTGGAAGCGGCCCCCGCAGACGCTCAGCAGGTGTCTTGATATTATCATCTGCTGAGGGTGGAGCTGAGGGTGGAAGGGGAGTGAGCTGACGCTCGGAAGGTGTCTTGAGATTATCATCCGCTGAGGGTGGAAGCGGCCCCCGCAGACGCTCGGCAGGTGTCTTGATATTATCATCTGCTGAGGGTGGAGCTGAGGGTGGAAGGGGAGTGAGCTGACGCTCGGAAGGTGTCTTGAGATTATCATCCGCTGAGGGTGGAAGGGGATGGAGCAGACACTCGGCACGTGTCTTGAGATTATCATCCGCTGAGGGTGGAGCTGAGGGTAGAGCTGAGGGTGGAAGGGGAGTGAGCAGACACTCGGGAGGTGTCTTGAGATTATCATCCGCTGAGGGTGGAAGGGGAGTGAGCAGACACTCAGGAGGTGTCTTGAGATTATCATCCGCTGAGGGTGGAAGGGGAGTGAGCACACACTCGGGAGGTGTCTTGAGATTATCATCCGCTGAGGGTGGAAGGGGAGTGAGCACACACTCGGGAGGTGTCTTGAGATTATCATCCGCTGAGGGTGGAAGGGGAGTGAGCAGACACTCGGGAGGTGTCTTGAGGCTCAGGGAGTTATCAGTTATAGAATGTTGTTGAGTTGGAGGAGGTGGCTGGTGGCCCATCCTGTTTTTTAAAGTTTCAGCTGTGAGGTAGGGCCAGTAGGGCAATCCTGAAGAATGACGATGCTCCGCTGCCGCCATTCTGACCTGTAGGGCCAAAGGAGGGAATGTTTTCACACATATTCATTTGATGGACAAAATTACCGCCACCAACACAGTCTGCACCTTCTGTTGCTGGTGATAGATTTTTGCACCTTTCCATCCTCCAGGTTTCAAAATAGCAGTATCAGTGTCATAATATCACCCTTCCACTGAGTACTGCCGACAGCTGGAGGGTAAAGGAAAGTCATTGGGACACACTGTTGTCTCCACATGCCACTGTGTCTGTCTGCAAATGTAGGCAGGCTGGGGTCCTGCCCCAGGGAAGACAGAGTCATAACAGAGTAATAAAGAAGCATGTTTGAGACACAGGAGTGTCTATGTCTATCCTCATTCCTCCCTCACAGCCATCACCAGAGCATGTTTCTTGCACCAGGTCAACAGACAGTAAGAGACAGTAAGAGAGGCATGAAAAGCCCACTGTCCACACATGTTGCAGCTTCTTTTTGGAGAATGTTTTCCAGGCCTTTTATGTTCTGTCTCTGATTCTCAGAACTCTGCAAGGTCAGTGTGACCACCCTGCTCCAAATCTAAGAAAACAGAGGTTTCCAGAGGAAGGAGAAATTGTGCCCAGGGTCACACAGCTTGCAAGAGGCAGAGTGGAAGTTGATTCCAGCTCTGCCTGCAGGACCCTCTCATTTCCCTTCTGTTTCCCTTCTTGACAAAGGATCTTCTTCACTCTGGAGGTGCCACCCATGAGAACAAAGAGCTCTGGAGAGATGTGGATTCCTGAAGAGCTGCAGGGGAACTGGGAGAGGGTTTTCTGACAGAACAATCTCACCTCAAGAAGTCACTTAGGCATGGCTGTAATATTTCTTTTCACTCCCAGGTAATACCAAATTGTAAGTGCACTAGGACATAAAGAATACTTTTGTCCATGGAAAAATGAGGTGGGAATTCTAAACAAAGCAAGTTTTAAAACTGTGTTTCACTTCAAGTGTACAAGTCCCATCACGTGTAATCATAGGACTCGGCAGCTTTTGAAGGTACAGAGGCCACACAAGAACCAGCTTAGCTGAGCATCATTTAAGGCCTTCATTTGGAATTGTCCCTGTGGGTAATAAGTTACATTCACTCTTCACTAGTTTACAGTCAGGGCCCATCTGCTATTACAAATACGGAACCTCTGACACTTAGAATATTAGATCAGGGGCCCCACTGGGTGGGGATGAAGGTGTTTTTGCGCAACACGGTTACCAACAGGGATGGGACTGTGATGCTTGTAGGCAGCCTTTCTCTCTGCCATCTCCCTCTGCAGGGCTTGAGCACAGAGCTGTAGGGAGAAAAATGTATCCATGTCCTGACCTGGCAGACTATGTCCAAAAGCAAGGAAAACAAGCAAACTTACCCAGTTGCAAAGAGCCTTTCTTGCAGAAGGGGGGATCTGAAAAAGCCAACACATGAGAAATTGAATGTTGAGAGAGTCTAAGGGCCGTGGCATCATCTGCATCAGCACTGAACTATCCTGCAACTGCAGGGAGGAAGCTCCTTACTTTGCATTTGTGGTAGTCCTCTGCTCGCCGCCGCAACTCTTGCGCACGTTGAAACATTTTCCTATGGATTACAATCACTTTCATCAGATAAAGCACCACTTTCAGGATGATTTTAAATAATCTGCCATGTTTCTGTTATCCTCACAACTGTACCCTTACACAATCTATCTCTACCTAGAAAACGTATTTCAGATGGCTAGAAGAGTACAGTCTGAGCCGGTCACGGTGGCTGACGCCTGTAATCCCAGCACTCTGGGAGGGCGGGGCGGATGGATCACGAGGTCAGGAGATTGAGACCATTGTGGCTAATATGGTGAAACCCCTTCTCTACTAAAAATACAAAAAATTAGCCAGGCGTGGTGGCAGGCACCTGTAATCCCAGCTACTCGGGAGGCTGAGGCAGGGGAATCACTTGAACCTGGGAGGCGGAGGTTGCAGTGAGCCAAGATCACGTCATTGCACTCCAGCCTGGGTGACACAGCGAGACTCCATCTCAGAAAAACAAAAACAAAAACAAAAAAACTGTACAGTCTGATCCAAACTGTTGCTGTATTGATTCCTCCTCTTGCTTACTGCCTGCTGACTTCTGAGATGATAGTTTCCTTCCCCATTCTCAGTACATCCCTAATTCATCCTTCATTGAGCATCTTTTATCATAAAGCTGTATTCTCTTTGTATTAATATCCTTACCGTGTTTCACAGGGCAGAAACAGCTGGGCTTATAAACAGGCATAGTCCTTTTGAAGGATGTGGTTGATCCTACAACAACACACTTTCCTAAGGATGACAACAACTCACCCCACCCCTAGAATGGCTGGTATGAACCGAGTTTCCACACAGTCTAGCTGGCAATGGGGTCAGGAGACGTTTTGCTACTTCACATCTTTTGGTCACTGGTAAATATTAAGGTACTTTGTTTTCTGTTTTGTGAACTCTCTCTCGCTCTCTCTCACGATATGTCTTCTGACCGTTTGTTTCTATTTCTGCATTTACTGGGTCTAAATACTGTACAAAGGTTAAAAACAACACTCCAATGGGCGTTTCCCAAGAGGGTGGGGTACAGTTTCTGAACTCACTTGTAGGTGTGTATTTCTTTCATATCCAATTTCCCATTTTCCTCTGCCTCTGATACCTGCCTCTCCTTTTCTGCATGCTCACATTCTTTCACGCTTAGTTTCCTCAGATTAGAAGGGAGAGAAATGCACACACATGATCCACCAGCCCGTGTGGGATTCCCTCTGCCCTTCTGGCATCTGAAGGCTGTGATTCAAAGATCCCCCCTGCAACCTTCCCACAAATGAACCAACTGATTCTCACAACCGAAGGGAGAATTGACACCTCCCATTGAGGGACAAAAAAAAGTCACACTCTGGCCTGCTGGCAAGTCACCTGTCATTTCCAGCTCATCTTCATAGTTCCATAGTTAGTCCTATTCTTTAGTAAATATAAAGACTATTAAAAGCTTCTATGAGGTGCACTATGTGTGTCTCTGGGGTCAGTCTTGTGCTTGACACAGCGAAAGCTCATTTTAGTTCAGTGTGAAAAACCAGACCTCACCAATTCATCACAACTAACTCCATCGGAAGCAGAGGATTGCTCCTCATCTGACTCCTCCTGTGTGAGACCTGATTCTCAGTCAGAGGCTGATGCCGGAACTGAGACCATCAGCCATAGAGAGATCCTTCCAGAATAACCCCGCAGTTCACTACTGCACTTTGCCATGATTCAGGACTGGAACTCTTGTCATCGACTTTAAAGATCCTGGTTGAGAGAAAAGGCAATCTGAATGCTGGGCGCATCTATTGAATTAGAAATGATCGGAATGGCTCCTAAGTCAGGGTGTTATGTCCTGAAAATAGGTGACAACGGCAAACCATCCACCCTGGTGTTGACTGACTTTAACAAGGTTCAGTTCACAGAGATTGAGGGCAGAAAAAGGAAACGGCCTCAAAAGGGTAAGTTTGCTGTGTTGCCCTCATACCACTTGATTCATGGTCCTGATCCTAAGGATCTCACCTGATACTTGGCTTTATAGGAAGGATGTGTAAAATTCCCAGAACGCTAGGAAACAGGGGCGAAAACACTTCAAAGAGAAAGTTAATGAACTTGTTTCTGACCACAAGGCATCCTTCAGCACATGCTGTCTGGAGTGGCCTCAAACAAGGAGTGTGTGGTGTGGTGCTGAGAATGCAATGGGAGCAGGGTCCTGTCCCCACGCTAAAGAAGCTCACAGCTTAATGCAAATGAGAAGCCAGTGAGGACATCACTACTCCTGCTGTGCACTTGGGAACTAGAAACACAAAACCTGACTCTGGAGGGAAGCTAAGGAAGCATTCTACTCTTGAGTTGACATAAGTGCATCTGAAGCTTCTGATCTCCGATGAGAACAATGGGGGACACCAAACAGAATATAAAACCCATGATTGAATACATCAAATTGCTAACATGGCAGTAAACAGACATGAGGTGAAGATGGAGAAGAAGGAAACCCAGGACGAAAGTCAGCCTCGCATTTGGAACCCATTTCCCTGCGTTTCATTGCTGAATTCCAGAAGGAACTACTGAGATGCAAAGAAGCACAGCAGCTTTTGCACACATGCGTGGGATTAGATGGAAAACAAGTGGATTGAGGGTCTGCCAATGAAAGCGACCCATACTGAAGTCCACTGGCTCTGGTTGAGACCCAGAAGAGTCATGCATCAGAATAAAGGTGGACAGGAAATACCCTGGCCTTTGTAGGGACTGAGCCTGCACCGACGACTTCAATTGCAGCCTGTATGGAGGACCCCTGACCATCCCCCAGAAGTAGACTCCCATCTCTTCTGCAGCAAGATAACATGCTACTAGGCCTCAATTCATTGCTAAACATTTTTTAACAAGTATCTCACATTTAACAAAAAAAGATCAGTCATATGGCAGCAAAATACAATGTCATATGACCAAAACATGAAAGACTGTGAAAATGAATCTGGAGGTGACCCAAGCATTGAATTCAACAATCCAGGCTGGGTGCGGTGGCTCACACTGGGAGGCTGAGGTAGGCAGATCACCTGAGGTCAGGAGTTCAAGACTAGCCTGGCCAACATGGTGAACCCCTGTCTCTACTAAAAATACAAAAATTGGGCCGGGCACGGTGGCTCACGCCTGTAATCCCAGCACATTGGGAGGCCGAGGTGTGCGGATCATGTCAGGAGTTCTAGACCAGCTTGGCCAATATGGTGAAACCCCGCCTCTACTAAAAATACAAAAATTATCCGGGCATGGTGGCATATGCCTGTAGTCCCAGCTACTCAAGAGGCTGAGGGATAAGAATCGCTTGAACCTGGGAGGTGGAGGCTGCAGTGAGCCAAGATCATGCCACTGCACTCTAGCCTGGGTGACAGAGTGAGACTCTGTCTCAAAAAAAAAAAAAAAAAAAAAAAAAAAAATTGGTCAAATGTGGTGGCACACACCTGTAATCCAAGCTACTCGGGAAGCTGAGGCAGAATTGCTTCAAACTGGGAGGCAGAGGTTGCAGTGAGCCAAGATTGCACCATAGCACTCCAGCCTGGGCGACAGAGCGAGACTCTATCGCAAAATTAAAAAAAAAAAAAAAAAAAAAAAGGCTGGCTGTGGTGGCTCACGCCTCTAATCCCAGCACTTTGGGAGGCTGAGGCAGGTGGATTACCTGAGGTCAGAAGTTCGAGACCAGCCTGGACAACATGGTGAAACCCCATCTCTAGTAAAAATACAAAAATTAGCTGGGCGTGGTGGTGGGCACCTGTAATCCCAGCTACTTGGGAGGCTGAGGCAGGAGAATTGCTTGAACCCAAAAGGCAGTGAGCTGAGATTGTGCCATTGCACTACAGCCTGGGCAACAACAGCAAAGCTCCATCTCAGGAAAAAAAAAAAAAAAAAAAAAAAAAAGAGAAAGGAAAACCAATGCCAGTACTAGCAACTCCTCTTCCTCCGAAAAAATGAAAACAAGAATGTAGGAAGGGAAAGGAATTATACAGCTTAAACTAATGAAGCAGAAAGGACAAACTCAATTTTGAACCCACTGAATTTGCCACAAATATTGTAGAAAATATTCTCAAGGACTTTACAGTTGTCTACTTTGATTGGCACATGGTTCATACAACAGTATTTGTGTCAAGGCACATCTTACTGTTTTCTGGCGGTCTTCCTCTTTCCATTGATTTTGTCATGATGGTTGATTTTCGTTGTCACCTTCCTCTTACGGATTTTAGCTCTAACTTTTGTTTCCACATGTCTCCGTAGAGTAATGACGTCTTTCAGGCCAATTTTATTTCCTCGAAAGGAAGAAACTCTTTTCTTTGTGTGCATACAAATGGACCTCAGCCCTTGGTGAGAGTGAGGAGAGGAGAAGGTGAGAAACCTGAGGGCAAGAAGCTGTTCTTTCCCTTTCCAGGGCAAACTCATTTCCACACTATGCGGATTCCAACAGAGCCATACCTTCCTGTCTACGGCGGTTGGACCTCCAGGCTCTCTGCTGTACATCCGTGGATCCATCATGTCCATTTCGAGACCAGAAGATAGTCTTCAGGAGAGACACCTAGGAAATAATAATATAAGAATGACGGCTGGGCACGGTGGCTCATGCGTATAATCCCAGTACTTCGGGAGGCCGAGGCAGGTGGATCACGGGGTCAGGAGTTCAAGACCAGCCTGGCCAAGATGGTGAAACCCCGTCTCTACTAAAAATACAAAAATTAGCCGGGCATGGCAGCGGGCGCCTGTAATCCAAGCTACTCGGGAGGCTGAGGCAGAGAACCGTTTGAAGCTGGGAGGCGGAGGTTGCAGTGAGCCGAGATCACACCACTGCACTCCAGCCTGAGCGACAGAATGAGACTCTGTCACATACACACACACACACACAAGAATGACATGAGGCTGGCACGGTGGCTCACTCCTGTAATCCCAGCACTTTGGGAGGCCGAGGCAGGCGGATCACCTGAGGTCGGGAGTTTGAGACCAGCCTCACCAACATGGAGAAACGCTGTCTCTGCTAAAAATACAAAATTAGCCAGGCATGGTGGTGCATGCCTGTAATCCCAGCTAGTCGGGAGGCTGAGGCAGGAGAATCACTTGAACCCAGCAGGAAAAGCTTGTGGTGAGCTGAGATTGTGCCATTGCACTCCAACCTGGGCAACAAAATTGAAACTCTGTCTCAAAAAAAAAAAAAAAAAAAAAAAAAAAAATAGGCCAGATGCGGTAGCTCACGCCTGTAATCCCAGCACTTTGGGAGGCCGAGGCGGGTGAATCACAAGGTCAAGAGATGGAGACCATCCTGGGCAACATGGTGAAACCCCGTCTCTACTAAAAATACAAAAATTAGCTGAGCATGGTGATGCACGCCTGTAGTCCCAGCTACTCGGGAGGCTGAGGCAGGAGAACTGCTTGAACCCAGGAGGCAGAGGTTGCAGTGAGCCAAGATCCCACCACTGCACTCCAGCCTGGTGACAGAGTGAGACTTCGTCTCAAAAAAAAAAAAAAAAAAAAAAATGACATGAATATACTTCACACAACTGAACTGTACACTTCAACACGGTTAGATGGTAATTATCATCTTATAAGTATTTTACCACAGGTTAACATGTTTCACAACTTGAAAAGGAAGTAATTACCTTCAGCTCTCTGAGTTCTAGAATTTGTAACATTTCATCCCCTGCTCCTTCCTGATCTGCACTGGAGCATCTTCCTTCTGTCCCTGCTCTACTCAGAGTTCACTTTCCCTTCCCTCACATCAGCTTCATTGAGGCTGGTTTGAACTTAACGCAAAACATTCTCACTAATGACTGAATTCCCACCAAGATTTCCATATTATCACAGTATGCTTTTAATCTTCTAAGATATTAAATATTTCTTCTCATCATAGCTAAAATGCAATGCAAATCCCATCTCAGATGTGGGTCAGATACCTATGAATCTCCTGAGGTGGTCATTGAAATGACTTTTTTCTTGAGACAGAGTGTCACTCTCAACCGTGCTGAAGTGCAGTGGCGCTACCTTGGCTCACGGCAACCTCCACCTCCCAGATTCAAGCGATTCTTGTGCCTCAGCCTCCCAAGTAGCTGGGATTACAGGTGCCTGCTACCATGCCTGGCTAATTTTTGTCTTTTTAGTAGAGATGGGGTGTCACCATGTTGGCCCATCTGGTCTTGAACTCCTGACCTCAAATGATCCATCTGCTTCAGCCTCCCAAAGTGCTGGGATTACAGGCATGAGCCACCACACCTGGCCTGAAATAATATCTTTCAAATTCTTTGTAGAATTTGTTTTTTCCTGATTTCTGCACATAGGATAAAAAAAAAATCATGTACTAGGATTTCGAGAGAAGCAATGGGTAATCTAAAAAGATGAAAAGAGCAACCACGTCAATCCCACAGCTACTGCTAGATTTCATAGGAAAGGTAGCTGGCCCAGTTTGGAGCTAGGGGAAATGTCAAACACATGAAGAAATGAGAAGCCAAGAAATGCCATCACGCATGAATGCTTCATGGCACCCATGATGTCCCTGCTAAGGAGGTAATGGTATAGATGACTAGATGACAAGGACAAAGATGAGAGGTGCGAAGTTGTCCAAGTCCAACAGCTCAACTGAACTTTCCTAAGTGGAATTGTTAAAAAGTGGTAAATTTAAAAACTTCCCCTGGCTCACGTGGTGGCTCACGCTTGTAATCCCAGCACTTTGGGAGGCTGAGGTGGGTGGATCATTTGAGGTCGGGTTTTGAGACTAGCCTGGCCAACATGGTAAAACCCCGACTCTACTAAAAATACAAAAATTAGCTGGGCATGGTGGTGGGCACCTGTAATCCCAGCTACTTGAGAGGCTGAGGCAGGGGAATCACTTGAAGCCAGGAGGTGGAGGTTGCAGTGAGCCGAGGTCACACCATTATACTCCAGCCTGGGCAACAGAAGGAGACTCGTCTTCGGGGTGAGAAAAGAAAAAAAAAAAAGAAAAAAGCTTCCTCCAATTTATACCGAAAATTCTCTGTTCAGGACTAAGTGGCATAGAGAATGTTAAATGTGCCTAGATATCTTCATAACTCATATATTTTCTGTTTTCTACATATCTTGAAAGGCAGTGCCAAATGACGTGTAATTATCTAGGTGGTAAAACTGAAACATACTTCCTCTTCCCTTGAATATAAAAAAGCATTGTGGTATTAGTACTTTTATCTTGGATCATTGTTCAGAAGGAGGTTCAGCCCCCAGACAACCACATTTTTACTGTCATGAATGGCAAGACAAAATGTAGAGCTCAACTTACCCAAAGGAAAAAAGGCTCAAAAGACAAATTATGGCACAACTTAGCAGCCAAATTCTTACCAAGTACAGACTTTTGACATACTGATCTCTCTCCAGTTCCAAGTCGGAACATGCACTTTGAATGATGTCATTCAAAATTACCCTGCCCAGACACACTTTTCATTGATTCTCTTGGAGGGCAGTTCTAAGAGTCTCTGGGGCTTTCTCTGCATCATGAGACGCAGTGCAGTTCTGCCCTTCACCTTCCGGCAGTTTGTCACCTCGTCCCTATGACCTCACAGGAACTTTGTCTCAGGCCAATTGTTTGTTCCTTGGCCTCTTTCATTTCCCCTAAAAATCATTTGCTGCCCCTCTAAATGGCCTACATCTCCATCTATCTCCCTCTCCCCTCAGAAGAGGGTGCTCTTTAAGCATCAGCCATCCGGCCCTTCTAGCAGTCTCATTTTTCAGCTGGTTCCCATGTTTATGCCTGTTCTATGTTTTTCTTTTCCTGTTAAGCTGTCTGTTGTCAGCTCATTTCTGCAGTGAATCTTCAGAGAGGAGATTGGAAGCTTTCCTTCCACCCATACGATAGAACTATAAAGCAGAAGAGTTTAGAAAGAATTTCCTATTTAAGTGACGAAACCTCATACTCCATTTGTGATAAATAGCACAAAGGTTAAAAAAACTTATTTTTGACCAAAAGCTCTGTTGACATTCTATTAAACAAACACCGACCTATTTAATTTTCATAATGCAAATGGCAGATGTTTTCATAATTCTTATACTAATAAATCATTTCCCTGATTTTTTGGGTAAAACCACATATTCATAATGAAGTCCAGAAATGTGAATTGTTTTATATAATTTATTCTTATTTGTGATTACAAGTATACCTCTACAGAAAGTTAGTATACTCACCCAAAGGTAAACTATCCAGAGGGTAATGACAACTTTATAACTTGTCGGAAACGCAATAATGACATGTAACCAAGGACTTCCACCAAAGTCAGTCCCACGATGATGATGGTCAGCCAGAGTATTGATAACCTGGAATAATAATAGTTGAAATAATGAAAAGGTCAATGACACTGACAATATTTCACTCAGAAAGAATCATCCTTAGAAACCGTCAACCTCCTCCAAAAGGTAACCACATCCCTCAGATATCACCGTGGGATTCCACTGCTACAAAAAAGAACAGAAGTTAGAAGTCACATGTTTTTCAGATGGCTGGTAGTGTTTTCAGGCATTGCAAATGTGGGGTGTTGTCTTTCTTGGTATAAAGCAGGGATATCCAATCTTTTGACTTCCCTGCCTATATTAAAAGAAGCAAAGTTGTCTTGAGCCACACATAACATACACTAACACTAACAATAGCTGATGATCTAAAAAAAACCTCTTTTTTTTTTTTGAGACAGAGTTCCGCTCCACTCAGTCGCCCAGGCTGGAGTGCAGTGGTGCAATCTCGGCTCACTGCAACCTCCAGCTCCTGGGCTCAAGCCATTCTCCTGCCTCAGCCTCCCGAGTAGCTGAGATTACAGGTCTCTGCCACCATGCCCGACTCATTTTTGTATTTTTAGTAGAGATGAGGTTTCACCACGTTGGCCAGTCTGGCCTTGAACTCCTGACAGGCGATCTGCCTACCTCGGCCTCCCAAAGTGCTGGGATTACAGGTGTGAGCCACCGTGCCCAGCCATTTTTTTGTTTTTGTTTTTGTTTGTTGTTTTTGAGATGGGGTCTCACTCTGTCACCCAGGCTGGAGTGCAGTGGTGTGCTCCCGGCTCACTGCAACCTCTGCCTCTCAGGTTCAAGTGATTCTCCTGCCTCAGCCTCCTGAGTAGCTGGGAGTACAGGTGCCTGACAGTGCACTCAGCAAATTTTTGTATTTTTTGTGGAGATGGGGTTTTGCCATGTTGGTCAGGGTGGTCTCGAACTCCTGACCTCAGGTAATCTGCCCGCCTCAGCCTCCCAAAGTGCTGGGATTACACGCATGAGCCACTGTACCTGGCCAAAATCTCCTAATGTTTTAAGAAAGTTTACAAATTTGTGTTGAACTGCATTCAAAACTGTCCTGGGCCACATGCAGCCCGTCACTCATGGGTAAGACAAGCTAAGTATAAAGTAATTATCTTATCTTTTCTTTTCTTTTTGTTTTGAGACAAAGTTTTGCTCTGTCACCCAGGCTAGATTGCAGTGGCATGATCTCAACTCACTGCAACCTCCGCCTCCCGGGTTCAAGCGATTCTCCTGCCTCAGCTACTGAGTAACTGGGATTACAGGCGCCTGCCACCACGCTCGGCTAATTTTTGTATTTTTAGTAGAAACAGGGTTTCACCATCTTGGCCAGGCTGGTCTCCAACTCCTGACCTCATGATCCACCTGCCTTGGCCTCCCAAAGTGCTGGGAATACAGGTGTGAGCCACTGCACCTGGCCAGTAGTTATCTTTTCTTTAAAGTTATTTACTTGTTTTTTAAATTGATGTATAACATTGGATGCATTTATTATATATCACATGGTAAAAGAATCCCTCTAAATAATACTTCTCTCTTGGATTATATGAATCTTTGTCATTTAAATCTCAGCATAAGTAAAAAAAAAAAAAAATACAATGAAGAGATTACTTCATTCACAAATAAGTATCAAATTTTAGTGCTTAAAAATTAACAAGGTGGGCTGGGCGTGGTGGCTCACGCCTGCAATCCCAGCACTTTGGGAAGCCGAGGTGGGTGGACCACGAGATCAGGAGATTGAGACCATCCTAGCTAACACGGTGAAACCCGTCTCTACTAAAAATACAAAAAATTAGCAGGGCATGGTGGCACGTGCCTATAGTTCCAGCTACTTGGGAGGCTGAGGCAGAAGAATCACTTGAACCCGGGAGGCAGAGGTTGCAGTGAGCCGAGATCGCACCACTGCACTTCAGCCTGGGTGACAGAGCGAGACTCTGTCTCAAAAAAAAAAAAAAAAAAAAAAAAAAAAAAAAAAAAAATTATCAAGGTGGAGATCATGAAAATGGCATGAATAGTGTGGGATTTCTCTAAGATTGTTGATATTAATTCCATTAGACTCTTATGTGAGTGAAGACGAAGACTTCCCCTGAGTAAGTTCAGACAGCTTGTGATAACATTTCTACGTCGATTCCTCAGGATTTAACTATATATTCTTGAAAACATCTCAATTTTAAATGTTTCTTTCAAGATGGTGAATTAAACAGAGATAGCCCTTCAACAGGTTGAACTCAGCATATGCTGAGTCTGAAATGGAAATGATGAAGTTAGAGAACCATACAACAATGGTAATGATTTCAGAAACATGGTGTTGAGCAGAACAAAGCAGACACAAAAGAGTACCTATGGCATGGCATGCATCTGTATACGCGAAATTCCAGAATAAGCAAGCTAACCTATGATAAGAAAGAGACTGGCTGGGAAGACTGAGAGTTCACTTTCTGGGGTGACATAATAGTGTAGATCTTGGCTGGGCATGGTGGTTCACGCCTGTAATCCCAACGCTTTGGGAGGCCGAGGCGGGCGGATCACCTGAGGTCGGGAGTTCAAAACCAGCCTGACCAACATGGAGAAACCCTATCTCTACTAAAAATACAAAATTAGCTGGGAGTGGTGCCACATGTCTGTAATCCCAGCCACTCGGGAGGCTGAGGCAGGAGAATCGCTCGAACCTGGGAAGCAGAGGTTGCGGTGAGCTGATATTGCCCCATTGCACTCCAGCCTGGGCAACAAGGGAGAAACTGTCTCAAAATAAATAAATAAATAAATAAATAAATAAATAAAATAATGTAGATCTTGAAAGGGGGTTGGTTTATGCTGGTGTATGTACTTTCCAAAGTTAGTAAACTTACACTTAAGGTTATATATTTTGGCCAGGCGCGGTGGCTCACGCCTGTAATCCCAGCACTGGGAGGCTGAGGCAGGCAGATCACGAGGTCAAGAGATGGAGACTATCCTGGCGAACATGGTGAAACCCCGTCTCTACTAAAAATACAAAAAATTAGCCGGGCGTAGTGGCGGGCGCCTATAGTCCCAGCTACTTGGGAGGCTGAGGCAGGAGAATGGCGTGAACCCGGGAGGCGGAGCTTGCAGTGAGCCGAGGTCCCGCCACTGCACTCCAGCCTGGGCGACAGAGCGAGACTCCGTCTCAAAAAAAAAAAAAAAAAAAAAAAAAAAAAAAAATTAGCCAGGCGTGGTGGTCTACTAAAAATACAAAAATTAGCCAGGCGTTGTAATCTGAGCTACTCAGGAGGCTGAGGCAGGACAATTGCTTGAACCCCAGAAGCGGAGGTTGCAGTGAGCCGAGATCTTGCCACTGCACTCCAGCCTGGGCGACAGAGTGAGACTCTGTCTAAAAAAAAAAAAAAAAAAAAAAAAAGTCATCAAACCAGATGACACAAATCAAATGACATTTCACTTTGTTTTGGTCCATTTTCTTTGTTAAAAACAAGAGTGCAGCGGGGCCATCTCGGCTCACTGCAACGTCCAGCTCCTGGGCCCAAGCGATCCTCCCACCTCAGCCTCTCCAGTAACTGGGATAACAGGTACGCACCACCAGGCCCGACTAATCTTTATTGGAATTTTTTGTAGAGATGGGGTTTCGCTATGATGCCCTGGCTAGTCTTCAACTCCTGGACTCAAGTGATCTGCCCACCTCGGCCCCCTAAAGTGCTGGGATTACAGGCCTGAGCTGTGTAATTTCATGCCACGTGATACAGCCCAGTAAAAAGGAAGAAACCCCACGGGTCCAGCGTCTACTCACAGAGATGCACTGATGGCTGATAAATTCCAGTAGGAGCCCAAAGAGGAGCCAAAAGAGCATCCACCGCACCCGCATGTCCTGGTCCTTTCAGGGCGCCCTGAGGCGGCCAGGACAGAGGTGGAGGTGGCTTAGGGCAGGGGGGAGGGAAGGGGACGGGGACCGGGGCCGGATCTGAGTTGGGGAGGGGGAGGGGGAGGGGAGGGGGAGGGGAAGGGGAGGGGAAGGGGGGAAGTAAGGGAAGGGAAAGGAGGAGAAGGGGGCTGTTGGGCACCTGGAGGAGGTGGAGGAGGAGGAGGAGAAGAAGAAAGGGGTCTGGGAAAGGATCCGGTTCAAATTAAGTTCTCAAGCGCTGGTGGAAGGTTTAGCTACAGGTCACGGAGAAGATCAGGGAAGCAACAGGACACGCGGGGCAAGGGAGCGTGAGGCTTAGGAGCAATCAGAGGGAGACAAAAAGGTTCTGCTATCCACCAAACCTTCTTCGGTCTGGGCCCTCCCTTACCAACCCTGGGGCTTTATACTCCCTCTCCACCAATCCCTGATGACCCCGGTGGTGCCTCACAATGGACAGTGCCTCACAATGGACAATGCCAAGTAGCGCCCGCATCATTCCAATGACCCCTCCCCCATCTCAGTCTCCCACACTCCTCCCAAAGACAGGTCCTCTCTGGAACCTTCACAAACCTGATTTCTGGTCCTCCCCAACCAGCTCCCTGTCCCTGCTTCTGGGCGCTCCTTCCTTCCTGAGCTCCCAGGGTTCCTCAAGGTCACTTATGGCGACAAAACATAAAAAACAAATGATGGCAGGATGGCAGGAAGAACCTCATACCCAAGCAGAGTGCCAGGTTTTACAGCCTCCGCTCAGCCATTCATATCCTAAGCAACAAAACATCAGCAGGGTGCGGAAGGTCCCGATAGTAAACCATCTCCATCACATCCATGTAGCCATCCGTCCATCAACCTGTATCTCAGGAACAAATGTAGATACATTCATTTTAAGCATGCCTGGTACATTTACAAAAATTAACCTGACTTATTTTGTTCCAGCAAATCTCAATATATTTGAGAGCAATCAAATCACACAGCATGTTTCTGATCATATAACTGTGCTAGAAGTCAATGATTAAAAGCTAATTCAAAATTATTATTTGCTTGGAAATTCAAAGTGCCCTTATAAGACATAAACATAAGAAAGAATCCAAAATGAAACAAGATTGCCTTTCAACTCAATGATGAGATCATAACATGGCAATAAAATGTCTCCCTCTGGCCTGGGAATTCCTCTTTGTGGCACAAGGTTGTGTGATCTCAAATCACCGCTAACCCACCTAGACATTTTAACATCCGAAACCGAGTGATGACGTCCTTATCTATATCATCTTACTGCCTGTGTGTGTGGACTTTAAATTCTGAACCCAAATGAGGGGGAGAAAACCAAGTTGACTTTCATGACTGAGCTCTCAGGGACGTCCAAGGAATCTGTGCATTTCAAGAAACAAAGTTCATCAGCTTCTCTCCTAAGGTATTTGCCCACAATACCCAGAGGGCTTGGCAGCATCATGTGTGATGGGTGGGGAGCTCCAAGCAGGTGGGCAGGACCCAGGGGCCTGGTGACCAGGACAGACCCCCACTGTCCATCACCTTTCCTGGCCCTGTCCTCTGCTAAACTTCCCACAGGCCTTCTGCCCGATCACACAGAGTATGCCCAAACTCTCTCAGGCCTCTGGCAGCTGAAAACCACTGCTTTAAATCCCTTTACCATTTACTATGACATAAGGTTATTGTAAACAGGAAATATTCTATTGATGCTACAAATGGAAAGCCAATGCCTTTACCATAAATAGAAAAACAACCCTAAGAAGCAAGCAAAACAAAAACAAAACAGGGGCTGGGTGTGGTGGCTCACGCCTGTAATCCCAGCACTTTGGGAGGCCGAGGTGGGCGGATCACAAGGTCAGGAGTTCCAGACCAGCCTGGCCAATATGGTGAAACCCTGTCTCTAATAAAATACAAAAATTAGCCGGGTGTGGTGGTGGGCGCCTGTAGTCCCACCTACTTGGGAGGCTGAGGCAGGAGAATAGTTTGAACCCGGGAGGCAGAGTCTGCAGTGAGCCGAGATTGCACCACTGCACTCCAGCCTAGGCGACAGAGCGAGACTCTGTCTCAAAAACAGCAACAACTACAAACAAAAAACAGGGTTAACAAAAGTATGGAATTCAATTCTTTTTATATGCTGCAGCCATGTTCCTGCCCTAGATTTGGCTGGGCATGGTGGCTCACGCCTGTAATCCCAGCACTTTGGGAGGCTGAGGCAGGCGGATCACGAGGTTAGGAGTTCGAGACCAGCCTGACCAACATGGTGAAACCCCGTCTCTACTAAAAATACAAAAATTAGCCAGGCATGGTGGCACACGCCTGTAATCCCAGCTACTCAGGAGGCTGAGGCAGGACAATCCCTTGGACCCGGGAGGCGGAGGTTGCAGTGAGCCGAGATCGTACCATTGCACTCCAGCCTGGGTGACAGAATGGAATGAGACTCTGTCTCAAAAAAAAAAAAAAAAAAAAAAGCAGCCCTAGATTTCGGTTGTGGTGGTTGTAAAAGGAGAGACCAAGTAAGTGGGGGTTGAAGTCAGATTAGAGCAAAAGTGAATGGCAGAGAGTACTATAATGTCCATGAAGGGCTGCTAGAGTCACCGTGATCATAGCCCAAGCAGAGATAGGGAAAGGAAGATGTGAGCAGAGTTTGGGGTCTCGAACAATGGAGGTTATTCGTGCAGCCCAGGAAAGGCTCCCCAAAGCCAGGATCAACCTCCCTTGGAGGCGGTCCCTCATGGAGGCATGGTCAGGCACCTTAGATTTGAGACCAGCTATGTTGCTGCTGACCAGCTGTGTGACCCTGGGCTGGTTTCCTTCCACACAATGGGAGTGCCAATGGCTGCATGCATGCAAAGACCGTCTGAGGATAGGAGGAAGCAATCTGTTGAGCACCCGTGTACCTGAGTGTCATCACCTCCCAAGGGCATCCTTCGTTCCAGAGCTGGCACCTTGGAAGGCCCTTGGTCACTGAAGGCAGTGATGATGGTAACAGCAGTAAATCATCATTTACGGCTGATGAGGGAAGGCCAGGGGTAGGGCTCCTAGGTCCTGGATAAGAATGAGGGTCTGGGCACTCCTGGGGACAGCTGAGTGGTAGGACTCCTGGGTCCCCAGGGGGCAGGTCCATCTTCAGTGGCATTGGGCCTAGGCTGGGATGCTGAGTTATCCACTGGAGCATCAGCAGTACAGGCAGGCACAGAGGCAGTGGATCCATCGGAGGTGGCAGGTGTAGGATCGTCTGGTGAGCAAGTAGAGTCACCAAATCTGGCTGACCACTACCCCCACTACCCCCACTATCCCCACAGACGATGCCCTGTCCCTTGCCTCATGCTCCGGCAGGGTACAGGCTCGCACCTGGGGCCTCAAGGAGCATCTCTCTAAGACCTCTGTGTCCTGGTCATTGAATGGGCACTTGAGTCACCCAGGGCCATTGGAACAAAGAGGAAGAATCAGGCCCCACGATGTTTTGGGAGAGTGTTTAGCACAGGAAAATGCGCAGAATACACGCACGACACGGGGGCACTGTCAGTGTGGGAGCAATGGTTTACAACCTCCAGCCCTAATCTGAGCACTCTCACCTGTGCAATCTGAAAGGAACAGGAGACTTGCAGGAAAGACAGTGCCTGGATTTAACTTAAAGGAACTAAAAATGTTGGAATTTTTACTCTTGATATCCTTCCAAATCAACTCTCTCAATGTTCCCATCCTCAAAACTATCATATGGGGTAACTGAGGCAGTCAGAGATTTACTGACTCAATGTCACTCAATTGATTCTGAGTTCACTGCTGATTACATCCGACCAAACTGCTTTTTCTGAAGTCTACTCCGTTTAATCATGCTGGTGATGATTTTGTGCGGCTCTGGGACAAACTCCACCTGGCTGAAGATAAAGCAAATCTGCGGTGACTTAGTCCTCCTGTCATTTCCCATCAGTTCCCCACTCTCCTCCTCTGCCCCTCCACAGTCTCCCATGCAGGCTGACACCATATGACGGCCTTAATGGAGTCCACCGAGTATTTCAGGTTCTCTCCTGGGCCACTTGAAAGTGGATGTACCCATGGGATTTGCTTTGACCCAGGAGATGTGCGTGGAAGTGAAGCGTGTCACCTCGAGGCAAAAGAGTTGGGAGCCATTGAGACGGGCCACTCTCTCCTTCATCTCTTAGAGCAGCTGACAGCTCCCATATGGAGGCTGCTCCTTTATTCTCGTGGCAGGATGAGGGCATGTGGGGCACAGGGCACAGGAGAGCCATGGAGGATGTGCAGCATGGGCAGGAAAAGAGCCTTCAGTGGTGTACATTTCCATAGTTTGGGGCTGTTTCTTACCTACAGTGATACCTAGCCCATCCTAGCAGGCATGCACCATCTACTCCACACTCTGTGATGCAGACTAGCCTGCCGTCAGAACACGAACTGGTGGTCAGACACAGGTAGGTTTCAGTTCCAGCTCTGCCTCTTATTGACTGCAACCTCAGGCTTAACTTTCAGTCTCTGAGCCTCAGTTTCAACTCTGTAAAATGAGGTGGCTATACCATCTCAGGTTGCAGAGAGAATTAAATGAAATATAAGTGCATGTAGAGCATTGAACCCAGGGCCTGGCACACACAGTGAGTACACAATGTTAGCCAGGTAGCTTCATAATGCATACTGATTGTCAATATTCAGACAATGCAGTAAAGTGTTACCAAAAATAAAAGTAAACTTATTTGCATATGTATTCTTTCAATCTTTATTTTTAAACAGGGTAAAACTATGCATATTCTTTCATAGCCAGTGTTTTTCTCTTCATAGTATATTGTTAAAATAATTTTACTTGGACCGGGTGCAGCGGCTCACACCTATAGTCCCAGCACTTTGGGAGGCCGCGGTGGGCAGATCACGAGGTCAGGAGTTGACACGAGCCTGGCCAATATGGTGAAACCCCATCTCTACTAAGAATACAAAAATTAGCTGGGCATGGTGGCACACACCTGTAGTCCCAGCTACTCAGAGGCTGAGGCAGAGGAATTGCTTGAACCCGGGAGACAGAGGTTGCAGTGAGCCAAGATTGTGCCATTGCACTCCAGCCTGGGGGACAGAGTGAAACTCTGTCTCAAAAAATATGTGTGTGTGTGTGTGTGTGTGTGTGTGTGTGTGTGTGTGTGTGTGTGTGTGTGTGTGTGTGTGTATCTATATAAATCTCAAAAATAAAAGATCATTTTTGAGATTATCATTTTAAAAGACAAGATAATGTTCAACTTAATGACTAATTTAATTATTACTATTGGACTTTTTGTAGACTGCACAGAGCATTCAAAACAAATGAAGGAGAATAAAAAATATGTATTACATGTTATAAAATAAATGTGATGTGGTTAACTCTTTTATTCAAAGTTATAGAACATACATATGTACTATAGAATGTATTATTATGAGTCATGTTAAAAAGTAGTTTAGAAGCTGTTGATTTGAATTTCCTTTTCAAATTTTGCAGGATAATTTTTTTTTTTTTTTTTTGACAGAGTCTCGCTCTGTCGCACAGTCTGGAGTGCAATGGCGTGATCTCGGCCCACTAAAACCCCCACCTCCTGAATCTAAGCAATTCTCCTGTCTCAGCCTCCTGAGTAGCTGGGACTACAGGCTCACACCACCATGCCCGGCTAATTTTTGTATTTTTAGTAGGGACGAGGTTTTGCCATATTGGTCAGGCTGGTCTCAAAGTCCTGGCCTCCGGTGATCCACCAGCCTCAGCCTCCCAAAATGCTGGGATTAGAGGCATGAGTCACCATGCCCAGCCTAAACTTGGCAAGATAATAAATCACCTTTTTAAGTGTCGTTGGGCACTTGTCTGGTTGTTTTTCTTTAGGTTACCATGCCAGCAATGATTCCTTTTGAGTTTCTGACAGAAGATAGTGGTTTTCATCCAAATAAGTCAACTACTCTACCCCATCCCTAAGCCACTTGTATGGAAAGAAAAAGAGGAAGAAGCCAGTACTGTGACTGCGTAAGCTTCCCCCAGCATCACCGGCTATGAGATGTGTGGCAGCTGAGACCCGGGAACTGCTCAAGGGCACCAGGCCCCATCTGTCTGCACTCACTCACCTTCCTCAGGTACTCGCATGGGCATGTCACTGACTTTACATGCTGCTGCAGCTCCTTGGTGAGCTGGCCCTGGTCATGGGACAGGAACTGTGGGGTCAGGACAATAGAGAGCTTCACCATTTGCAGAATGAGAACAGGGGCTCATGATGAGTGCCAACCTATTAGATAATTTAAAAAAAAAAGTGTTGAATGAGTGGAAAAACAAGGTGATGTTTGAGTCTATAGTGGTCAAGGGCTTCAGAAAAGGACAGAACCAAGTTCAAATTCCTGTACTTTGAATTTCTACTTCATGCCATGCAAAATTACTTTACCCCTTTTAACCTCAGTTTTCTTCTGTGTGAAACAGGAACAATAGTTTCATTCGTCATTCAGTTTCTCTCAAGATTTCACGAGATCATACCTATAAAACATCCAAGTCATTTAAATGTATCATCATTTCTGTCATAATTAGTGGGATCCATTTCACTATTATTGGATATACAGTTCTGTGCCTGAAACCTACAAAAAAACAAAATGTTAAGTCTAAAAAGCATTAGTGATTTCTCATTTTTATATTACTAATTATAACCCTATTTAATCACACAAGGCCTTGTCCGCGGCAGGTGCTCAATAAACACTTGTCGAATCAATGCATGTGGGCTCCGGAGCCACACTGTTTAGATTCTATTCTGCCTCCACCACTTATCAGCTGTGTGATCTGGGTAAGATAATTCACCTCTTTATGTCTGCACTTCCCTCTCCATAAACTATATATAATGAGAATCCTTAGCTCATTCGGTTGTGGTGAGGGGTGAATGATTTGGCACACAGGAGGGGCTTGTTAAACATTAGCTGTGATGATCTCCTTCCAAATCTTCATTTTCAGAGCCACAGATGAGGCCATAGTGCAACCAGGTGACCTTAGAGTGTAAGTACACATGATCGCCAGCTATGCTCTATCTCCACCATAGGTCCAAGACTGGGTAGTTCTGGCCTGGAGGTTTCTGCTGCATCTGCCTTCTCAGTGTTCACCTAAGGACTTTTGTATTTTCCTCCTCGCATCCCCACAGATGGGGTTCAGGCTGCCGGACACAGCTGGGTGATGCCAGGGCAGTGGTCACCTGTGCCAGCCCCGTGAGGTAGCTGGAGGATCATTGTTCCTTCCTTCTCGGGCTCTGGGCAGATGCCAGGGCTGGGGTGACCCATGCCCTCAAGTTTCTTGCTTTGGTGGGCCACATTTTCCCTTGGCAAAGAGGGTAAAGGTCACAGGATGCCGGAGAGCTGTGACTTCTCTGTGCCCTGGGCCCAAACTATGAAGACCTGACACACTATGCTAAAAGTCCAACGCTGGGTGCTCCCCAGAGCTTCTTGCCTCACCGCTTCTGCTGAGGGAGGAATGAATACTATGTCCTCCCAGAGCTTTGGGAGCTTGTAGCAAGCAGCCTCCCCAGCGCAAAATCTCTTGGAAACCTCTAACTGTGTCTGAAACATTAGTGCAAATGTTGCATCCTATTTCCCATATGTCCGCATGTTTTAGAAAAAAACCCTCAATTTCCTAAATATGCAAGAAAAATCGGTATTGTAGGACAATGTGACTTTTTAAAAAATGTTATTTAAAAATCTTCCCCACCTCCTTTTCTGCCCTCCAAGACTGCCAAATACTTGTTGAACATATATTATTAAATGCCTACTACATGCCAGCCATGATTCATGGTCTTGGGGACACAGCAGAGAACGAACTGACAGGACTCCTCTCTTATGTAACTCACATTCTTATATGATAATGATAAGGGTTAACATTAATTAAGCTGTCACTGCATGTTAGTCACGGTGCAGTCATTCCCACACATTATTACACTTAAACCTGCTAGCAAGCTTGCAAGGTAGTTAGTTGTTTTTCCTTTAAAAACTGAGTCTCGGAATGATGAAGCACTCTGTCCAATGTCACACAGCTAGTAAGTGTGGAGACCTTGCATCCAATCAATGCCCGTCTCATTCTAAAGGCCATGTTATGTGTTCTCCAGCCCATGGAGAATAATTTTAACACAGTCAATGAAATTTCTACACAACAATGTTCTTGTCTCAAGTCCAAGAATGCCTCCTACACCTCCTATAATACTGGCTTTCTGGTGAGTAAAGATGCCATTCTCATGTGTAATCAGGTGGCAAATGGAGATATGACCAAAGTAACCACCTGCCTACACTCATAACCCTGTACACACTCTTCCTGTGTCGATTCAATTCAAGTACCCCTTTTGATCACTTAGCAAATCTGACCTTTAAAAGGGTTAGGGTTTTTATATCCATGTAAGTTTCTGTATTGCTTTGGAAGTCTCTGGTTAAATTAATACTCTTTTAATAGTGACCTGTGATTCTGTTTTGATCAAGTGTTTTCAAACTTGACATCTTTGATGGGTTTCTCCAGTGTCAAAATCCTAAATCAAGTCTTTTTGGCTTAAAACTAACTTTGGGATTTTTTTCAGCTGCATCCCTTGGGGAGTCTAAAGAATGTATCTCTCATCTTGTAGAGGTATTAAGTGATTCGATTTATTTGGTAGATTAAATGGGCAGGCATTGTCAAATGTGGCGATACTGCATGGGAGGGCACTGTCAAGTGAGGTGACATTAGATCTCATCTCAGTTATATTTATGGGTATGTTGTTGATATGCGTGTTCCAAAAATTGCATACATTTATACAAATTTAATATGATTTGTAATTTTGATAGTTATGCTAAATATTTGCTAAAGTTATATTTGTATAAACATGTCACGAATGGCTGGGCACCGTCACTCATGCCTGTAATCCCAGCACTTTGGGAGACAAAGGCACGTGGATCACCTGAGGTCGGGAGTTCCAGACCAGCCTAATAGAGTGAAACCCTGTCTCCACTAAAAATACAAAAATTAGCCATGCCTGGTGGCACATGCCTGTAATCTCAGCTACTCGGGAGGCTGAGACAGGAGAACTGCTTGAACCCAGGATGCGGAGGTTGTAGTGAGCCGAGATCATGCCACTGCACTCCCGCCTGGGTGACAAAGGTAGAATCTATCCAAAAAAAAAAAAAAAAGTTATTATTTCTGAAGATTGTATGAAATTTATAAAAGTCTGCTGGCCCTGATATGATGCTGTCAGTCATGATTCTGATTACTGTCTTAAAATGCTGCACATAAGTAAATTTCCTTGTGAACTGGGAAGTTTCATCAGACTTTTATCATAACTATTGTTTCCATCATCCACAGTTACTGTTTTGAATTCTTCTCTAAAAATATTTGTAATTGGCAATAGTCCAAATTTTCTTTTGTTTTCTTTCCTGTTTTTGAGACACAGTCTGGCTCTGTCGCCTAAGCTGGAGTGCAGTGGTGGGATCTCGGCTCACTGCAAACTCTGCCTCCCGGGTTCACGCCATTCTCCTGCCTCAGCCACCCAAGTAGCTGGGACTACAAGTGCTGCCACCACATCCAGCTAATTTTTTGTATTTTTAGTAGAGACAGGGTTTCACTGTGTTAGCCAGGATGGTCTCAATCTCCTGATCTCGTGATCTCCGCGCCTCGGCCTCCCAAAGTGCTGGGATTACAGGTGTGAGCCACCGTGCCCAGCCTAATTTTTGCATTTTTAGTAGAGAGGAGGTTTCACCATGTTGGCCAGGGTGGTCTCGATCTCCTGACCTTGTAATCCGCCTGCCTCAGCCTCCCAAAGTGCTGGGATTACAGGCGTGAGCCACTGCAACTGACTTTTTTTCTTTTTCTTTTTTTTTTTTTTTTGAGACAGAGACTCACTCTGTCACCCAGGCTGGAGTGCAGTGGCATGATTTTGGCTCACTGCAACCTCCACCTCCTGAGTTCAAACAATTATCCTGCCTCATCCTTCGGAGTACCTGGGATTACAGGTGCGTGCCACCGTGCCCGGCTCATTTTTGTATTCTTAGTAGAGACGGCATTTCACCATGTTGGCCAGGCTGGTCTCAAACTCCTGGCCTCAACTGATCCACTCTCATTGGCCTTCCAAGGTGCTGGGATTATAGGCGTGAGCCACCACAACTGGCTCAGTAAATACATTTTTTATTATCAAAAAAGAGTAGTGTATGGTTGGCGTATTCTGTGTAGAATGTATTTTATTGATGTCTGCTATTTTTATAATTTCTGAGTTAAGTACTTTTTAATTAATGCTTTTTAGTTTTGGGCAGATTCAGTTGACTAAAGCACCTCATTTCCCAGATACATGAAATAAAATATTTGGCTTCTTTTCCAATTTCACACTGATGTTATTTTGTGAAAATCAGTGCTTTAAGATAAATCGTTATACGTTAAGATAAACATGAGAAACTTGATCTAATATTTAATATTTATTCAGTTCTACACTTTATTAACTTCTACACCAGCAGATTTAGACATTATGTAACCATCTCAAGAAGTTTCACTTGGATGTAATGCTTCACGCTTGTAATCCCAGCACTTTAGGAGGCTGAGGTGGGAGGACTGCTTAAGGCAAGGAGTCTGAGACCAGCCTGGGCAATACAGCAAGATCCCATCTCTATTTTAAAGAAAAGTTTCACTTTGGGAGGCCAAGGCGGGTGGATCACAAGGTCAGGAGATCGAGACCATCCTGGCTAACATAGTAAAACCCCATCTCTACTAAAAATATAAAAAATTAGCCGGGCGTGGCGGTGGGCGCCTGTAGTCCCAGCTACTCGGGAGGCTGAGGCAGAAGAATGGCGTGAACCCGGGAGGCAGAGCTTGCAGTGAGCTGAGATTGCGCCACTGCACTCCAGCCTGGGCGACAGAGCGACACTCCATCTCAAAAAAAAAAAAAAAAAAAGTTTCGGCAAATTCCATCTAAGAATTCCACCAGAGTTCTGTTGTCTCCAATGTCATCTTCCACAGATTTCAAGTTGTGAAGCCCTGAACTGTTAATTTATCTTGAGAATGTATA
Source organism: Homo sapiens (assembly GCF_000001405.40). Classification (NCBI taxonomy): domain Eukaryota; kingdom Metazoa; phylum Chordata; class Mammalia; order Primates; family Hominidae; genus Homo; species Homo sapiens. The sequence goes on along the minus strand of NC_000016.10, from coordinate 22,509,011 downwards.
TTTAAGCTTAATTTAAGACTATATACCTAAAAATTGAGCATATAATTTCTATAATTTGTTTATGTAAGTTTCTGTAAGTCATAAGTATGTGGTTTCCAAGTGTATAATTTATCTGAATGTAATAGGCATTAATATATTTTTACATTACTGGGACCATAGTACAGAAATTTCTAAATGGTTTGTAAAATAACTTGTTATTTGTGTTGTTGTAAAAGCAGTTAATACAATGGAAAAACTCGTAATAAGAAGATACAGTTTAACATCAAAAAGTTTACCCAAGGTAATTATGAGTACTACCTGGCAAAACTTCACGGAAGCTGTGGTATCACTTTTATGATGGAAGAATGGTGTTTGCATTTTGTGTAAAAGTACTTGCGGCTGGGCGTGGTGGCTCATGTCCCAGTGCTTTGGGAGGCGAAGGCAGGTGGATCATCTGAGCCCAGGAGTTTGAGACCAGCCTAGGCAACGTGGCAAGAGCCTGTCTCTCCAAAACCTACAAAATTTAGCCAAGCTTGGTGGTGTGAGCCTGTAGTCCCAGCTACTTGGGAGACTCACGCTGGAGGATCTCTCGAGCCCAGGAGGCAGAAGATGAATAAATAAATGGAAGCAACTGAATGGGATGAGGTCTCTCTTGAAGGAGAGAGCAAAAGAGATTTAAATAGTAACAATTATAATAAGGCTGGGCGCTGTGGCTCACGCTTGTAATCCCAGAACTTTGGGAGGCCAAGGCAGGCGGATCGGTTGAGGTCAGGAGTTCAAGACCAGCATGGCCAACACGGTGAAACCCTGTCTCTATTAAAAATACAAAATTAGCCGGACATGGTAGTGCGTGCCTGTGGTCTCGGCTACTCAGGTGGCTGAGACAGGAGAATCGCTTGAACCTGGTAGGCACAGGTTGTAGTGAGCCGATAAATATAAAAAGTATTAGAGTACTAACAGAGGAAAGTTTCCACTGATCACCTTTTAGCTTTAAATAATGCAGAAGCATTTGCCCAGTTTACTTGTAATTAAAAATCATGCATCATTCACAATTTATATCTTTTTTGTTTGTACAAAAATGAACACAAGTTATTCTCTTTTATCTGTATTGTGATTGGTTTGGTGAGAGGGAATTAGGCCACTTGAGAGTTTGTGTGTGTTTACAATTTTCTGGCCAGGCACGGTGGCTCATGCCTGTAATCCCAGCACTTTGGGAGGCCAAGGCGGGCGGATCACTTGAGCTCAGGAGTTCGAGACCAAATTGGGCAACATGGTGAAACCCTATCTCTACGAAAAATACAAAAATTAGCTGAGTGCCGTGGCTTGCGCCTGTCCTCCCAGCTACTTGGGGGGCTGAGGCAGTAGGATCGCTCAAGCCCAGGAGGTGGAGGTTGCAGTGAGCCAAGATCACGTCACTGCACTCCAGGAAGGGCAACAGAGCAAGACTCCTTCTAAAAAAAAAAAAAAAGAAAGAAAGAAAAGAAAATTAACTTTGGTATTTCAGGTTGTATTTAAATGGAGACTTAACATGAACTATGTTCATAACACTTGACCAAATTAAGTGTAGATCGTCTCTTTAATAAAGAGATCATCTGGAACTGCAATTTCTAACTCATACATCATTGCTACAAACCTTATTTGTTTACTGTTTCTCTTCCAAGGACCATCAGTCATCCTTTAAAATTCATTTCAAGCTCTGAAAAGATATTTTTTGTTACATGGGCAATTTACTTTTAGTACAGTAAAATGTTATGTGAATTTCTACAGTATGTTTGCCAAAATGAATTATATCTAGAATACGCTTAACAATATATTCTGGAGGCAGCTTTCATTTGAAATTAGGTTCACCTTCTGAGAGTATGAAAAAGTTAATGGGTTTTTGTGCCTGAAGATTTTGATGTTGCATTTGGCTACATTTAATCCACTTTCACCCATAAGTTTTAGCATCTAAAAAAATTAAATCACTGCTAATGCAATTAAAATGCATTATGAAATGCATTTCTGTCCAGGCTGGAGTGCAGTGGCACAATCTCGGCTCACTGCAAGCTCCGCCTCCCTGGTTCACACCATTCTCCTGCCTCAGCCTCCCTAGTAGCTGGGACTACATGTGCCCGCCACCACGCCCGGCTAATTTTTTTTTTTTTTTTTTTTTTTAATGAGGCGGAGTCTCGCTCTGTTGACCAGGCTGGAGTGCAATGGCATGATCCTGGCTCACTGCAACCTCTGCTTCCTGGGTTCAAGTGATTCGCCTGCCTTGCTGGGATGACAGACGTGCACCACAATGTCCGGCTAATTTTGTATTTTTAGTAGAGACATGGCTTCACCATACTGGCCAGGCTGGTCTTGAACTTCTGACCTCAGGTGATCCCACCTTGGCCTCCCAAAGTGCTGGGATTATAGGCATGAGCCACTGTGCCCAGCTTAAGATCTCTGTTTTAATGTTAATGCTGGTCAGTTGTGTCTGGATTCCAGAGGGAGGAAGGTAGAATGAGGCATGTTGACACCTCCCCTTCCCATCATGGCCTAAGCTGGTCTTTTCAGTTTACTTTGGAATGTCCTTGCTCAACAGGAAGGGTCCATTCAGTCGGACTGGGTGGCTTAGAATTTTATTTTTGGTTTACATCTCAACTATCACAGCAGCCGGGCGCGGTGGCTTCACAGCTGTAATCCCAGCACATTGGGAGGCTGAGGCAGGGGTATCACCTGAGGTCTGGAGTTCTAGACCAGCCTGACCAACATGGAGAAACCCCCCGTCTCTACTAAAAATACAAAATTACCCGGGCGTGGTGGTACATGCCTGTAATCCCAGCTACTCGGGAGGCTGAGGCAGGAGAATCGCTTGAACCTGGGAGGCGGAGGTTGTGGTGAGCTGAGATCGTGCCACTGCACTCCAGCCTGGGCAACAAGAGCGAAACTCTGTCTTAAATAAATAAATAAATAAACAAACAAACAAACAAACAAACTATCACAGCATAAAGTAGGAATATTTCGTTACTGTCTAGTTAAACTGGTTAATGCAGAAAGGAAGTCTGGTAATTCCAGTTTTAAAGTAAAATTTTGGACATTGTAGGATTGATTATTTGGCATAGTTGTGATGTTTGTTCCTGCGTTATGGTTTTGTTGGCAGGGCAGCCTTTAAGGACCTGTATATTTTCTTCTAGACTCTATATATTCCCTGTGAGTATTAGTTGTATGGTCAAACTGGCAAATTTTACCATAGGTATAAATAATAGAGAATGTGGAAGAATAGTGAATAGTGTCAGAGATAGTTAAAAGTCCATACAATAGTAGAGAAGGTAGTAAGTAATAGTGGCTTGGACTAAATATTTGTTGAATAAATGTTTTAAAAAACAGGCTACCTACAATTTGTGTTGAAGATATGAATGAATGAAGTTTCCACACCTTTATGTGGAGACCTGATAAGTAAGCAACAATAAGGAAGGGTCCCCAGGTTGGGGAGAGCCCCAAGTTGAGAACAATAATGAACAATTATTGTATGAACAATTGTTAGAGACAGCTAATCACAAACAACCTGCGGGCACAATGACCTCATTCCACACGTAGCACCCTTCAGCAGGACCCTATAAAACTTTCCTCCAGCCCTTGCCTCTTTGCAGGTAGCCCCTTCTCTGCTGAGCTGCCCACTGCAACATATTTTCACAATTTCTCTAATAAATCTGCCCTTCTTTACCTACAACTATCTTGGTAAATGGCTTTACCACCTGCAAAACTGACCCTAGGTTGTTGCTACCCGATATGGTTTGGCTGCGTCCCCACCCAAATTTCATCTTGAATTGTAGTTCCCATAATCCCCATGTGTCGTGGGAGGGACCCGGTAGGAGGTAATCGAATCATGGGGGCAGGTTTTTCCCATACTGTTCTCGTGATAGTGAATACATCTCACTAAATCTGATGGTTTTATAAAGGGCAGTTTCCCTGCACGTGCTCTCTTGCCTGCTGCCATGGAAGACATACCTTTTTGCTCCTTCTTTGCCTTCCACCATGATTCTGAGGCCTCTCCAGCCTTGTGGAACTGTGAGTACATTAAACCTCTTTTTCTTTATAAATTACCCAGTTTCCAGTATTTCTTCATAGCAGTATGAAAAGTAACTAATACACTACCCGAGACATCTTAGGAGATTTGTAATAGCTGTAATGCCAGGTCCACCATATTTTTAGCATAAAGCAAATGTTTACGCGTGATATGACTGCACGGGCTTTCTTTCAGCTGGAGCCATAGCAACTCAAGTAGTAACCCTATCTTAGTCTGATTAAAAGTAAATATTAGTCTGGGCATGGTGGGACATGCCTGTAATCCCAGTACTTTGGGAGGCTGAGACAGAAGGATTGCTTGAGCCCAGGAGTTTGAGACCAGCCTGGGCAACATGGAAAAACACCATCTCTACAAAAAATACAAAAATTAGCTGAGCTGGTGGCACACACCTGTAGTCCCAGCACCTTGGGAGGGTGAGGCAGGAGGATCTCTTGAACCCGGGAGGTGGAAGCCGCAGTGGGCAATGATCATGTCAGAGGTGTGTGAACCAGAGCAACTCCATCTTAAATAGGAGCCGGGAAAAATGAGGCTGAAACTACTGGGCTGCATTCCCTGATGGTTAAGGCATTCTAAGTCACAGGATGACATAGAAGGTCAGCACAAAATACCAGTCATAAAGACCTTGCTGATAAAACAGGTTGCAGTGAAGGAGCTGGCCAAAACCCACCAAAACCAAAATAGAGACAAGACTGACCTCCCATCATCCTCCCTGCTACACTCCTACCAGCACCATGACAGTTTACAAATGCCACGGCAACATCAAGAAGTTACCCTATATGGTCTAAAAAGAGGAGGCATGAAAAATCCACTCCTTGTTTAGCATATCATCAACAAATAACCATAAAAATGGGCAACCAGCAGCCCTCACGGCTGCTCCGTCTATGGGGTAGCCATTCTTTTATTCCTTTACTTTCTCTCTTTTTTTTTTGAGATGGAGTCTCCCTCTGTCACCCAGGCTGGAGTGCAGTGGCGCGATCTCGGCTTACTGCAAGCTTCGCCTCCCGGGTTCATCCCATTCTCCTGCCTCAGCCTCCAGAGTAGGTGGGACTACAGGCACCCGCCACCACACTTGGCTAATTTTTTTGTATTTTTAGTAGAGATGAGGTTTCACCGTGTTAACCAGGATGGTCTTGATCTCCTGACCTCGTGATCCACCTGTCTCGGCCTCCCAAAGTGCTGCGATTACAGGAGTGAGCCACCGTGCCCCTCCTCCTTTACTTTCTTAATAAACTTGCTTTCACTTCACACTGTGGCATCACCCTGAATTCTTTCTTGCACAAGATCCAAGAACCCTCTCTTGGGGTCTAGATTGGGACCCCTTTCCTGTAACTATCATGCTACTGCACTCCAGCCTGGGCAACAGAGCAAGGCCCTGTCTCAAAAAAAAAAAAAAAAAAAAAAAAGGAACATGACTTAATACATTCATTTTGGAGGGTAAGTCTCTCAAAATAGGCCTTTCACTGGGGGAAAATGGTAAAAATACTCCCTGGTAATTCAAGAATTGGAGACTCCTGAGATGCTGCTCATATTAGCTGAGCACTTATCAATACTTCACTTTTTTCCATATATACTCAAGGAACAAGTGCTATTTAAAGTGTTTCACTCCACTGTGCTAGGTGCAAGACTATAAAGAGGTGTGAGGATCAACACTTTTATGAAAACCAGTGTCATTCTGGATATAGTTTCAGATGCTAGTGCAAAGGAAGCTCTTGGTATACGGAAAAAGTATTCAACAATAAATTAGGCATGGTTGCTTCCATTTTCTGCCTCACATACTTTTTTTTTCGTGGTTGAAGTGATATAATGTCTATGATATTTTAGATTGGCAGTTGCAAACTAGTGGTCCTCAGCGTGCTTTTTATGACACCTACAAGGTCTGAAGACTTTGATTTCATATTAAAAATCTGGGTTTCAGGCTGGGTGTGGTGTTGCATGCCTGTAATCCCAGCACTTTGGGAGGCTGAGGCAGGAGAATCGCTTGAACCAGGGAGGTGGAGGTTGCAGTGAGCCAAGATCGCGCCACTGCACTCAAGCTTAGGCAATAGAGCAAGACTCCATCTCAAAAAATGAATAAATAAATAAATAAAATCTGGGTTTCAGGCCAGGTGTGGTGGTGCACTCCTGCAATCCCAGCACTTTGGGAGGCTGAGATGGGCAGACAGCTTGACCTCAGGAATTCCAGACTAGCCTGGGCAACATGGCGAAACCCCATGTCTACAAATAATACAAAAAAATTAGCTGGGTGTAGTGGAGTGTGCCTGTAATCCCAGCAACGTGGGAGGCTGAAGTGAGAGGATTGCTTGAGCCTGGGAGGTTGATGTTACAGTGAGCTGAGATCGCCCTCCTACACTCCAACCTGGGCAACAGAGCCAGACCTTGTCTTAAAAAAAAAAAAAAAAAAAAAAAAAAAAAAAAATTCTGGGTTTCTGGCATCTCAAAAAAAAAAAAAAAAAAAAAAAAAAAGGAAAGGTCAGGGCACATGGCTGCTACAGTCCTCTATTAAGCAATGTGCCACAGCAGGGGTGCCTGACCCCTGGGCCATGGACATGTACTGGTCTGTGGCCTGTTAGGAACTGGGCCACAGAGCAGGAGGTGAATGGTGGGTAACAATTGAAGCTTCGTCTGTATTTCTGGCTGCTCCCCATTGCTTGCATTGCTGCCTGAGCTCTGCCTCCTGTCAGATCAGCAGCATCATTAGATTCTTACAGGAGCATGAACCCTGTTGTGAATTGCACACACGAGGGATCCAGGTTGCATATTCCTTATGAGAATCTAATTCCTGATGATTTGTGGTGGAACAGTTTCATCCCAAGACCATTACCATCCTGCGCCCCATCCCTTGCCGCCTGTGGAAAAATTGTCTTCCACAAAGCCGGTCCCTGGTGCCAAAAATGTTGGGGACTGCTGTGCTTTAGAATCTGCCATGAATCTGCAGCCTCTATTATATAGCTCCCTATAGACTTTGCTTCCTACCGTCTTACGTTCTGCCTTATAGGCATTTGACTTTGCAACCCTTGTTTTTGTTAGTATGCTACGCTGGTGACATTGACCAAATTGACCACACATTAATTATAAGCTTAGTTGGTGATGACCTCAACGGAATAACGTGACATAAGTATTGTGACAATACTTCTTGCATGTATCTGCAGGTGGAATTGTAAACCTGGTGGTCCGAGATGGTCTAATTCCATCTTCCTATGTATCTCCTTATATTAATAGTGGTAACATTTGTGGTGGTGATTCAGCATTTCAATGCCTCTTCTCATGGCAACAACAAACGTTTTCCTTCTGAATCAACATTAACCTAGATGTTACTGCGGATCAAAATTAGACTCTACATTTTCAACCACAGAAATACCGGGCAGTAAAAATTTTTCTTAATATTGATTGCCTACATAGGTTGTGTAATTAGCATATGTTTACAGTTCTATGATTTCTGCGTGGCTGCTACAGAGCTGGAGGGGGTAAAGCAACAGTATTTTCTCAGTTGTGCGAGCAGCATTACATTATAATAAATAGGTAATATTAAACTGGGCTGATGAGAGTTGCAAAAGACTACTTTAATGTTCATATGGAACCAAAAAAGAGCCCGCATTGCCAAGACAATCCTAAGCCCAATGAACAAAGCTGGAGGCATCATGCTACCTGACTTCAAACTATACTACAAGGCTACAGTAACCAAAACAGCCTGGTACTGGTACCAAAACAGACATATAGACCAATGGAACAGAACAGAGCCCTCAGAAATAATACCACACATCTACAACCATCTGATCTTTGACAAACCTGACAAAAACAAGAAATGCGGAAAGGATTCCCTACTTAATAAATAGTGCTGGGAAAACTGGCTAGCCCTATGTAGAAAGCTGAAACTGGATCCCTTCCTTACACCTTATACAAAAATTAATTCAAGATGGATTAAAGACTTAAATGTTAGACCTAAAGCCGTAAAAACCCTAGAAGAAAACCTAGGCAATACCATTCAGGACATAGGGATGGGCAAGGACTTCATGTCTAAAACACCAAAAGCAATGGCAACAGAAGCCAAAACTGACAAATGGGATCTAATTAAACTAAAGAGCTTCTGCACAGCAAAAGAAACTAGGATCAGTGTGAACAGGCAACCTAGAGAATGGGAGAAAATTTTTGCCATCTACTTATCTGACAAAAGGCTAATATCCAGAATCTACAAAGAACACCAACAAATTTACAAGAAAAAAAACAAACCCCATCAAAAAGTGGGCAAAGCATATGAACAGACACTTCTCAAAAGAAGACATTTATGCAGCCAACAGACACATGAAAAAATGCTCATCATCACTGGCCATCAGAGAAATGCAAATCAAAACCGCAATGAGATATCATCTCACACCAGTTAGAATGGCGATCATTAAAAAGTCAGGAAACAACAGGTGCTGGAGAGGATGTGGAGAAATAGGAACACTTTTACACTGTTGGTGGGACTGTAAACTGGTTCAACCATTGTGGAAGACAGTGTGGCGATTCCTCAGGGATCTAGAACTAGAAATACCATTTGACCCAGCCATCCCATTACTGGATACATACCCAAAGGATTATAAATCATGCTGCTATAAAGACACATGCACACATATGTTTATCGCGGCAATATTCACGATAGTGAAGACTTGGAACCAACACAAATGTCCATCAATGATAGACTGGATTAAGAAAATGTGGCACAGATACACCATGGAGTACTATGCAGCCATAAAAAAGGATGAGTTCATGTCCTTTGTAGAGACATGGATGAAGCTGGAAACGATCACTCTCAGCAAACTATCACAAGGACAAAAAACCAAACACCGCATGTTCTCACTCACAGATGGGAATTGAACAATGAGAACACTTGGACACAGGAAGGGGAACATCACACACTGGGGCCTCTTGTGTGGTGGGGGAGGGGGAAGGGATAGCAGTAGGAGATACACCTAATGTAAATGACGAGTTAATGGGTGCAGTACACCAACATGGCACATGTATACATATGTAACAAACCTGCACATTGTGTACATGTACCCTATAACTTAAAGTATAATTTAAAAAAATAAGTAAATAAATAAATAAAAAAAGAAACAATTGCTGGCTTTGCAATTCTCTTTCCTCCAAAATCGCCAAGGCCTCAATTTACTCATTGCTGAAAAAGGACGACTCTGTATATTTTTAAATGAAGAGTGTTGTTTTTACCTAAATCAATCTGGCCTGGTATATGACAACATAAAAAAACTCAAGGATAGAGTCCAAAAACTTGCCAACCAAGCAAATAATTATGCTGAACCCCCTTGGGCACTCTCTTAATTGGATGTCCTGGGTCCTCCCAATTCTTAGTCCTTTAATACCTGTTTTTCTCCTTCTCTTATTCGGACCGTGTGTCTTCTGTTTAGTTTCTCAATTCATACAAAACCATATTCAGGCCATCACCAATAATTCTATATGACAAATGCTCCTTCTAACAACCCCACAGTATCAGCCCTTACCCCAAAATCTTTCTTCAGTTGAATCTCTCCCACTGTAGGTTCCCATGCCGCCCCTAATCCCACTCGAAGCAGCCCTGAGAAACATCGCCCATTATCTCTCCATATCACCCCCAAAAATTTTCGCCACCCCAACACTTTACCACTATTTTGTTTTATTTTTCTTATTAACATAAGAAGACAGGAATGTCAGGCCTCTGAGTCCAAGCTAAGCCATCATATCCCAGTGACCTGCACGTATACATCCAGATGGCCTGAAGCAACTGAAGATCCACAGAAGTGAAAACAGCCTTAACTGAAGACATTCCACCATTGTCATTTGTTTCTGCCCCACCCTAACTGATCAATGTACTTTGTAATCTGCCCCACTCTTAAGAAGGTTCTTTATCATCTCCCCCACCCTTAAGAAGTTTCTTTGTAATTCTCCTCACCTTTGACAATGTACTTTATGAGATCCACCTCCTGCCCCCAAAACACTGCTCTTAACTCCACCGCCTATCCCCAAATCTATAAGAACCAGTGATAATCACACCACCCTTTGTTGACTCCTTTTTCGGACTCAGCCCGCCTGCACCCAGGTGAAATAAACAGCCATGTTGCTCACACAAAGCATGTTTGGTGGTCTCTTCACACAGACACGTGAGACAGGAGTTCGAGACCAGCCTGGCCAATCTGGTGAAACTCTATGTCTCTACTAAAAATACAAAAATTAGCTGGGCATGGTGGCGGGCACCTGTAATCCCAGCTACTCGGGAAGCTGAGGCACAAAAATTGCTTGAACCCAGGAGGCAGAGTTTGCAGTGAGCCAAGATCACACTGTCAGGCCTCTGAGCCCAAGCCAAGCCATTGCATCCCCTGTGACTTGCACGTATACATCCAGATGGCCTGAAGTAACTGAAGATCCACACAAGAAGTAAAAATAGCCTTAACTGATGACATTCCACCATTGTGATTTGTTTCTGCCCCACCCTAACTCTTCAATGTACTTTGTAATCTCCCCCACCCTTAAGAAGGTACTTTGTAATCTCCCCAACCCTTAAGAAGGTTCTTTGTAATTCTCCCCACCCTTGAGAATGTACTTTGTGAGATCCACCCCTGCCTGCAAAACATGGCTCTTCACCCCCTATCCCAAAACCTGTAAGAACTAATGATAATCCACCACCCTTTGCTGACTCTCTTTTCGGACTCAGCCCGCCTGCACCCAGGTGAAATAAACAGCCATGTTGCTCACACAAAGCCTGTTTGGTGGTCTCTTCACACGGACGCGCATGAAACACACGACTGCACTTCAGGCTGGGCGACAGAGCTAGATTCCATCTCAAAAAAAATAAAATAAAAAGGAGTCACCTCCCCCGAGAGGCCTCTGGACCACCCCATCTGAGCAGGCCACTCTTCCTTCTCTATCTTACCATCTTGTTTCTGTCCCAGTAGTTAGGGCTACCTCCAGTAATCCTATTTGTCCCTTTACTGTTTAGTGCGTCTCGCTTGACTAGAAGCTCCATGAAAGCAAGAGACCCTACCTGCCTCCTTCGCCACTAGACCCCCAGGGCCTGGTATGTGGTGATCGCTCAGGGCCCATTTTCTTCCTTTCCTCCTCCTCCAAGGGTGGGGAAAGAGCATCAGAAGGTCTAGGTGGCCCCAGGCCCAAACAATGCTCCTTTAAAAGGAAACTAGATTGTTACAAAGGTCAGAGGCTGAAAAGTTATTTCCGCCTTTTATCCCTCTAAATTCTTCACTTCCTGAAAAAACAAACAAACAAAAAAGCCACTGAGGGCCCTTGGACTAAATCCAGGCCTGAGTTGCTGGGCAGAGGTCAGTCTTGTCCAGACATGGGAAAAAAATAACTCGAGTCAGACAGGTGGGTCACCACAGAACTAATCCAGCCTGCAAATGGCCTGTGCAATCTTCAGCTCTGTCCAGACCTGCCTCCCTCTGGGGATGCCTTTAAAGGTGATGAATGATCTGGATGAATGGGCTTAGAAGATAAGAGGGAAAAACAAATATCACAGGTCAAATCGTTATTTGTCTTCAAGTTTAACACCGTCTACTGGACTAAAAGATGTCCAAAGAATAGTTGTTCAACTATGTAAATTCCTTTTTTTTTTTTTTTTGAGACAGAGTCTCGCTCTGTTGCCCAGGCTGCAGTGCAATGGTATGATCTTGGCTCACTGCAAGCAACCTCTGATTTTAGTATTATTAGTAGAGACAGGGTTTCACCATGTTGACCAGGCTGGTCTCGAACTCCTGACCTCAGGTGATCCACCTGCCTCGGCATCCCAGAGTGCTGGGATTACAGGCGTGAGCCACCGTGCCCGGCCAACTACATAAATTCCTAACAACGTATCTCCAGAAAGTATAGGCACAACAGCACATGCAGTCATTCCTGTAATTAAGTGCTCCGGGAGGCCAAGGCAAGAAGATCCCTTGAGCCCAGGAGTTTGAGACCAGCCTGGACAACATAGCAAGACTGTGTCTCTACAAAATATACAAAAATTGGGCTGGGGATGGTGGCTCACGCCTGTAGGCCCAGCACTTTGGGAGACCAAGGCAGGAAGATCGATTGAACTCAGGAGCTCGGGACCAGCCTGGACAACATAACGAGACCCAGTCTCTACTAAAACTCAAGAAAATTAGCCAGACGTGGTTGCATGTGCCTGTAGTCCCAGCACTTTGGGAGGCCAAGGTGGGTGGATCACCTGAGGTCAGGAGGTCGAGACCAGCCTGGCCAACATGGTGAAGTCTCATCCCTACTAAAAATACAAAAATTAGCCAGGCACGGTGGCACACACCTGTAGTCCCAGCTACTTGGGAGGCTGAGGCAGGAGAATGGATTGAACCCGGGAGGCAGAGGTTGCAGTGAGCCGAGATGGCACCATTGCACTCCAGCCTGGGCAACAGAACAAGACTCCATCAAAAAAAAAAAAAAGAAAAGAAAGAAGAGAAGAAAATTAGCCAGGTGTGGTTGCATGCACCTGTAGTCCCAGCACTTTGGGAGGCCAAGGCAGGAGGATCAATCAAGGCTAGGAGATTGAGACTGCAGAAGGAAACCCTGTCTCTAAAAACAAGGTCCAGCTAAAATCAGGGTCCAGCTCCACCACAAGCGCAGCTCCAGGGGCTGTTGAGTTTTGCCTCTACCATTCCAAGTAGTCTCTGCTCCAGACCAAGTCCCACCATCTGGCAGTCATGTCAGTCCAACCACAGTCATATCAGGGCACTTCCAGTCATTGAGTGCCCCTTGAGGAGGCTGGAGGAGAGGCCAATGACATTTGCACTTGAGACTCCAGAGTCTAGATTTATAACCACTATGTTACGGCTGCCAGTGTGGCTGCAAGGACACTTCTTTCATTCATTCATTTACAATAGATGTAGCATCTGCTGTGTGCCAGATGCCATTCTAGGTTCTAGGGAAACAAGGCAGAGCCCCTGTTTTCCAAGGCATCCACATTCTAGGAAAGACTGCTACCAGCCTGGCGTGGTGGCTCATGCCTGTAATCCCAGTACTTTGGGAGGCCGAGGTGGGCGGATCACTTGATGTCAGGAGTTCAAGACCAGCCAACATAGTGAAACCCCGTTTCTACTAAAAGTACAAAAATCAGCTGGGCATGGTGGCACGTGCCTGTAGTCCCAGCTACTCAGGAAGCTAAGGCAGGAGAATCGCTTGAACCTGGGAGGCAGAGGTTCTGGTGAGCCGAGATCATGCTACTGCACTCCAGCCTGGGCAACAGAGTGAGACTCCATCAAAAAATAATAATGATAATAAAATAAAGACTGCTACTAAACAATAAAATAACCAAACCAGATAGATGACTTCAGGTGGTGGTAAGAGCTTTGAAAGAATAAGCAAGGTAACTAACTGGTCAGAGGAAGGGAGATGGGTGCATTCCCTCAGATAGACCGCCCCAGAGGTCTGCCTCTCTGACATGACATTTGAGCAGAGACCCAACAGGAAAAGGAAGAGGCTGCTCTATGGCCGGGTACGGTGGCTCACACCTGTAATCCCAGCACTTTGGGAGGCCCAGGCGGGCGGATCACGAGGTCAGGAGATCGAGACCATCCTGGCTAAGACGGTGAAACCGTCTCTACTAAAAATACAAAAAAATTAGCCGGGCGTGGTGGCGGATGCCTGTAGTCCCAGCTACTCGGAAGGCTGAGGCAGGAGAATGGCATGAACCTGGGAGACGGAGCTTGCAGTGAGCCGAGATCGCGCCACTGCACTTCAGCCTGGGCGACAGAGTGAGACTCCATCTCAAAGAACAAAAAAAAAAAGAACCAAGAGGTGTCCAGGCGAAGAGAACAGCAGATGCAAAGGCCCTGTGGCAGAAACAATCTTGGTATGCTGGAGGAATAGGAAGGCAGCCAGTGCAGCTGGAGCAGGATAGGTTAAGGGAGGATCAAGGTGATGAGGGCCTGGAAAGAGGGGCTGGGGTCGAATCACCAGATCCTGTTGGTTGCAATGGAAGAGCCTGGAGTTTATTCTCAGAGCAGTGAGAAGCCACTGGAAAGTTGTTTTTTTGTTTTTCTGTTTTTGAGACAGAGTCTAGCTCTGTCACCCAGGCAGACTGCAGTGGTGCAATCTTGGCTCACTGTAACCTCTGCCTCCCAGGTTCAAGCGATTCTCCTGCCTCAGGCTCCCCAGTAGCTGGGATTACAGGCACATGCCACCACACCCATCTAATTTTTCTTTTTCTTTTTTTTTTTTTTTTTGAGACAGAGTCTCTGTCACCCAGGCTGGAGTGCAGTGGCGCAATCTCAGCTCACTGCAACCTCCACCTCCCTGGTTCAAGCGATTCTCCTGCCTCAGCCTCCCGAGTAGCTGGGACTACAGGTGCATGCCACCATACCTGGGTTAATTTTTTGTGTTTTTAGTAGAGACAAGATTTCACCACGTTAGCCAGGATGGTCTCGATTTCCTGACCTCGTGATCTGCCCACCACGGCCTCCCAAAGTGCTGGGATTACAGGCGTGAGCCACCGTGCCTGGCCAGCCACCGGAAAGTTTTATGTAAGCAGGGGAGTGATCTGTTTTATCATTTAGAAGGATACACACCTCTTCTTCTTTTTTTAGAGACAGGGTCTAGTTCTGTCACCCAGGCTGGAGCCCAGTGGCACAATCATAGCTTACTGTAACCTCAAACTCCTGGGCTCAAGTGATCCTCCTGCCTCAGCATCCCAAAGTGCTGGATTACAGGCATGAGTCACCATGCCTGGTCACACTTCTCATTCTTTAAACCAGACCTCATTTGTCCATCTCCCCCATCCCCCGCCCCACCCCACGGACTGTCCTATAATGCCCATACAACAGGTCACTGTTTAGAAAGTGCTACAAAGTTACAAACACAGTCCCTTCTGAGCCTCCCACCAATGTTGGTGGGTACAAGGTCAAAAAAAAAAATCTCATCTATCTAAGGGGCATAGGAGACTTTTTAGTTAGAGGGCCCAATTATAGTCCTCCTGAAAAGATGCCAAAAGTCCCCTTCAACACTTAGCAAAGATTCAAGAAAGATGAATCTCACATTCTTTGTATGGGAAATGAGGAACTTGACATCTTCAATATAATGGATTCCACTAAAATAAGATGACGATCAATAGGAACCAACTAAAAAAATACTTGACTAGCTGTTATTGAAAGGCTGAAATTCAGCTGACATAAGCAGTATTAATATTGAGCTAGAAAATAATTCGCATTGAATTCAGCCCAACTTTTGTTTTCTGATTTGGGTCTCTTCTAAATTTTTTTTTTCTTCTGGACATTGAGAACAATCCAATTTGAAGGCCTCAATGCCCAAATCTACACTCTTGTTTTATTCTATATCCTTGGTTTCTTTTTTTTTTTTGAGATGGAGTCTCATTCTGTCGCCCAGGCTGGAGTGCAGTGGCGTGATCTTGGCTCAATGCAAGATCCGCCTCCCGGGTTCATGCCATTCTCCTGCTGCAGCCTCCCGAGTAATTGGGACTACAGATGCCCGCCCCCACGCCCGGCTAATTTTTTTGTATTTTTAGTAGAGACGGGGTTTCTCCGTGTTATCCAGGATGGTCTCGATCTCCTGACCTCGTGATCCACCTGCCTCAGCATCTCAAAGTGCTGGGATTACAGGCGTTAGCCACCGTGCCCGGCCCACACCTAGGTGATTTTTAAAGTTCTTCTAGTAGAGACAGGGTCTCACTATGTCGGGTCGCCGTGTTTGATGTCAGTTTTCCCTGCCAGAATCTACAATCTCCTTGATCACCATTATATCCCAACGAAGAGCTCAGTACCTGGTACAAAGCACATTTGATCAATACTTGCTGAATAAAGAAATAAAAATGAAGAGGCACTCCAGCCTGGGCAACAGAGTGAGATGGTCTCAAAAAAACAAAAACAAAAACAAAAAACGACTGGAAAGGAGATGAGGGTACTTGTGAAGCCATATTATATGACACGCTCTGTGCTAGGACTTTTATATACCTTGTCTCATCTCTTCATCTCATATAATCCTTACAAGGATCTCAAAAGTGGGGAAATCCCCATATAACTGAAGACGAAGGCAGTTCAGAAGTTCACTGATTTGCCCTAAGGTTCCTCAATTTGCAAACGTCAGGCCAATGATCCAACCCCAGGTATGTTTGGCAGTGAAGGACCAGTTGAGTCACAGCTGCAAGTAACCACCCTGCAGTGGTCCCTATCTTGGCCGTTAGCTTACATTGACATTTAACACTCAAATTTACTCAGTAACACCAGCTATCATGTTTTCCACTAAAACTCCACAGCATTCTGGCAACTTTTCTATTTTAGAGCAATAAAGTAAATTGTTAGCATCCCTTTGACATATAAATATTTCTACAAATAGTAATTCTCTAGCCATTCATTTGGAGTACTTAAAACTCAACATTCATAGCACATTTTATGTGACAAAGAACTTATGTTCAGAACACAAAAATAAGTCGTACGTCTTCATTAAAAACAGGTGAAGAATTTGAACAAACATTTGCAAACTAAAATACAAATGAAATACACTCAACATCATTAAACAAGAAAATAAAATTATGAGATAATCACTAATAATCACTACATATGCACCACAGTGATTAAAATTTTTTTAAGTTAAGCCACGTGACCCAACAAGGTGCATTCACTCAAGAGAAACGCAAATATATGTCCACTCAAAGACTTGCACATGAATGTTGAGAGCAGGTTTATACTGAATAGCGCAATGTGAAAAAACCCCAAAATCTAGCAAAGGATGAAGGGAGAAATAAACTGTGGTATATACATACAATAGAACACTACTCAATAATAAAAAGGATTATATTCCTGATACATGCAATATGGGTGAACCGTAAAAATATCATGCTGAGCAAGAGAAGCCAAACACAAGAGAACATGTTGT
The DNA here is from genome assembly GCF_000001405.40 of Homo sapiens. Lineage (NCBI taxonomy): Eukaryota > Metazoa > Chordata > Mammalia > Primates > Hominidae > Homo > Homo sapiens. The sequence continues at coordinate 22,492,120 of NC_000016.10, read as the reverse complement.
TATGATTTCACGTACATGAAACTTTAGTAAAGACAAGTCTAATCCATAGTGACAGAAAGCAAATCAGTAACTGCTGACAGGGGCAAATGAGGAGATGATCCCAAGGGAACCTTCTGGGGTAAGACGCTGTTCTCTATCTCGATCGTATTGGTGGTCACACAAGTGAAGACATGTTAGAACTCATCAAACCATACACTTAGAATGTGTAATATAAACCTCAATAAAGCAAAATTTAAAAAAAAAAACCACCTTTAATTTTCTCTTACAAAAAAAAAAAAAGGAAAACCACTTAACTTTAATTTTCTCCAACAACTGATTCTGGTACACAGTATACCTTAATGCCTGCATCCACGGCCTCACGTCATGCTGTTTACATGAACGTAAAGCTTCGCCGAAGAGTGGAATAAGACAGTCCTGCCAGAGAAAAACCAAAATTACTCAACGTAAAACAGGCTGTTGATATGTTTGCAGATATATAGCAAGTCTTAAGTCCAAGACTGCAATATAGTTTGGCTACTTCAGATTGATTGCAGTAGTTTTATCTATTACACTATACCCTTACATCATTTATCTTCTACTCACAAGAGGCAAGCACACAGTAAGAGAAAGCCTTTTGTTTTGAAGGGAAATCTTCTTCAGAATATTAAGTCTAATTTATCAATATACTTAATAAAGCACATTACAAAAAAAAAAGTCACAGCACATTTACTATAAAGCAGACTGCAGAAAAACATTACAACTAATGCTTTATTATGAAGTTCTCGAAGATCACCATTCATTCAGAAGCCCCCATCTCTGGTCGAACTTTACCCCATTTAGGATGAAGAGGAGAGATCTTTGTTTGCAGCAAATCTAAAATTTACGTGATCTGCCTAAAGGAACTGTCTTTACATACACCACCTCCCACCCCAAAAATAGAAGAAAAAACTGAGCAATTTGCCATCCTTGCGATTATCTCAGGTTCTTCCATCTGCCCCATGTACTTCCCAAATGAAAGACTGCCTGAAAACAGCATGTTAGATTTCTGGATTTACCAGCTTGCCCAACTACAAATCCTATTCCAAAAAACTCAAAAAATAAGGTCTTTGTTCTACAGTAATGACCATTAATAGTCATAAGAGTGTGCTTGTAAAAATATACAGACCTCTGTTGAAAGTCTGTTAGAAACTGTGGTCTCCAAAGCAGACGAGCAATACAGCTGCAAGGTACTTAGAACTGGCAAAGACTGTGAAACTGTTAAAGTAGAAAGTCTCAGAGGTCCAATAGCGATGCGGGATGTTTGCTTCAAGTACTTTACCACATTTCTGAAACAAAATATTTACTGTCAATTAATAAAAATTACAATTCATAACCACTCAAAGAATAAAGCAATTGATAAGATGCTATCAAATTGACATCCAAAGTTAGGGGGCAGTAAGAGGAGCAGCCTGCTCTATAATAAAATGGTATCAGCAAGTCAAGACATTTGCTTTTGGGGATTTTTACATTTTATTTCATTTCAACCTCAGTTTTTGTTGGCAAGCAGCATTCATATATCATATGACTTCTACAACTAAAATGAAGCTATTAGCACTAGTATTTAGTAATCTAGTAACTCTCCTTCCAGCCCTCTTCACCCCATGTATGTTTATCACATGATATACACAATGTACATTTACCTCCGTAAGAGTAAACTTACTCAGTTATAGACTGCCACTTCTGATCTTGTTCTATCGGGTTTAAAGCAGTTGCCAAACAAACAGAACTTCTTAACAATGGAACTTCAATGGATTTCTGAGGTTCCCTTGGATCTGGACTTCACATGTTACGAAGCAGTTTTTTCATGTCTACAGAAGTTAAATGAAATGTCATTAAGTTAATGTGCTTTTATTATAAATTTTGATTTATGTTTGGCATTATTAAAAACTAATCACCAATGAACAGCTCCTTTAATATTTCAGGCAGTTAAACACTATAAGCATTACTGAGAGCTATATAAAAATCATACTTCATACAAAATTACTGTACCTCAGACCCCTAAAAAGCAGTTGCCTTCAAAGGCTCAAAAATCAGTAAGTCGAGGTCAGGCGTGGTGGCTCACGCCTGTAATCCCGGCACTTTGGGAGGCCAAGGTGGGTGGATCACGAAGTCAGGAGTTCAAGACCAGCCTGGCCACGATGATGAAACCCCGTCTCTACTAAAAATACAAAAAATTAGCTGGGCACGGTGGCAGACACCTGTAATCCCAGCTACTCAGGAGGCTGAGGCAGGAGAATCGCTTGAACTCAGAGGGCGGCGGAGGTTGCAGTGAGCCGAAATCGCGCCACTGCACTCCAGCCTGGGCAACAGAGTGAGACTCTGTCTCAACAAAAAAGAAAATCGGTAAGTCAATCTACTATTTAAGGGGACAAATCTAGACCTGCATTAGCAAATCTTGCTCAATCCAGAATACTCATTAAACTTTTTAATAACATCTTATCAAGTGTTCCATTTGTGATAAAGAACTTAATTAACGAGCCACATCAAGATGAAAATCAAGAAAAATATTTAGCTGAAACACTACTTTGTCCTTTATCAAACAAAATGGCTAGATAAATCTCAAAGTATTAAGGTGGTCATTTTTTTTATTTGACTTAATTTTAAGTGCTTTTCATTTCCCAAATCAAACATAAATAGGGCAGCCCTAAATTTGTTGCTTCACATGGGATTCTGCCCCCACAAAAATGTAAAATAACTTCCAGATTTTCCAGTAAAATATACTAAGCCAAACATTTTGAGCAACTTGTCCACTAAAATAACTTTAAAACTATTTTCTCAAATACCTACCTATTTTTTCTTTTGATCCTCCAGCAAGTAGATTGATATTTTCTCCTGGTAACAATTCTAATTGCTCGGTACATTCGACAAATTTTCCAGACTCAAAGCTGCTTAATGATCTGTAATTAAAATATTGGTTAGCTTGTATTCCTATGCAGCCTGTGGAACCATTAAAAAAAACAAACAAACAAAAACAGAACAAATCCTAGGAAGACAGCAAAGTACACAGCACTTTTCTGACAAAATTCCTTCCACGAGGATGCCATTATTTTGGTTTTTATGTTGAAGATGTGACTACCACTTAATTAGTACTCAAATTGGAGTGGCAAACCAGAAAGTCACAGCTACAGACTTTCAGTGGAGCTGACTCGCCCCTGTGTCTCCTTCCTGTTTTCATGTGTTGCAGCCTGTTCTCTTCAGAGCCTGACACACTGACAGTAGACCTCTGCAGGACAACTTTGACACCCAGTTCTCTCCAAGCTGCCAGTGAGCTCCCTGTGCAGCCTCACTCCTCACCTACAGCATGAGCCCTTGCACAGCTCTCCCAGCATCACAATCTTGTATCTCAGTCCTGGCTTCTTTCACTGCTGGCATCCCTCCGTCTCTCCCTTTTTCACCTACTTTTCTTTTTTCAAAGAATTCTTCTCTTTCATCTGCTTATATGAAAAATAATGACACCTCTGAAATTCTTTCCTGTAGTTCTGCAGCATCAATGCCAGGAAGACAGGCCTCATCCTCCCAGCTTCTATGCTGCTCCTTTCAGATCCCTTACCCTGTCCCCATTTTCATGACACGGGCTCTCCAGCCAGGAAGAAGACACTGTTTCTCACTCTCTCTCTTTTCCATCTTTGCCTGTCCCTCTCGCTGTGTAACTTCCCTTATAACTCAGCCTGAGGCCAGTGCTAGAAAGGCACATCACCTGACTTATTCTGTGCCTGATTCTACCTAGATCAGTGCAACCACTGGCTTCTCAGGGGGACCCTTGAGTACTGGGCACTGATGAACTGCTGCCAACACAGTCATCATTTCTGCCATTAAAAGGTCCTAAGTCCTCTCCAGTGGCAGGTTCCCCAAGTCCCCACTATGCTCTATAATGCCCTATGCTTTCAGCTAATGACTCAGTCCTCAGAAAAAACAAACAAATAAACAAAAAAACACAGGCTTTAATTTCCTCTACCCCTACCCCCAATCCACCATACACTGCCGAAATTCTGTCTATACCAACTTTGACTGCTTTCCTTGAGGCAGAGAAAAGGTGAGGGCCAGTTAATCTATCAATGTTCTTTCTCCTGTTTCTTCAACCTCTGCTTTCTAGTGGCTCCTTCCCCTTGGCCAAAAGAACATAATCTCTCCAACATTTAAAATAAACATCTCATATTTCCCTCCAGCAACAGCTTCCTATCCTCGACTTCAAGAAAAACTCACTGACCAAATAACTTACCTCAAGCTTTTCATTTTCAAATGTCTCTACCACTCAATACTATTCAATCTAGCTTCTTCTGTCTCTCTACAAAACTCTTTTTCCTTATAATCCCTAGAGCATCTGACAAGGCTGACTACTCCCATCTGGATGTCCTATATCTAGGGCACTTCCCTTCTCAATGTCCCTGTATTTTTTTGAATGGCTTCCTCTTCTATCCTTTCACAAAAATGCTAAACTAGGATTCTGACCCAGGCCTTCCTTCCTCTTCACTCACTATTCTCCAGAGGCTTCTCTCTGGTTTGGTTGCTTACAAAGGCTCTAGAGTATAGAGACTGAAAAGGAAAGAGGGCCTTTTCTGTGTACTAATCATCTGCAAATCTCTCAAGCTTAGACTGTCTCCTTAGTTCAAAATCCAATTCTTAACAGCTTACCCAACAATCTCATCTGCACATTTCATTAGAAATCTTAAAACATGGCTTGTTCTCTGTGTGCTCCTACTCCAGTTAATAGCATTGTTTCTCTTCCCTCTACCATTGCCCCCATAAATTAATGGTCTCCATGCTTCCATACTTGCCCCGCACCTCCAGTCTCTTCACCACAGCAGAATGAACCAAGTCAGATCACAACACAACTCTGTTCAAATCCCACCTGAAATTTTCAGTCTTACTAGAATAACAGCCAAAGTTCTTTTCTCAGTTCCCAGCTACTTCTCTGCCCTTATATCCTACTGTTTAAGGCGCTCCTAAACACACAGGCCTCCCAGCTATTTCCAGAACACTCCAAGCCCATCATTCTCACATCAGGTCTAGGCCCAAAGGGCATCCTGATGGGCATGTCTTGACCTTGTGTCTTCCCTCCAAAGAAGGTCAGCTTTACCTAACTGCTTTCCTTATGGCACAGAAAAGGTGAGTGAGGTCCAATTAGTCCTTCTATCAATAATCTTTATCTAATCTTTGCTTTAAAAGGTTGGAATTTGTGTCTGTTTTATGTGCTGCCTGGGTCACAGCACATGCTCAGTGAAGCAATTACACATTAACCCATTTAGCAGTAGAAGGCAAGGGTATCAGACAAAGTCTAATGACCTTTATCTTCCCAGCCAAGTGTCTGCAACAGAGTGAGTGCTCAGTTTTGAATTACAGAATTAATAAAAGCACAGAGGAATGAGAAGAAAGTTTAATTTACAGATGTTCACAAACTCTGTCCTCATTAGAATAAATGTTTTTGATATATTCAGACCTCATTTCGAAACAAAGCCATCAAATGTGATTCTTTCTAAAGCAGTACAAATTTTTCTTTATATTCACTCTGGCATAATCTTCAAACTGTATTAAGGTTTTAGAACGACAGGTTCTGAAAATTAATACCAAATGACTATCTCAGCAGTGTTTTCCCATTATACAAATACCTTCCCTCATCTCTGATGTCAGTTTCCTGTTGTCATTTTCATAATGGCAGTAAGTTAGAAATATAACCATTTTGAGTATTACTGCATATGACCAATTTTAATATTTTTTTTGCCATAGGAAAAACATCATAGTTATTGGAAATTTGTTTTATAACTGGAAACAGAAAGCCTTACTTTATATAGTTGAAGTCAGCTTTCAGGTTGAGGGAAGTGCTACTGGTACTCTTTTTCAAGTCATGGATAGCGTTCTGCCATTCCTGCACAGCAGCCCAATCGGCAGTTGAGATGTAGCACTCACATGCTTTGTTTCCTAAATAATTTATAACCTCAGGGGAAGAGTCAGTCGGTTTGGACAGCACACTTTTTCTGGATTCACCTGAAAGTATTTTATAAAATAAGAAGAGAGAGATTCAGATCAATTAGAAATATTTCAAAGAGCACAGAAACCTAAAAACATGATAAGATCATCAGTACGAAATATATTACTATAACTTTTGCTTTATTTAAAAATGCTGAACGCTCACCATTCAGACAATGTTTCAGGCTGGCACTCTTACACCCAGCACTGGCTAAGGTGAGCACCGATTTGTCAAAGCTGGAGATGCAGCAATCAACACCTGTCATGGCACACAGGTGTTCCTGGTACTCCACAGAGGCCTTTTCAAACCTGAAAAGCAAATTGAAGCAGTCTTATTTCTTTATTTATCTAACTACTTACTTTTTTTTTTTGAGATGAAGTTTTGCTCTTCTTGCCCAGGCTGGAGTGCAATGGCACTGTCTCAGCTCAGTGCAACCTCTGCCTCCCGTGTACAAGCGATTCTCCTGCCTCAGCCTCCTGAGTAGCTGGGATTACAGGCACTCGCCACCATGCCCGGCTAATTTTCTTGTATTTTTAGTAGAGACGGGGTTTCACCATGTTGGCCAGGCTGGTCTTGAACTCCTGACCTCAGGTGATCCGCCTGCCTCGGCCTCCCAAAGTGCTGGGAATACAGATGTAAGCCACCGAACCCAGCCTACCTAACATGGCAAATTTTGTTTTTTTAAATATTGAGTGGGAAAAACAGATCATAAAACCATGTGCCTATGTACGCTGATGTTTTGGTGAAGAATGGAGAAAACGACATGAAAGAAAAAAGAATTACAAAGCGTATGGATATGGAAATATGGGACTACAAAAGGACACACAACAGAAGTTACTACAAAGATATGGAAGTATGAGCAGTTCTTTTATTTTCCTAAGTTCGCAAGATTTCATTAAACTAACATAAATGGACACAGAATATTATGGTACAAGCTCCTCTACCCGGAGGAAGCAATGAGTCTGAATGTAGAGTTCACAGGACTAACGAGCAAATACTCTGACAATAAAGGGTAATTTGTATCAGACTCTGAGGGGGAAGGAGCTCAACTAGGGATCAAGTTCAAAAGCATTTATAAAACAACTGACAGGTCTTGTTTTACAGTGTGATTTGCCACTAATTCTTAAATAAGAAAGGCACTCCAGTATTGCTGCTAACTGAAGAACAAACTGAAGATGCCTCCTGGTGAAGGGATTTATAGCAAGCTTCAATGCTGAAAGCAAACAAAGCTGTTTTAAGATTTGGCTACAATGTCAGTGAGTAATACAAAGAACTTAAACATAAAGTAATTCTATCACCCATTTCCTTCCCTCCAACCTACCTCCCTTCAGCCTGTTGAGCCACTGAGTTAATCCACAGAAGATGTTTTCCAACAATAGATGATGACCAGACAGCAATTCCCTGTATAGCTTCAGGACAATGAAGTTCACATAGTGCTTCTACCACCATCATAATGCTTACTTCCAATTCATTCCCCTGAAAACGCATTCAGAAAAGTTAGTCACCCAATACCATTAAAACATAAATCCCTATAAAATTTACAACTGATCACAGTCTGTGCCTGCTTAAAGCCAAATGTATTTAACAATTATTGTCACAATTTTCACATTATTTAGCTCAGAATTCTTTAAAATGTTACATATAAAATAGCCACAAAGGGTGACTAACAGAACCTTAGCAGCACATGGATGTTTGTACCCCCACCCCAAAGTTACCCAAAAACATTTAACCTGTGACCTCTGTAGGAATAACACATGGAGTAAAAAGAAAGCAAAAATGAAATATAAATAAACAGGAATTAAGGAATGATTAACTTCATGTGTTTGAATACTGCTTGACATTACCTGAATTGCTAAACATTTTGTTATTTTTGGATTCCAGTTATTTATTGTGAGCCCACTTTCAAGCCAGGAATTACTCAAGCATTTGTCATACGTTATAAAAACAATTTCTCCTGGCCAGGTGCAGTGGCTCATGCCTGTAATCCCAGCACTTTGGAAGGCCGAGGTGGGCGGATCACTTGTGGTCAGGAGTTCGAGACCAGCCTGGCCAACATGGTGAAACCCTGTCTCTACTAAAAATACAAAACTTAGCCGGGTATGGTGGTGGGTGCCTGTAATCCCAGGGACTGAGGCAAGAAGAGGCTTGAACCCGAGAGGCGGAGCTTACAGTGAGCCGAGATCGCACAACTGCACTCCAGCCTGGGCGACAGAGTGAAACTGTGTCTCAAAAAAATAAATAAATAAATAAAAATTTTCCCCCATAAACAAATTTTCAGAATTACCTTTAAAGTTCTAAACTTTGCACGGAAGAAATAGAGTTTTAACGTGTTCTAACATGAATATTGTTTTAACATGAACAAAAACATGAACATTATTTTGACTTCTAACACTGTTTTAACACGAATAAAATAGGTAACTCTGGCAGTTGTTGCTTTTACAAAATACAGGATCAAAACCTTTGAAAATGAATCCAAGCTTTAACTTATTTTATCCATAGATTAAATCATACCAAAGGAATTAAACCATGTTTTTCTTATTAACAGACTTAAAATGAATTTCAAACACACCACTTTACCTGAGATAGGCTGGTTGTTTTCATCTCTGTAAGCAAGTCAAAGCCATGTCTCACTGTCACTGCAGGCTGGCCTGCCAACAATCCTACCCTCATGATGGAGAGTCGAATCCGCGTTAGCCAGTCCTGACAAGTTTGGCGATTGGTATACAAAAAAGTTCTAATGACCTTTACGATAAGAGAAAGAAAAGCTCAGGACTGGTTCAATTTGTAGGTAAGGATGTCTCACCTATATATAAACCAAATACACAAGTCTATTGTGATTTCAGCTCTGCACATACTGCCAGCTGTGACCATTAAACTGCTATAAAACAACACTATCTCCCGGAAACCAACCTTGGGAGGTGAAGTTAAGGCATTAGCACATCCCTCGTATGCATTATACATTAATTTCTCCAGATTTTCCAGATACTGCAGAAGAAGAACAAGTCTAAGTTGGTTGTTACCATGGCCTTCATCACTGTCTGCAGTTGTCCACTGACTAACATCCTGATCAGGGTTTAATGTGTGACCTGCGAGACTTCGAATGATACCTGAAAGCAAAGACAACATTCTGAATTTTTAAAAATCTTAAAAGTTCCTAGAATAAGTGTGAGTTTTTTATGACCAATTCACATTTATCAAGTATCCTCTGTCTACCCATCATTTAAAAATAAAAAATCCCAACATGAAAGATCTTTCATTTTAGGGGAAAAAAATATATATTTTTTCCACACAACTCCCATAAGTTTTGGAAAAAAAACAAACATATTTCCAATGCAATTATTCAATGAAAGCTTATTCTAACAAACAAACCTGAAAATTATTGACTTTTTTCAAAAAAAATCATATACCCTCAAATCTTTAACAAAGATTTAAAAATCCATTATTTCTCAATAAGGCTTTGAAAGTATTCACATCATAAAGCTTGAGCGAGTTACCTTCAATTGTCTGGAAGGTGTCTTGAGCTCTGCCCAGTGGGGTTCTCAGCTTAGAAAGAACAGTGAATTGTGCAGCTTCCCATATGGCCCACTGCCAAAGGATAGCATCTGTCTTCAGGAGATTGCGTGGAATTGTTGACTGGTCACGCTTATCCAGTCTCTGGCAGCTATAGAACAGTCTTTCCAACCAATTGTCCTTCCTGGGAAAAGTAGTTTCATATTTAAAAGACAATGACAACTTCATTTTAATAATGAAAAAAAAATGCAAGGGGAATGGGAATAAGGAACTGTAATTTTCCCTACTCCAAAAAAAGGCAAAACCTATGAAATTGAGAAGCATTATGTCCCCCCCTCTCATTTTGAGGTCTTGTATAGTTAACAGGATGAGGTACAGTGTGGAAGGATGATTAGGGTAAACGGCTCATGCCAGTCAGGAATGAAACTCATTCAATGCAACTAAGCATCTCTAGAATATCTCCACCCCCACCCCACTCCCCAAAGTGTTAATGACATCACATCAGTTAACTGTTAACCACATTTCATTACTCAATTTCAAAGCCCATTTTTGTTTCTACAGATGCTATCTTCAAAGCAATTTTCCTATTGATGAAAACTGAAATAACCCATATGAGAAGAATGTTACTTGATACTCTGCCACCCCCAAACATATTTTCTCTTCAAAACTGCATGTAAAGTCAAGGGAATCTTAAAATTTTCTTTCCCAGATAAAATAGTCAAAGAAATGTCTTACCCTGTTCTATGAGAGTTCCCATACAAAATAAAACTAATAACATCAGAGAAATCTTGGGGGTGGAATGTATTACTTGGTGCTTTACTCATGTGACTTCTTAATGCTAAAGAAATTTCTTGAATTTCTGTGTGATTGTTATCGCTGTAGACAGAAAATAAAGTTGTTGTTATGCAAAATATTTTAGCTTAAAAGGTTAGCACATACTGTAAGTGGATTATTTACTTATTAACTCACTGGAGGTAAAAATATAGTAAAATTGAGACTTTCAAATGGATACAGAGATGTGATTACAACTTTAGATCCTTTTTTTATTCACCTCAGATGGGTCATGTGCCGACATCATAAGAGGATTTGAGGGAGGCATATCAAACATGTGAACATAAAAACCCAATCATTATGCTTATCTATTACAAAAGGATCAAGTTTAGGCTCTTAAAAGCTCCCAAATCAACTTGATCAAAAACAATAAAAGATTACTGTTTAGTTTTTCAAATATCTGAGCTACTAAGAAACATATTTTGGCACTACATGAGTTATTCTATACTAATTATTGTGAGCCTATAAAGCTCATTAAAAATTTTTAATTTTCTTGCAGACCTGCAAAATTTGGTTATTTGACATCACTTCAATCACTGACAAGCAGGGCCATAAAAGATGTGTCATTAATGCTCTAATAGGTGATCTGTCTTCTCCTAAAGTAGACAACCAGTAGAGGCTGTAAATATCACAGAATGTCTTTGCTTCAAAACAACTGTTATACCTTAGGAAAACACCTAAAGGAATTGATTTCAACAGTTTTCCAAATGCTTGTCGAATACAAGTTCCACGGTGCACTAGTTGGACACGGCAAACATCAACACATCTATGAAAGAACGAAATAGACAAAGCAGGTGTGTTAACAGTTCCAGGTTATTAGGGTTAATGTCAAAAGACACGATCTTAATTTCATACCTCTGTAAAAGATCATCTGGCAAGGAAGAGGATAGAGCATGTAGACTGCTGCATGCCTGCAGACAGATATTCACATCTTCAACGAGAGCTATTAAACATTAAAAGACAGTTACTTTCAGCTGGCCAAAAGAAATTATATCCCAGTTTGTCATAATTATCTGAATCCATTCATTCATTCAACAAAGAGTGAGTGCCTACTATAGACTAGGCACTGTTCTTGTCCAGAATCCTCATTGACTGTCACATTTGGAAAAATGACACATTCAACAAAACCCACGTAATGTAACTGATGGGTCATCACACAAAACTTTTTCTGAGAGAAAATGTAAAAGTATATGTAAACTATAAACATTCACGTTAGCTTAAAAATGTGACAATCACTTCAAAACATTTTTCTAATACTAAGAATGAAAAAAAATCAAGACTGTGTATCTGTCATTAAAATGAGGATTACACATCTTCAGGTCAGGAAAAGAGCTCGATTCATGACCATCTCCCATTACCAAAGACCCTTTTAAGGACTGATAAACAAAATAGAAAAAAAAAACCAGAGTCTTACTGTCGGCTAAAAGGCCTTTGCAAAATTTATGGAAAGACGGAAGACAGAATAAAGGTGCATATGTTTCGGACTTCTTCATTACAACAGCTACTTCCAAAGCCCAAGTCATTAACAGTTTCCTGAAACACAAAATATACAGTTGACTGTACATTAAAAAAAAAACAACAACAAAAACAAAAAAAAGTTAAAAGCCTAGTCTTCTTACATTGGTTTTCTCTTGGTTTTTCAAACATCTCAAACAATAAAAAATAAAAATAAAAAATGAAACTATAGAAATTACTGTCAAAATTGTTGTGTGCCTTTTAAGAAAACCTCCCAACGCAGCATGATAATAGCAAAGAGGCCGGGCGTGGTGGCTTACCTGAGGTCAGGAGTTCAAGACCAGCCTGGCCAACAACATGGTGAAACACCATCTCTACTAAAAATACAAAAATTATTGAGGAACTGCCAAACTGTTTTCCACATCAGCTGCACCATTTCACATTCCTATTGCTAACTTATAAAGATTTCAATTTCCCCATATCCTCAACAACACTTGTTATTTTCCATTTTTTAATAATAGTCATCATAGTAAGTGTGAAGTGATAGCTTGGAGTTTTAATTTGTATGTCTCCATTGACTAATGATGTTGACATCTTTTCAAGTGCTTATTGGCCATTTGTTTATCTTCTTTGGAGAAATGTTTATTCAAGCCTTTTGTCCATTGTAAGATGGACAAAAATGGTTGTCTTTTTGTTGTTTGTTTACAACCATTTTGTTTTAAAATGTTTTGTCTTTTTGTTGTTGAATTGTAGAAGTTTTTTATATACTTTGGGTATTAAACCTTAACATATATACAAAAAAAAAATACAAAAATTAGCCAGGTGTGGTGGCGGGCACCTGTAATCGCGGCTACTTGGGAGGCTGAGGCAGGAGAATTGCTTGAACCTGGGAGGCAGAGGTTACAGTGAGCAAAACTCCGTCTTAAAAAAAAAAAAAGCAAAGAATATTAAAAATCTATATATATTCTTCTATGAAACACTGGGCGTGGGGGATTGAGGTTTTTCATGTATTTCTTTTCAGAAAGAATAAGAAAGCCTAGATTAAATAATAAAACCAAATTATAAGGTGTTTGACAATAAAGAAGCTGCTCTACCTCACCTCTATAATCCACATTTTTTTAAATTTTTTGTAATCCACATTTCTTCTTCTCAAATTATAAAGGCAAATTAACAAAGTTAGGAATGGTTAATACTATATAATATCTGTTACCTCGTGTCCTGGTTATCTTTCTTAAGTAACATTCCCAGAAGATTTAATATAATTGAGAAATGTTTCTTTGTGGCCATAGTTACAGTGCCAATCACAGCTCCATCAAACAAAGAAGGAGAGGAAGAACTGAGGCTACTAAAGATAAAGTGATCATGCCTGAAAGACAAAGCATAGATTATCTTTTCATCTTTAATCAAAGAAAGCAAGCAAGTCCAAAGTTAAATCAACATACATCTTCAAAATCTATCCATTAAAAAAATAAAATGTTTTGTGGGGTTCTTTTCTTAAGAAAAATTTGTGAATACAGTACCTGGTACAATGAGGATACAATGTGTAGAGCACAGCATACTGAATGGCAGGGAAGTGAACAGCCAGGTCACTGTGCACAATCATCAGATTCTTACTCAGAAGTGCAAAGACAGTTGGAGATAGCGCCCACATCTGATCATGTACAAAACAAAGTAAGTTTATGGCTTCTCCAAAATAAGCACAAGCATACAGAGTTTATCCTTCAAAACAGGGGTATTTGGACATTTTTAAATTAAAATTACAGATTGGAAGGGATCTAGTACACTACACCTGGGACAAATACTTTTTTGTGAAGTCAGTAAAGCCTTTGCGTGCAATATAGCATCTCTATGCAATGCAGCAACTCCTCGTCTATCGCTACAGTAAGAAAACAGCCACAGGTCAGGTGTTGTGGCTCACACCTGTAATCCTAGCACTTTGGGAGGCTAAGGTGGGCAGATCACTTGAGCCCAGGAGTTTGAAACCAGCCTGGGCAACACAGCGGGACCCCATCTCTACTAAAATTACAAAAAGTAGCTGGGCATGGTGGCGCACACTTGTAATCCCAGCTACTCGGGAGGCTGAGGCAGGAGAATCGCTTGAACCTGGGAGGCAGAGGTTGCAGTGACCCGAGATCATACCAATGCACTCCAGCCTAGATGACAAAGTTAAGACTCTCTCTCTCAAAACAAAACACCAGCCACACACAAAACACAGGAATGAGAGTACCTGTGTTCCAAGAAAACTTTCTTGAGTCGGAGTCTCTCGCTCTGTCGCCCAGGCTGGAGTGCAATGGGGCGATCTCAGCTCACTGCAACCTCTACCTCCGGGGTTCAAGCAATTCTCCCTGCCTCAGTCTCCCAAGTAGCTGAGATTACAGGTGCCCATCACCATGCCCTGCTAACTTTTGTATTTTTTTAGTAGAGATAGGGTTTCACCATGTTGGCCAGGCTGGTCTTGAACTCCTGAGCTTGGGTGATCTGCCTGTCTCAGTCTCCCGAGGGATTACAGGCGTGAACCACTGCGCCCAGCCCAACAAGAACTTTCTTTACAAAAACAGGCACTAGTGTTGTGATGGTTGTACACTTCTGTGAATATAGTAAAAATCAGTGAATTATACACTTAAAATAACAGACAAAAAACAGGTGCTGGGCTGTATTTGGCCCACAGACCATAGTTTGCTGATCTCTGGTCTAAACAGAGCCCTTTGTATGTGCCTTTTGCGGAAGTAGACTGTATTTCCTCAATTTTCCATATACTGCAAATGGCAAGGTGCCCTGTTCAATAAGGAAACAGAGGCACACCCTGCCACCCTACACCTTTTCCATCCATCTTTTTCCTTTACACTGCCAAGACACTCCACTCCACCTGACTGCCCCATCCCCACCCACTTTCTCCTTATTTCTAGAGTACAGGACATAAACATCTTTGAATCTGTAAATAATGTGAATAATTTTCCTCAAAAATCAAGCTTTCATGTTTGAAGAAGAGTTTATTGTGACTTCAAACATAAACTGTAACTGGTAATAAGCGAAGCAGCTATGGAATTATACAAGGCAATCCAATCAAACAACACGGAGCACATTGAAGCGCAAACATCAAATTTTACCTTCTTCCTCCTAAAAACTTTATTCCCTAATTACATCCATTTCTTTCTTTGTTTCTTTCTTTTTTTTTTTTTTCTTTTGAGACAGAGTCTGGCTCTGTAGCCCAGGCTGGAGTGCGGTGGTGTGATCTCAGCTCACTGCAACCTCCACTTCCTGGGTTCAAGCAATTCTCCTACCTCACCCTCCAAAGTAGCTAGGATTACAGGTGTGCACCACCACCCCTGGCTAATTTTTCTATTTTTAGTAGAGGCGAGCTTTCACCATGTTGGCCAGGCTGGTCTCAAACTCCTGACCACAGGTGATCAGCCTGACTTGGCCTCCCAGAGTGCTGGGTTTACAGGTGTCAGCAACCGTGCCCAGCCTACACCTATTATTTTCTATTAAAAATGATGTTTTTCAACTCTGTGTGGTCCAATAGGAAGAAGAAATACACAAACCATAAACAATAAATACAAATCAAGAGCAGGGCCATGTCGAATTACTTAAAAAAAAAAAAACCACACGGGCTGGGCGCGGTGGCTCATGCCTGTAATTCCAGCACTTTGGGAGGCTGAGGCAGGTGGATCACCTGAGGTCAGGAGTTTGAGACCAGCCTGACCAACATGGTGAAACCAAGTCTCTACTAAAAATACAAAAATTAGCCCGTCGTAGTGGCAAGTGTCTGTAATCTTAGCTACTCGGGAGGCTGAGGCAGGAGAATTGCTGGAACCCGGGAGGCAGAGGTGGCAGTGAGCCGAGATTGCACCACTGCACTCCAGCCCAGTTGACAACAGCATGACTCTGTCTCCCCCAAAAAAAAAAAAAAAAAAAAAAAAAAAAGTCCCCCCACCACCACCAAAAGGAAGACTACAGGTTCAGTATCCCTTATTCAAAATGCTTGGGACCAGAAGTGTTTCAGACTTTGTATATGTTTGGATTTGAGAATACTTGCATATATATAAAATGAGATATGTGGGGGATGGGACCCAAGTCTAAAGACGAAATTCACTTATGTTTCATAGACACCTTCTATTCATAGCCTGAAGGTCATTTTATGCAATATTTTAAATAATTTTGGGCATACAACAGTTTGGACTCATCACATGAGGTCGGGTGTGGGATTTTCCACTTGGGGCATCATACTGGTGCTCAAAAAGTTTCAAATTTTGGAGCATTTTAGATTTAGGATTTTCAGATTAGGGATGCTCACCAGTAAGTGTTATGAAAATATTCCAAACTCCGGCTGGGCATGGTGGTGCCCACCTGTAATCCCAGCATTTTGGGAGGCCAAGGCAGGTGGATCACCTGAGGTCAGGAGTTCACAACCAGCCTGGCTAACATGGTGAAAACCCATCTCTACTAAATACAAAAAAATTAGCCAGGGGTGGTGGTGCATGCCTGTAATCCGAGCTACCTGGGAGGCTGAAACAGGAGAATCGCTTGTACCCGGGAGGCGGAGGTTGCAGCGAGCCAAGATCGCGCCATTGCACTCCAGCCTGGGCAACAAGAGTAAAAACACTATCTCCAAAAAAAAAAAAAAAGTATTCCAAAATCCAAAATCGAAAACACTTCCAGTCCCAAGTATTTCAGATAAGGAATATTCAACCTGTATGAATGTTCCTAGGGAAAAAGAGACAGCCAAAATATAAGACCATGTATAAGAACTAACTTCAGTACACAGAAAGAAAAAAGTACCAGGGGAAGAAGAAAGAGACCGCATTTTAAAACAACTATACAAATTTGAGCTGTAAGAAACACTGACATTTTCTGTAAGCATGCTAGAGCAAATAGGAGAAATTCATAAGACATTTTCTAGAAAATAAAACTAATATAAAAAAACTTATCAAGATTTGTCAAGGAAAAAGAAGAAAAGTTAAATATAATGGCAAGAAAACATTCCTACCAATTTTATTTATCCAGGCATGTCTTAAATATGGCTGTTTGTTACATACAGTGATTCTGCAGACATGTTGACATAACAGTGAAATACATAAATATGTAATGTGGATAAAACAAAGTCATTACAATTAAAGACTCACCCCTATTAGTGAGTTTTTGGCATTTCCAATTGTAGTCAGGGCACTGAGGTCAAATTTAACTACAAATTTTGCATTGTCTACATTGAACACATGATTCTTAAAAGCCTCATGTTTTATTTCAGAACAGGACTCAGGAAGCTGCAGACTGTGCAGGAGGTTGTTTAGGGCACAAGTCATTTCTCCCAATATTAACTTATAGGCAGTCTCCAAAACAGGAATATTCTTCAAGCTGAGCACTGCTTGATAAACAGCACGGGCTACAGCAACAACCTGAAAAACAAAAAATTCAAGGAAGTGATAAATGGAAAATAAATCTTCTAAAATTATATGGAAAATAAATCACTATCTGTATTAGTGCTGATGATACAAATAAATTTAAGATCGATCAATTCACTGTCTGTAGCATTTAATATTTTAATTTTTTAAAAACCAATCAGAAAACTGACACAGATCAGTATGCTATTTCAAATCTATTAAGTTTTATCACAAATAAAGAGTACTATAAATGAAAACTGTCAATAGGAAATTTCCAAAATGGCCGTTTTTGTTTTTTTTTTTTAATAATCAACATCAAAAGACATATGCAAACAGCAGTTTAAGACTGGGTTTCTTAAATCTACCAGGAAAGTCTGTGGTGGATTTGACTAGGGGGTGGTTGAAAAGCCAGTCATTTTTGTTTACCAAATATACAGTACTTCTTAATTTATAACTTTATAAATGTGTCAACTTGTTTTACCCTTATGAAAATTTAATAAATTTAATAACAGCAAAAGATGCATAGTCTGAAAAGAGTATCTGGCACACCATTCATGAAAGTATTCAGTATGATTATCAAGAAATATAAATTTAAAAGAACAAATACAATCACTATATTCTAAATCAAACATTTCACATTTCACTCAATTTCACTTATATAGCCTGGGGTAAGCAACATTAGGTCCAACTCTTCAGTGACTCAAGTTGTCAAAATTCATTATCAGTGTATTACTTACCTCTTTTTCTTTATGATAACGCAAGAATAGTAGTTTAGATGATGGTATAAACAGTTTTTCTACAAATGATGATGGCAGTTTCGTATTTATCTGTTCAACAATCTAAAAGAATAAAATTTTTAAAAAATGAGCTTCTCAAATTACAAAAAGACATGGAGAAACCTTCAAGGCACACTGGTAAGTGAAAGAAGCCAACTGAAAAGGCTACATACTATATGACTCCAACTACATGGCATTCTGGAAAAGGCAAAACGATGGAGACAGTAAAAAGATCAGGGGTTGCCATGGGCTTAAGATGGGGGGAGGGAGGAGTGGGGAGAGGGAACGAGGAAGGAGTGGGTAGAACATAAAAGATTTTTAGGGAAGTGAAACTATCCTGTATGATACTGGTAATAGGGGAAACATGTCATTACACATGTTAAAGTCCATAGAATACATAACACAAAGTAAACTATAAAATTAGTTAATAATAATATATCAATATTCACTCCTTTGTAATAAATGTACCACACTAACACAATATGTTAATGAGGGGGAAACTGTTGGGATGAAGAAGGTATATGGGAACTCACTGTTTTCTGCTCAA
This sequence comes from Homo sapiens, assembly GCF_000001405.40. Lineage (NCBI taxonomy): Eukaryota > Metazoa > Chordata > Mammalia > Primates > Hominidae > Homo > Homo sapiens. The sequence goes on along the minus strand of NC_000016.10, from coordinate 22,473,640 downwards.
TTTTCTGTATATCTAAAAAATGAAGTCTTTTAATTTAGAAAAATATATCTAAGCTATATTTTAAGGCCTTAATACTGTGACATTAAAGTGTTTAGACACCTAAATAGGACACACGTATTTTACAGTTATCATGGGCATTTTTTCACATTAGCAAAGAGAGGTGTAATTCTGGCAGAAATGCTCAGCAGAATGTCATCTAGAATTTGCTTTAAAATAATCCAGTTGGAGATGAAAGGATAGCAAAGAGGCCTAGATGAAACCAGATGGGCCATTTGTTTCTAATTATAGAAGCTGAGTGTTAAATATGTACAAATTTATTATACTATGCTCCCTATTTTTATGTGCTTCAGAACGTCCATAATAAAAGTGGGGGGAGGATATTTATGGTTAAGAAATTAAAGGAGGCCGGCCGGGCGCGGTGGCTCACGCCTGTAATCCCAGCACTTTGGGAGGCCAAGGCAGGCAGATCACGAGGTCAGGAGATCGAGACCATCCTGGCTAACATGGTGAAACCCCGTCTCTACTAAAAATACAATTGTGCCACTGCACTCCAGCCTGGGCAAAAGAGCGAGACTCCGTCTCAAAAAAAAAAAAAAAAAAAAAAAAAAAAAAAATTAAAGGAGGCCAGGCATGATTGCTCACACCTGTAATCCCAGCACTTTGGGAGGGCAAGGCAGGAGGATTACTTGAGACCAAGAATTTAAGGCCAGCCTAGACAATGTAGCGAGACCCCTTCTCTCCAAAAAATATAAAGGTTAGCCAGGCATGGTGGCATGCATCTGTAGTCCCAGATAGTCGGGAGGCTGAGTGGGAGGATCACTTGAGCCCAGGAGTTTGAGGCTGCAGTGAGCTCTGATTGTACCGCTGCACTCCAGCCAGGGGAATACAGCAAGATCCTGTGACCAAAAAAAAAAGAAAGAAAAGAAAAGAAAAAAAGAATCTGGTGCGTAGAGCAATGTTTCCTCAGAAAAAACGAGTAAAGCTACACTGAGACTAGCTATCAACCACTAAAAATAGAGGCCTGGCAGAGTGGCTCATGCCTATAATCCCAGTACTTTGGGAGGCCAAGGCAGGTGGATTGCTTGAGCCCAAGAATTCAAGACCAGCCTGGGCAACATGGCAAAACTCCATCTCTACAAAATAATATAAAAAATTAGCCAGGTGTGGTGGTGCACGCCTGTAGTCCTAGCTACCTGGGGGGCTGAGGTGGGAGGATCACCTGAACCCAAGAGGTCAAGGCTACAGTGAGCCAAAATCATGCCACTGCACTTCATCCTGTGCAACGGAGTGAGACCCTGTCTCAAAAAAAAAATTGCATTAAAAATAAAAGTAAATAGACACTAAAATGAAAGCACAGATTATAAGACTGATGAATGTACTCTAAAAAAATTATATAATAAAGCAAAACCCTTATTTTTTTTCTTTTTTGGAGACAGGGCCTTTTTTGTCACCTTGGCTGAGTGCAGTGGCACAATCAGAGCTCACTTCAACCTCAAGTTCCTGGGCTTAATCGATCCTCCTCCATCAGCCTCCCGAGTAGCTAGGACTGCAGGTGCACACCACTACACCAAGCTAATTTTTGACTTTTTGTACAGATGGGGTCTCACTACATTGCCCAAGCTGTGCCAGAATTCCTGGATGCAAGCAACCCTTCTGCTTTGGCCTCCCAAAGCGCTGGGATTACAAGCATGAGCCACCATACCCAGACAAAGCCCTTAATTTCTTACATATCCATTTAAGGGCCTGAATAAACCAACACATTAAAAAGGAAAAGAATAATTCACATACCAGCGTGAGTAAATTCAAGACTGAGATGATATAATCGGTACCACAAGTCTGGCAATTCTCCAGTTGGTCTAATCCATATGTAATGACCATGTCACAATGTATAGTCATGCTAGGATCCAAGCTGCCGAGCAAAACACCAACACGCTCATTAGCAGCTGTCAACACAGCCTCAGAAAAAAACACCTGGTTTGCAGCCGTCACACATCTCATTACTCTGTACAGAACCTGTAAATGGGGAAAACCAGCAGCTTTTTAAAAAAATTCACGTGCTTCCACAAAGCAAGAAAATACTTTCTATTTAATGCAATTTCAACTGAAAATTAACTGCTTGCCTTGCCAGCAGTCTCTTAATATTCTAGTTCTCAGTAGCTGAATAATAATGATGCCTTTACTACAATATGTAAACATGATCTTGGCTAAAAAATCCTAAAGTGCTACTATGACAGGAAATGGAAGCTGCCATCCTCTATTTCCCACATACCCAACTTCGTTTCTCCCAATGTCACTAAATGGCTGAAGCTCAGAATCTTTATCATGAAATACACCACGACAGTAATGGTATTGACAGCATGGGAATAGCCTGCCCACACATACTACAAGCTAGCTCTTGGGCTTTTGGGAATCAATCTTTCAAAACTGAACATACAAGTCACTTTAAGCTTATTAAAGTTTCTATCTACTGATGGTCTCTTTTGAAAGATAAGCACTCTCATGCTTGCCACATAATATCTTCAAAAATCATATTATTTCCAATACACACACACACAAAATCCCCCACTTAACTATAATGGCCAATAATTGTGTACTAAATTTCTAATAAAATAGGGGAGAAAACAGAGCAAATGTTAAAAAATATTTCTATAATATTTAACAACCAATACATACAGGATTTTATTTAGTCTACCCATAGTTTTCATTAAAAGTATCCTTAGAGGTTGGGCATAGTGACTCACATCTATCATCCTAGCACTTTGAGAGGATTAGCTGGAAGGTTCTCTTGAGTCCAGGAGTTTGAGACCAGCCATGTCAACATAACAACACCTCATCTCTACCAAATTTGTTTCTAAATTAGTTGGGTGTGGTGGCTCACACCAGTAGTCCCACCAACTACTTGAGAGGCTGAGGTGGGAGGATCACTTAAGCCTGGGAGGTCAAGGCTGCAGTGAGCCAAGATCGTGCCACTGCACTCCAGCCTGGACAACAGAGACCATGTCTCCAAAAAAAAAAGAGTGGAGGGGAGAGGGCGGAGGGGGAAGCATTCTTGGCCATGCATGCACAGTGGCTCATGTCTATAATCCCAACACTTTGGGAGGCTGAGGTGGGAAGACTGCTTGAGGCCAAAAGTTCAAGACCAGCCTGGGAAACACTGAGACCCCATCTCTACAAAAATAAAAAATTAGCAGGAGCTATGCTGGGAGGATCACTTGAGCCCAAGAGATAGAGGCTGCACTGAGTCGTGATGGCACCACCCCACTTTAAAAAGGAAAAAAAAAAAAAAAAGCTGGGTATGGTGACACCCGCTTGTAGGGCTGAGTGAGGTGGGAAGTTCACCTGGGCCCAAGAGTTCAAGACTACAGTGAGCTATGATTGAACTACTACACTCCAGCCTGGGTGACAGAGTGAGGTTCCAGCTCCAAAAATAAATAAAAAAAATAAAAACCCCACCATTCTACCATTCTCAAAGGCCTAAAAGATCCTCATAAATCAATATACACCTATCCTATAAATTATGTCCCCTTTATTTTATGTCTGAATTAACGGCTTTTTATTTCAACTCTGTACAGTCTTCAAACAACCACCTTTTAGACATTAAAAATGAAGCAAAGATATTAAACCATTTTGAAACCATATTGGTTTAAAATACCGATATGCTGGTTTCATTTATCTTTAAGTTCTGACATTTCTGCTCAAGTACACAACTTACTATATAATCAATATCCTATTTTATTTAGCAACATGTTCAGCAAAAGTATATGCTCCTAAAAGCAAGTTTTATCCTAACGGTAAAATTTTCATCAGTTAGATTAAATTTTTTATGACGGTATCACACATGCTTCTTTCTCCTTATTCAAAGCAGAGTACAATGCCTGGGGTTCATTTCTTGTGTCTTTTCCACTGAACCCTCACTGGATGTGCTATATACAGTGCAGCTAATGTCTGAGGCTGCTGAAGTGTGGCAATCTAGCTACCTCATTTTTAATTTGTTTATGTTCTTTGATATCAGGCTATCAAAGAATATAAAGATACACAAGTTTTCATATGAGTTCCATCTTATGCTCAGAGAAGATTACTTTCTGAGGCTTCTCCTATAGTGTGCTATTCGTAATATGTTGAAAAACTAAAAGGAAACCCAATAATTTAAAAGTAAAATTATAAGAAATATTATTTAAAAATGAAAGAATAAGATTTAAAAATTCAGAGTGGCCTTTTGTCATGGGAGGGTAGGGGAGTTGGATGAAAGGAGGATGAGATATAACAGGATTCCCTGCTTTTCTGGTTGTTTAAGAAAGCAGTCAGACAATATATACATATATACATACATACATACATGCTAAACAAATGAAGGATTAATAACAGTTCACCTGGTAAAGAGAAGCATTTACAATGTAAAACAATTTTATTTTTGAATGACACTTCAAATGCCCAAAAGCACTTACATCTGTTACGTATGCCTCAGTAATTGGAGGGCCCGAATTGGGCTGAGGCTTTCCCCAGTGCTCCTCACCACAGTACTAAATACCCGGAGAAGCGCAGCCAGCTTTGGTAATGACACTGATGGAGGAGGGACGTCTTCATCCACTGATTCCCCAGCGGCCACATGGCTGAGGTCCTAGATGTGAATTCACAGCATTCTTAATAAGTAGTACATTGTTTAAAAAAACAAAACAAAACAAAAAAAAACTCTAAAATATTTCAATCAATTCATTTTAGAATAGATTTTTAGGCTTTTAGAAAGAGAACTGTGGCCCATGAGAATATTCATGACTCTGAATATAAAAATGGGTTTTACCTAATTATTTCAAAAAGCCAACATTAAACCCAATAGACAACAAATTAAGGAAATAATCTCTTAAATCAACTCAGAAAGCTGTTGGGGAAAAATAAATTCTAGCACATATGCTCTAGTTATATGTAGGTATAAATGAAGACGGAAGCTTTTGCCACTCCTGAATTAGTTTTTGGCTAAAAATCTCATTCTAGGTATTCTTTGAGCCACTCAGCTCAACAGTAAGTCCTCCAAACCAAGAGCATGCACATGAAGAGCAAAGGGAGATTACAAGACCTGGTCTACAGATGTGTAACTGAAGAAGTACGATATATGAAAAGGACAAGATTCGCAAAAACTAGGATACCAGAACCAATGTATACATCTACCTAAAATTAAGCACCAAAATAACAGAAGAGAATGAGATCTTAAGGATAACAAGGGGAAGCATCTCTACAAACTAGAATGTGTGGCTTATGAGAGGTAGATCAGCTTTAAACGTGGGCTGTGAAAAAAGACATTCTAGGTGTGGGGGCAAAGAAAAAACAACGCAGAAGCAAAACATTTCCTTGCTTTTCTAGGAAAGAGTAAACACATCAGTACAGCTAAAGGTACTGAATTCCTGTTGACTACAAGCAGCAAAGATGAAAAAAACAAGATGAGGCCAAAATCTTTATGGGAGCCTTGACTGGTTGATCTGAATAAGGGAGAAACACAAAGAGATTCAGATAAGAGATGGCACAGAGTTAAGCCATGACAGTGGGGCCAGAAAAGCCAAGTACCAGTAACAGAGGCTTCAGCAGCGCTCTTAAAGCTCCTATGCTATATTCGTACAGCCACAAAAGCTGGCTGAAGCCAAGGCTTGTCCTCCAAAGTACGATTCAAGATCTCCTGTACATATGTAAGAGGAAAATCTTTAGGAGCTTTTGGTGTTTTGTGTTTTTTTATAACACAACATCAATTTGCTTTAAGACTCTGAAGACTGGGAACAAAAAATAAAAATAAATAACAAAATATGTCTTTAGAAAAATACCAGCTACCGAGAGTATGTAAAGCTTTGCGAAATACGAAGCTTGCAACGTTTCTTTTAGTCTCTCCAGTAATTCTCCTGGTAACTTAAACACATCTGAAATAAATGTTTAAAATACTGACTGGGCACGGGGGCTCATGCCTATAATCCCAGCACTTTGGGAGGCCGACGCGGCTGGATCACCAGTGGTCAGGAGTTTGAGACCAGCCTGGCCAACATGGTGAAACCCCGTCTCTACTAAAAATACAAAAATTAGCTGGGCGTAGTGGCGGGCACCTGTAATTCCAGCTACTCGGGAGGCTGAGGCAGGAGAATCATTTGAACCCAGGAGGTGGAGGTTGCAGTGAGCTGAGATCGTGCCATTGCACTCCAGCCTGAGTGACAGAGCGAGACTCCGTCTCAAAAAGAAAAAATTTTTCAAAATATTGCAATGGGCTTGTAATTTCTGCTTAAATGTCAGGAGGTCTGAGCCATTTTAAAATAAATCTAGCACAATTTAAGATTTTTTCTTAACCAAAATTTTAAGAAACAGCTTTCTATATACTCACCTCAGCATATGCTTCCATGTCTTCTAGAAACTGACCAAGTAGAGGCGTAGAAAATGCAAGATCAGCTACCCAAAATGGCTCCAAACTCTGCAACCACCCTTGGAATCGCGTAAGAAATTGTGAAAGGGTAGGGGGGAGAAAAAACACCAAAAAATCCAAATTAAAAAATATAAGAGGCTTCTTTTAAAAAGTATCTGGTTTTCAAGCAGCATACCCTAAAACATGTCCTATATCATAAAATTAAGACTGCTAAACATGCTGATCACGATTAACCAATACCTCTTTAATTAATACCTCCTTAATTTCTGCAGAAATTAACAGGTAAATGTTATTTCCTTACTTTTTCAGTAAATTTCATATCTATATTGTCACTACACATGACTTAAGACTAAAATGCCACAATCTACCATTGGCCCGGCTAATCCCAGGGCCACATCTAACCATTAAAGGTGTATACTCATCTCCTCAGTGAAAATGAAACAGACCACTATCACCTGAATATCTTATTTTCAAAAGTTTATTACACCAAGTAAGTTACGAGAAACTATGACACTTGAAACAAGCTGAAATGTGCAAATGAGCCACGCTAGTCATTCACTTAACTCCAAAAAAGTGGGAAACAAAACCACTTCTCATTTATGACAATTCTCCAAATTAACCCTATATTTCCTTTTTTAAAAAAATAACCAGAAAAACAATAAAATGTGACAAATAACTTGGATCTTCCATTGTCCACTTCAGGGTATTGCCACTGCAATATATTCTTACCATATACTTTCCTACCAGTACAAACTACAAATAACTTGGGTAAGTCCTGTCTGTACTTACTCTACCCACCTACTAGTAATTTCCTCTGAAAATATATATTTAGCTAACAAGTCATGTTCATTTACAATAAAACATTTCTCTGAATTAGTTTTCTTGCATTATTAAAGAAATGGTATTGATAGATGGTCACTGGGGGACCACTGCTCCTCCCCGACAGTATTTAAATAACTGGTATAGGCTGCAAGACTTACCAGATACCTGCTGCGTGAGCGAAGGTTTCTGAGTATGATCTCTATGCCATCCAACTAATATACCAACTGTATCCTTGATGGAAACAAAGAGAGAGGGGGCCAATCATTTTAAGATATTACTGCAATCCACCTGTGGACCATTTCACAGCAAAAGATCCTAAAAGGAGCATCTATGTTCTACCTACTTGACATTCTAGAAACTTAGAAAGGGGAGAGGGGCAGGAAAATAAAAGAACTACATTTCTGACAACAATGAAATAGTTTATTTTCTTCAAATATTTTAAGGTACGAACGTCAGAAAGAAAAATGCGGCATTTAACCCTGGAACCTCAAATATCACTGATTATATTCAAAGGAGCAGAGGCACTGTTTTCCATCTGATTCCTCAGTTCCTCACACACACAACCATCCCCCTCACCCCATGATCTGAACAGCGGAATGAGGAACTCACCCTAAAATTAGTGCTGAAAATATGAGGGTAACATCGAGCCACCAAAAGAATGCACTTAACACATTTGCAAAGCAATTCTGGTGTATCCACATTTTCAAGAATTGACTGCAGGCTGGTCATTACAAGCTTAAAAATAAAAGTTACAAACCGTGAACATTCAACAAAATAGGGAGAAAACAAGCAAATTAGGTTCATTATTTACGAAGTGCCTACATAAAAACCTGAGTATGAGACCAAGAAAAATAGATTCTGTAGTTTTAGTTAAAAAAAAAAAAGAATTGACTTGTAAATCCCAACTGCTTGGGAGGCTGAGACACAAGAATTGCTTGAACCCAGGAGGCAGAGGTTGCAGTGAGCTGAGATTGCACCGCTGCACTCCAGCCTGGGAAATACAGCCAGACTCCATCTCAAAAAAAAAAAAAAAAAAAATTAATAAATAAATAAAATAAATAAACTGAAAATATTTCGCTCCACTAAGCTGTTAAGCTAAAAACAGATACTGTTTTCTCTTCTTCAATGTTTGTTAATATTAGTCCTTTGACATCAGTTAACATTAGTCCTTAATAACATCTGTTTACAATATCCCTAAATGCTCTCTTTAAGATTCTACCTGTGATTAAATTTCAAATACAAAAAAGTAAAATGGATTTGGGAAACTTTTCTATAAAGTACAACAATTACTTTGCAATCCAAAATATAAAGCAAATTTTATATAATTTATGCTTTAGTATATTAGTACTTGCTTCATATTAAAATTAAGGAAGATCAGTATGGCACCACACATGAATAACATGCAGGCTCAGGTTACCATTATACATAAATTTTTAAAATAAATATATGGCAAAAATAAAATAATAAATAACTATTTGTCATTCCATTGAAAGAATATTTATTTTGCAGCTGTTAAAAAACATTTTTCCCTAAAAAAGGAAAAGCTGTGCTTTACATAGCAATCTTATCAAAGAAATGCTAGAATCAGAAAACCATCATTTTAGGCTGGGTGCAGTGGCTCACACCTGTAACCCCAGCACTTTGGGAGGACGAGGCAGGTGGATCACCTGAGGTCAGGAGTTCAAGACCAGCCTGGCCAGCATGATGAAACTCCGTCTCTACTAAAAATATAAAAATTAGCAGAGCACAGTGGCACATGCCTGTAATCCCAGCTACTCAGGAGGCTGAAGCAAGAGAACTGCTTGAACCTGGGAGGCGGAGGTTGCAGTGAGCCGAGATCGTGCCACTGCCCTCCAGCTTGGACAACAGAGCAAGATTACGTCTCAAAAAAAAAAAAAGAGAAAAAGAAAACCATTATTTTGCAATAGCCAATGTTATAATCTACACAGGCACAGACTATCAATGCTAAAAATCATTTAAAAGACATCTTGGGGTAATTACAGAAATTTGAATATAGAACACATATGTAATAAAATTCATTTTCTTAGGTATGATTACAATATTCTTGTTATACAGAAGAAAAACCTTATTCTTGGGAGATGCATACTAAAACATTATGGGGTGAACTGTCATCATGTGTATGGTTTTCAGATGCTCAACAAAAGTGTGTGAGAAAATAAAACTGTGGCAAAATATTAGTAACTGGTAAATCTAGGTGAAGCATATATTATGAAATTATTATCGTATTTACAGGTATTTATTTTACTGGTGCATCTATCTTTCTATGAATGTGAGAATTTTCACAAGAGCTGGGAAAATGTTCATAATTATGCATGCAGAATAAGCCCAAGCTGGTGGCATTCTGTTCAGTTACAGGTAATTTTCTGAATCTTCCCTCAAATTTTTCTCAAACCTCTATAATCAAGGGGAAAATGTTTCATTTTGTTTTGCTTTTTTGAGACAGGGTTGCCTATAATGGAGTGCAGTAGCTTGACCATAGCTCACTGTAGCTTCAACCTCCCAGGCACAAGTGATCCTCCTGCCTCAGCCTCCAAGTAGCTGCGATTACAGGTGCATGCCACCATGCCCAACTTATTTTTTTTCCTTTTTTTTTTTTTTTTTTTTTTTGTTTGATAGAAACAGGGTTTCACCATGTTGCTCAGGCTGGTCTCAAACTCCTGGACTCAGGCAATTCACCAGCCTCAGCCTCCCACAGTGCTGGGGTTACAGGAGTGAGCCACCATGCCCAGTTAAAAATACATTTTTTATTTTAAAAAAAAAAAAAGAATATTCCTTATATTTCCTTTATATTTTTTAAACTACATACCCAAAATAAAGCATATCAAAAACTGTAAAAAAAAAAAAAAAAAAAAAAAAAACCCTAATATCAGATATTCCAAACACAACAATACCATAATTTAATCACTTAAAATCTTACTCAAAACTAAATCAATGATCTTTTAGGCCAGGTGTGGTGACTCATGACACTAATCACAGTACTTTGGGAGGCCGAGGCAGGAGGATCACTTGAGGTCAGGAGTTGAAGACCAGCATGGCCAACACAATGAAACCCCATCTCTACTAAAAATACAAAAATTAGCCAGGCTAATGGCACACTCCTGCAATACCAGCTACTCGGGAGGCTGAGGCAGGAGAATCACTTGAACCTGGGAGGCAGAGGTTGCAGTGAGCCGAGATTATGCCACTGCACTCCAGGCTGGACAACAGAGCAAGACTCTGCATAAAAAAAAAAAAAAACGAATGACATTTTAATATATTCAGATACACAAATATGAAATACAACTAAGTAGAGCCAGTATTCATTTACACATAATTATCTTATACCATTTGGAATAAGAATTTGGGGCACGTTAGCAAACCAAAAGGCTCAGAAAGAAGTTGTGATATTTAGTTCTTGTCTCCCTCTACAAATGTGAAGCACTCTTCTATCCGGCATTACTAGTGGAGTTCCTATTTTCAACTTTGCAAATTCTGGTCCTAAGCAATCTCAAAAAAAACATTTCTAAAAACCAAAGGGGAAAAAAATCTTTTTTTTTTTTTTTTTTTTTTTGAGACAGAGTCTGGCTCTGTCTCCCAGGCAATGGTGCGATCTCGGCTCACTGCAACCTCGGCCTCCCGGGTTCAAGCCATTCTCCTGCCTCAGCCTCCTGAGTAGCTGGGACTACAGGCGCGTGCCACCACGCCCGGCTAATTTTTGTATTGTTAGTAGAGACGGGGTTTCACCATGTTGGCCAGGATGGTTTCGATCTCTTGACCTCATGATCCGCCTGCCTCAGCCTCCCAAAGTGCTGGGATTACAGGCGTGAGCCACCACGCCTGGCGTGTAAGCCAATTTTTTAGAAGAAATCTCTCCCTCTCTCTCCACATATATGCATATATGTATGTAGCACTGATCCTTGAACAGTGTATCCTTTACTCAAACTGAGAAAGAGGAATTTTTAAAACATATTTCCTATCAGTAGATAACCCCTATTCTATGATTCCCTTCTTCAAGCTCCCCTCCAAGGACATGTGTTAAAGGGACAATTTTCTTCCCAAGTATATCATGCATTTTTTCCCCCTTCATTCTTACCTGCATTACAGATGAAAAGGCTTTCTTTTCTCCTACAGTCTCTAGTGCTTTGTAGGTGGCACATAAGTAGAGGAGTTTAACTTCATCTTTTGCAGATGAGCTAAATTTGCTAAAAATCCACTTGAAGATCTTCTCAGCCTCATAGCTCAGAGAAGCACAAAGAAGGCCGAGACAGCAAGCTCCCTCCTGTCTCAACTCCTGAAGCAATTTGCTACTGTGTTTATTTTAATGCAAACAAAAAACACACACAAAAGGCTTAAGTTTTCTATGATGACACGAGTAATACATCTTACAAAAGAATGTCTTAAGTGGTTTTTTAAATTTCTATTCAAACTACATAAAAGGTTGAAATTTTCTCCACTCTAAATACTACATTCTGTCTAGCCTGCATTGCCCTCAAGTATCTGTCTGACATCACTTTCTTTTTACAAAATCAATTATTTACAAACAGTGAGGGAAGGCCCAAAAATGCTAAATTCCATCTCAAACTGTATTAAATAACTCTCAGAAAAGGGCAGCAACAAATAAGTAGATAAAACACTCTATACATAACTACATTCTACATAATATCCAATATGTAATGACTATAAAATAAAAAATGGTAATAGTTAAATACAGAAACTTAAAAGGATAACAGTAATGATTTACATAGAACTTTAATAAGTAACTCTATAAAACAAAACCATCAAAAGGCACTAAGGTTTATGACCAGCTGAGATAAATTTTGGGTACTTGCCAACACTGCAAATCTTTGGGAATCACCATAACAAAAAATGACCACACACCTCTGGAGACTCTAATAGCCAGAGAATATATGGTTTGGATCCACTCTTACCCAAAGAAGGAAATTCCTTTTTACCTCTATTCTCTAAGCAGTTTCAAATTCTCTTGTTTACAAAAACTAATTTTATTCTTCATGCCTGCATCAAGAGTTTATGCCATTCCATAAGTCAAGACTCAGTTATCCAGTGAGACTAGCAAATTAAAAAAATAAAATATTCCAGCCAGGCACGGTGGCTCATGCCTGTAATCCCAACACTTTGGAAGGCTAAGGTGGGTGGATCACCTGAGGTCAGGAGTTCCAGACCAGCCTGGCCAACATGGTGAAACCCTGTCTCTACTAAAAATACAAAAATTAGCTGGCAGTTGTGGTGCACGCCTGTAGTCCCAGCTACTCGGGAGGCTGAGGCAGGAGAATCACTTGAACCCGGGAGGTGGAGGTTGCAGTGAGCTGAGATCGCACCACTGCACTCCAGCCTGGGCGACAGGGTGAGACTCCGGCTCAAAAAATAAATATTCTTTTCAAGTGGATTCCATTTGTATTCAACCGTAATTAACACATAATTAATGCAGATAAAAATGACAAGACCCACTGAAATGTCAATAAATGTTCATAAACAAAGCCAGTGGGTTTGTCTTCTTGTGTATTGTTAAGTAATTTCTAAAAATATATTTTAAAGTCATTTAAACCGAACCATTATTAGTTACTTACCTTTCATTAAGCACATCATGTACAGCAGCCAAGATATCCAATTGTTTAACTAGTACCTTTAAAAGAAAACACATTTATAAAAACTTCAAATTCCTATACTTTTAAGAATAGCATTGTGTACTTTTTTACTTGTCTTCCCTCCAAATTCTAATTCAACAGTACTTTACTTTCTTTATTATTCCCACTCCCCAATGAGCATGTATCAGGAATGTCATGTTTCCTTTCAGCCTATGAAAGAAATTCACCCACTGGAAACATAGAGCTGTGATCATCAACAAAAAAATAAACTCAAAAAGCTTGTTTCATTTACTTTGAAATCCATTTGAAAAATTGACTGACGGATGGAGGGATAGATGGAGAGATATGTGACAAGGCAGTATTTAGGGTAAAATGTTAACGACAAAAATTAGATGATGGGTTTAACAGATTCAATGTCAAATTCTTTCAACTTGCTATATATTTGAAACTACTCATAATAAAATTTGGAAGGAGGAGAAACTTGCTTTGATCCAAGTGTCATCTGCCTCACTAGACCATTTTCATTAATTTTCTCCTGCTCATTGTCAAGTTCTTTTTTTTTTTTTAAGATGGAGTTTCACTCTTTTCGCCCAGGCTGGAGTGCAATGGCGTGATCTCAGCTCACTGCAACCTCCGTCTCCTGGGTTCAAGCGATTCTCCTGCCACAGCCTCCCATGTAGCTGGAATTACGGTCATGTGCCACCACACCCAGCTAATTTTGTATTTTTAGTAGAGATGGGGGCTTCACTATGTTGGGCAGGCTGGTATCGAACTCCTGAACTCAGGTGATCCACCCACCTTGGCCTCCCAAAATGCTGGGATTACATGCATGAGCCACCACACCTGGCCCATATCAAGTTCTTAATTGGTGTAAAGAAAGTGAAGAAAAAAATTTAACCCTTCCTATACTTTGTTACATTTCTGTTGTTGTTTTAAGAGACAAGGACTCCCTCTGTCGCCCAGGTTGACATGCAGAGGTGTGATCATATCTCACTGCAACCCTGAATTCCTGGGCTCAAGTGATTCTTCCACCTCAGCCAGGTGTAGTGGCACATGCCTGAAGTCCCAGCTACTCAGGAGGCCACAGCGGGAGGATAGCTTGAATCCAGGAGTTTGAGACTGCAGTGAGCTATGACTGTGCCACTGCACTCCAGCCTGGGCGACAGAGCAAGATCTTGTCTTTAAGAAGAAAAAGAAATTACATATTAGAGAGCATTAAGTTCTTGATCATCATAATACAGACTTTCCCCATTCTTAAACTACTCAAGGTAGCATTACCTAGTTTATTATGGAAACACAAAAATCCTCATATTTCCAAACATACTATACTTACCAGCTTATTTTCTGGTTGCTGAATAAATTCTTTCAACTGCTTTACAGTAGCCAATCTTCGGTCTCGGTCGTTTTCCCGGGTGATCCTCCGAAGAAGATATGACAGTCGAGACTCATCACAATAAGACATCGATCTCTCTGTGAATATATAAACATTTTGTTGTCCACTGAGTATAAATAAGCAAAGGAAATTTTAAATTTTAAAATAATTTTAAAATTTTTAAAATTAAAAATTATTTAAATAATAATTAAATTATTATGGGGGCTCATGCCTGTAATCCCAGTACTTTGGAAGGCGGGTAGATCACATGAGTTCAGGAGTTTGAGACCAGCCTGGGCAACATGGTGAAACCCTGTCTCCACAGACACACAAAAAATTACATAAACTAGCCAGCCAAGGTGGGGTGCACCTGTAGTCCCAGCTACTCGGGAGGCTGAGGCAGGAGAATCACTGGAGCCCGTGAGGCGGAGGTTGCAGTGAGCCAAGATCACCCCATTGCACTCCAGCCTGGGTGACAGAGCAAGACCCTCTCTCAAAAATAAAATTACATCAAAAGTCACAGTCCACTGGTCAATAAAAGCTCAGGGAATATAGGTCCTATCGCTCTTTTGTTCAACTCTGTATTCCAAATCCCAGCAGAGTGCCTGGCACATAACAGACCCTCAAAAAAATATTTGCTGAAGGAAACAAGAAATGAATAACCCTAGGCCAACTGAACACCTCATTCCAGAGGACTGGCTGGGAGAGAAAAAAGAAAGGCCTTAGTAACAACTTTCTTTGGGTCCATTCCAAACTGTTTTCAACATGCAGGTAAAGAGCCCGGGTGTAGGTAAATTAAACAACTTCCAAGGGGTATGGATAAAGTCTCAATCGAGTAAAAACAGGATATAGGCTTCTACTTATCATCTAGGTATCCCACTGGAGGAAAGCCTCTTATTCACATTATCATCATTTCCCTGGGATGAAGTTTTGGGGAGCCATAATCACACATTTAGTTCAACAAATGTCTAATTATCATCTACCACATGCAAGGCATGCCTCCACTAGAAAGGTAGCAAACCACAACTTTTCTCCCTTTATTTTTTAATCACAAGAACAAGCAAACAATAGTGAATACTATTAGTATATTAACGATGCCTTTAAAAACTAGATTTTTGCTGGGCGAGGTGGCTCTTGCCTGTAATTACCCAGCACTTTGGAAGGCCAAGGCAGGCAGATCACTTGAGCACAGGAGTTCGAGACCAGCCTTGGCAACATGGTACAACCCCATCTCTACGAAAAATACAAAAATTAGCTGGGCACAGTGGCACATGCCTGTAATCCCAGCTACTCAGGAGGCTGAGGTGGGAGGATCGCTTTAGCCTGGGAAGCAAAGGTTGCAGTGAAATCACACTAGCGCATTCCAGCCTGGGTGACAGAGCGAGACTGTCTCAAAAAACAAAACAAAACAAAAAACTCAATTTTTGCAAAACATTTTCAACTGTGCTATTTACCATAATTAGCCAATACATACGTAAACAACAAATCACAAAGGGTCTGACAGTTTCATTTCTAAGGTATGAGAAAAAATTGATAATAAAAGAAACCAGAAGGCTGGGCATGGTGGCTCACACCTGTAATCCCAGCACTTTGGGAGGCCGAGGAGGGCAGATCACGGGGTCAGGAGTTGGAGACCTGCCTGGCCAACATGGTGGAACCTCGTCTCTACTAAAGATACAAAAAATTAGCCGGGCGTGGTGGCACGCTCCTGTAATCCCAGCTACTCGGGAGGCTGAGGCAGGAGAATCACTTTAATCTGGGAGGTGGAGGCTGCAGTGACCTGAGATCGCGCCATTGCACTCCAGCCTGGGTGACAGGGAGATACTCCATCTCATAAATAAATAAATAACTACAAGGGGGAACAACACACACTGGATCCTTTTGGAGGGTGGGGGGTGGGAGGAAGGAGAGGATCAAGAGAAACAACCAATGGGTACCAGGCTTAATACCTGGGTGATAAAATAATCTATACTACAAACCCTCATGACACAAGTTTACCACTGTAACAAATCTGCACTTGTATCCTGAATTTAAGTTAAAAAAAAAAAAAAAAAAAAGAAACTACAATGACTGAGAGAAGAATAGGATTTTTACAAATCCGTAGCCCATAGAGTATTTCAATAAGGACAGATACCAAATATGTCATCAAGTTACCAGCTGGGAAATTAGGCTCTACTTACAATTCTGTCACTAGCAAACTACATGACCCTGAGCCTTTGAAGAAGAGGAATTCTCTACTGAACTACTTTAGAGTCGCTGTTTAGCTTCTATAATATCATAAGTCTAAGGCTTCAAACACTCTATTTTAACAAACAGCATACATAGCCTTTGAATTCATTCCACTTGTGAAAACATAAAAAGAAATCAGTTTTTTAAAAGTTATATACCAACAATAAAAGCTACAGGCACAAAGATTTTCACCAAGATACACGAAGCACACACACAGTATAAAAAATAAAAAAAAAAAGTCAAAAACTAAACGTCCAAAAAGTAATTACATCTGACAAAGCCCATAACTCAGCTTTACCGATAAATTTCTCTTTAAGGAAAAAAATTATCATTACCTCTAATCCTCTGAACTTTCTTTTTTGTTGTTGTTTTTTTGAGACGGAGTCTCGCTCTGTCGCCCAGGCTGGAGTGCAGTGGCGCACTCAGCTCACTGCAAGCTCTGCCTCCCGGGTTCACACCATTCTCCTGCCTCAGCCTCCCGAGTAGCTGGGACTACAGGCGCCCGCCACCGCGCCCAGCTAATTTTTTGTATTTTCAGTAGAGACAGGGTTTCACCGTGTTAGCCAGGATGGTCTCGATCTCCTGACCTCGTGATCTGCCCGTCTCGGCCTCCCAAAGTGCTGGGATTACAGGCGTGAGCCGCTGCACCCGGCCAATCCTCTGAACTTCCAAGGCACTCACCTATACAGTGAGGCTATGTCATAAGGCAGAAATGCTATCAGTGTATTTAACTTTAGAAAAGTGCCCACTCAAGGCAGGGCCCGGTGGCTCACGCCTGTAATGAGCACGTGTGATCACTTGAGGTCAGGAGTTCGAGACCAGCCTGGCCAACATGGTGAAACCCTGTCTCCACTAAAAATGCAAAAATCAGCTGGGTATGGTGGTATGCACCTGTAATCCCAGCTACTTGGGAGGCTGAGGCATGAGAATCACTTGAACCTGGGAGGCGGAGGTTGCAGTGAGCAGAGATTGCAGCACTGCGCTCCAGCCTGGGTGACAGAGCAAGACTCTGTCTCAAAAAAATATATTGAAAACAACAACAACAAAAAAACCAGAAAAGTACCCACTCTAGGGGGCGGGGGGAAGGAGAGCATCAGCAAGAATAGCTTAATGGATGCTGGGTTTAATACCTAGATGATGAGATGATCTGTGCAGCAAACTACCATGGCACACGTTTACCTACATAACAAACCTGTACATCCTGCACATGTACCCTGAACTTAAAAGAGAGAAAAAAAAAAAAAAAAAAAAGACAGAAAAGTACCCCCTCTCTACATATATCTATATCCTCCACAGGCCCAAGAGTTCAAGGACTTGCTGTAGTAGGAGCCTACTATGCACTATACATTCAATATCCACGATAATTGGGTAAACCTTTTCTGTAAGATCTTATCCAGTCTTCTAATCTTGTTTTAAGAGAATTCTCTTTTAAAATGTACTATAGCCTTTCTAGTGGGAAATTAACAATTCACAGGAAAAGAATGTAAACAATTTTTACCTGCACAGTAGACTAATCAACTTATGCCTTTGCAAGGCATTAGTAAGAGGCATCCAGAATAAGAGGAGATACAAGTCTTTGGAAGGTGTATGTGATTGGTCCCCGTTTTCCCAGCCTTACCCTGTGATTTCCTCATGTCTTTGGTGGCTAAAGCACAACTGCCATGCTGAACACTGGTGAACTCAGGGCTGGTCACATTGTTAACCCTCAGCTCTTGCCCCAATGACTTCCGACCATAAGTATTTTCCCCAGATCCCCCATTGACACCGTAGCCACCTACAAACAGCCATGTGTACGTCATTTAAATATGATTGTTCGTTTCATTCAGTCAATTTCCTGATAGCTCAGGATCTTATGACTCAATCTGCAGCTCAACCAGCCTTTGCTTCTCCTACCTTTTTCCTGTACTGTCTGCCTTGAAAATCATTTTCATTTCTTTTAATACACCTTTGAAGTTAAATTAATTTTATTTTGATCCCTTCATTGGAAAATAAGCAAAGAAATGAAAACTAAATTAAATCAAATTTTGCACCTTGTTTTAAAACTTTCTTGAAGTTTAGAGACAGTAGCCAAGAGGAACTTCAACCTTAGCTAAATATTTTTGAAAATAAAAACAAAAATAGTATTGTATCTTTTTTGTAAGAAAACTGCATTGATGAATTATGTATGGAAAAATTTTAAATTTTAAAAATAATAAAGTGGATAAACGTCCTATGAAGTTTTCAGAAATAACACTGCATTTGTTATTCATATTTTAAATATATTAGAAGAAAGCGAGAAAGTTGGGGGTGTAAGAAGGCAGGAAGGTGGGATAGGTAGGTTCAAAAAACATGCTTGTAGCAATAAGAAAATATATATACCCTTTTCGTCATTCTGTATGTCAGCGTGGACTCTGGTATCATCGTGCCTTTGCCGAGACACCACAGCTGAATTTGAAGGTTGCAGTCCGTAAGAGGAAGAACCACCTCTATCTCTGGATGAAGAATATTTTAAATTACCTGGGTCGGCTGATGCACTATCAGTTCTATAAAAAGAGAAAAGTTTAAGATTAGAACTTTAAATAACATAAATAAATCTTTCTTTAAACAAGCCTCTCTTCTCCCAAATTTTACATTTAACCATTACTATTGTATTTAGTGTAATATGCACTATATATTATATGTAAGCACTCAGCCGTCTAATAAGAAGTCTTTCACTGGGAAGAGAGTCTCAATGGACGAAATGCCAACTTTTCACTCTCTTCTACTGTTCTAAAGACCCATTCAGAAATATGAATAACTACTGGGATTAGGGTGACTTTGCTGGTTTTAGCATTGAAAGTCTCCTGTCCCAGGCAAAACAGGACAATTGGTTACTCTGGTCCAGTGTTCTCCTCACATGACTTGATAATAAGAATAATTCTTTCTAAATTCTCCCCCATGGAGACGGTTAATCAGTCAAAACATTTCAGCCTTTCCTGTCATAAAAATAAAAAACACTGGCAGCATGTCAGGGACGGGCAATGTCTTACCAAGTTATTTTCTAAGTACTGATTAGGTACTGTAGTATTGAAGACCCCATTGAAGATGCCTTAATTGTAAAGAGTAGCAATCAAAATTTTAAAAAGTAAAAAAGAAGACATTTTAAGAAAATAAAAGGTATCAGAAATGCAATAAAGTTATATCAGAAAGTTGTAGTTCGTAATCTATTTAAAATTCAGGTACTGTTTAGAATAATACCTGATGCTTATTAGTAAACAAGTAGGGTACAGCCAAGGGTAAAAGTGTGTCCTCATCTAAGTATCTGCTCTATGCTTCAACTGCCTCATAAGTAAAACAGAGCTTAGTTACAAGACTTCTCATGAGTGTTACTCTTTCAGCCATCAATCATAAACTATCAAGAAAGAAGACAACAAAATAATCTGTTATAGCATATGAAAAATCCAAGTAAGTTCTTCCCCTACTGATTTTCTCCTGAGAGGAACAATTTTGAGGAAAAAAAAAAAGAAAAAGAAAAAGAAAATCACTTCTATGATATTTACTAAAAATGCTTTCTCAACCTTTTAGAACCTGAATCTTTTAGAAAAGTTTAGGACACTGGCAAGGCCAGAAACTAACCTATTCCTCTACGCTTTGCCCCTCCCTCTATGGTGTAAAAGTGACAGCAGTGTTTGTATACTGTATATATTTCGTTTAGAGTTTATTAGTCTTTCCTTGCTCCCAAAAATACTAAACATAAAACTTTGCATGAGCTCAATCAGTTGGACACCTTGATCTGCACTTACTGCAATCACTGTTAATACAGAATGCAGACAATAGGTCCAATTAAACTTGGATATCTAACTGGTACAAGTCATTACTTATAAAGGATCTCAATCTGAAACTTCATGAAATTCAAAACCTAGCATACTAAAATGACTAAGGCTCCATAAGGAGTATCTTCTAATATTCAGAGTTCACTTATTCATAAAGCTAAGTACTTCGAACATAAGGGAAAATAAAATCTATGGAATTTCAAGAAAAATGTATGAGAATATTTTCTGAGTATACTAAGTCTATAAGCATTAAAATATTAACTCAATGGACCATAACTTTTTTAAACTAATGAAAAGACATTCCTTATGTACCTAAAAATAGCACACTTAACATGCGTCTATATAAATCATAGCATACCATTACTTTCTGAAAGGAGACTGAAACGTTAAGAGAGCTTATAATCTTTTCTGACAGGGTTTGAACTTTATATGTATGCCACAGTAAGCTCTTATTAGATGAGCGAATAAAATAAGCACTTGACTAATTCAGAAACACAAAGATAACTGAAGTCTGCCAATATTTAAACGTATCTTCACTTCCTGTTTTCATCATGTTTACTTATCTCCTACACTACCTTTACTATTAAGAGTTAAATGTTTCTATCATTTTCTGGTGACACAGTAGTACCATAAGGCAGCAGAGAATACAAGTTAAAAAAAGATCTGGGCTCAAATCCCAGCTCCAGCACTGAAAAGTATGTGTGCCTTTGCACAAATTACTTGATCTCCAAGCCTTGGTTGTCTCTTGCATAAAATGAGGATGATACCTATCTAACATGTAAGGTTGTTGTGAGGCTAAAATAAGATAATGAATTATAAAGAAACACTTAGTTTGCAGGGTATGTTAAAAGTTGTTATGACCATAATACAAAATAAACTCAAAGCTTCCAGTCTAAAAGACAATGTACAAACAGTTCATGAGTATATGAATATAATCAAAACAAGTTTTTACAGTCAATATAGAGCAACTTAAATACTTCACTGAAGAAAGCAGGTAATCTGTTGCTACCAACAATGTGTTTCCAACTAGGAAGCCTCTGATTTCAAACTAAACTGTAAAACCAGGAGCAGCTTCCCCGTTGGTTAGAAATAAGGTTTCTAAATCCCCTAAGTTATGAACACTGAGATTTTTTTCCCAAAAAAAATCTGTGTTTTCAGAAATATAACAAAAAAAACTGGAATAGAGCCACCGTCTCAGAAATACCTCAAAACTCCCTAGTTGCCAAATTATTTTAATACAAATTGATCAAAGCATCCCCAACCAGAACTCAGGCTGTAAGCATTCTGAACCTAAAAGCACAAAATGGTTTAGCATTTATAAGAAATTTCTATTTTTATACAATCTTGACTGCTTAGGTTTCAAAAAATGTCAATGTCAGGCTGTTAGCACCAACAAGATCATCCCAGTCCAATAAATAGAGAACTGTTGAAGAACGGAAATGAGCACTTAAAATGAGGCAATCAAAGCCACAAAATAGAAACTGCAGATTTGAACTCCAAGAAGCAGGCATGAATGTTAGGCTAGTTAGTTAGAAGAGCTGAAAGGGATATCATCTGCCAGAATTAGTGTCTCAATTTAGTGAAAAAAGAAAATCTATCTGTTAAGTCTAAGAATCCTAGCAAGGAACCAAAAATACCTCTACAGCCCCTTTAATATTCTAAAAATATCATGGAGAGAAAAAAAAAGAAATGCATAAATTTCCCCAAAACGATCAAACTGAAGTTAAAGCCTGATGTACATGCCACATGAGAGGTAAGTTTCTAAAGCTCATACCTCAAAAATCGCCTTTGTGATGTTGTGCATCAAGTCAATCTGTAAGACAGTAGTTACAATATTAGTGAAGACAGTGGGTTAAAACATTTGTTGTTCAAACATGGAGCAAATATCATTCATGAGTTAGGTGCCTTTAGTTGAACTATGGTCCCATTAGGGTTCATACATTAAAGCAAAAATTGAGGTGGAAAGACACTCTGTGCCTTACAGGATAAAGAGGCTTAATGTGGCAACCAAAAAAATTTTAGTACATAAGAGAATTTAAATGTTAACTATCACATACAAATCACATGCAAATACAGTTACCACTTATTTTAGTTACCTATTCTCCATATACAGAAAAATGCCACAAATCTAGGAGGCCATTCGTTTCAAATGACCGGAATCCTTAGACCTCACACCAACAAGCCACCATGTGCTGGGGATGGTATCGCCTGACTAAATGTAGCCTTGCAGTCCATTCTTGTAAGTATTAGAGAGAAAAAGAGAGAGAGCATCATCTCTGGAAAGTGTGAAGTCAGGGAATTCCCTACTAGGAAGCATTTCCATAAAGCACCCCAAAATGACTTGATGCAAACACCACACCTAGTGGTGTCACTGGAGTAAGCATCATATTACTTCAAATTGCTTTTACCTAGGTTTATTAAGGGATTTTGCTCTCATGGTGAGATCTAATTTGTAATGGATATAAACCAGGAAATGAGATTTGCACTAAAGCCAATGAAGTAGGAATGTACTTATTCTCTAAAGCAGCAAAGATAGTCTCACTGTCACAGAGCAGTTATAGGATATGTTGCTTTCCATACTAATGGTTAATACCACTTGGAAATGATTTACCCTTCAAAAATAAATTCAAGGTTTTCCCCTGTAATGCCTCTTACCTGGATTCAAACATGCTTTAATGAGGAATAAGAGAAACGGTGAAACTATGAATAACCCTGGGCCTTGTATCATTACATTAGAAACACTGCTCTAAATATGAGTCTATGGCTAAAATATTAATTTGAGAGGCTCAGAGAATTTATTATACAAATCTCTTCTTGCAGAGAACTTTTAAGTTCAAATTTAATAAAACAAAACAGAACCATTCCATGTCAAAATTGTAAATGAGTATGCATCAGTTTTGCAATACTGAAATATTAAATTAATATAATTTATTGGTAAAACTACCTTAGCTACCTAAGTATTAAGTGTCTATAATAACCAAATCTTAATTATCCATTTATGGGTGATTTGTTTCCTTTTTTGAGACAGGGTCTCACTCTGTCACCCAGGCTGGAGTGCACTGGCATGACCATAGCTCACTGCAGCCTCGACCTCATGGGTGCAGCCTCGACCTCATGGGTTCAGCCTCTCAAACAGCTGGGACCACAGGTGCATGCCACTCCATTTAGCTAATTTTTTATTTTTATGTTTTTTGGAGACAGGTGTCTGATTATGTTGCTCAGGCTGCTCTCAAATTCCTGGACTCAAGCAATCCTCCCACCTCAGCCTCCCAAAATGCTAGGATTAGAAGCATGAGTGACCACATCTGGACTGTCACCAATTTTTAACTGTCTGTCAACTAAACAGCCAATATAGACTGATAAAATATATTTAACTATTGTAAAATTGTAAAGAATTGTATCTTCACCAAGGAGAGGTCTGGCTTCTACCTGTGAATTCTGGAAGGTAATCTCTAAACTCTTGAAATGTCATACCTAATAAGAGGGTCCTGGCCAGGAGCAGTGGCTCACACCTGTAATCCCAGCACTTTGGGAGGCCAAGGCGGGCAGATCGCTTGAGGTCAGGATTCTGAGACCAGCCTGGCCAGCATGGTGAAAACTGTCTCTACTAAAAATACAAAAATTAGCCAGGCATGGTGACGGGCACCTGTAATAATCCCAGCTACTCAGGAGGCTGAGGTTTCAGTGAGCTGAGATCATGCCACTGCACTCCAGCCTGGGCAACAGAGCAAGACTATCTCCAAAAAAAAAGTGGGGGGGGGCGGCGGTGGGGGAAAGTGTCCTTGTTCATCTGGGGGCTTTAGGCCACAGCACAGTCTAATAATGTGGCTTATGGTGGGGGCTTTGAGTCACATGGATCAGCTTGGCCTCCAGTGGGGCTGGAGACTAAGGTTAGCCACATGGGCATGCAACCATGGAACCCCAGTAAAAACGCTGGACATAAAAAATAGAGTGAGCTTCCCTGGTTGGCAATAATCCATGAGTATGGTCGCACACCAGTGCCACCAGGAAGGTGTCATTTTTCACAACTCTACAGGGACAGGACAATTAGAAACTCCAACATTTGGAACTTCCCCGAACTCTGCCCTATGCACCTCTACCCTTGGCTCGTTCTAATCTGAATCCCTAAACTGCAATAAACTCTAACCATGGGTATGAGAGCTTTCAATGAGTTCTAGTGAGTCCTCCTGGCAAATCATCCAACCTAAGAGTGGTCTTGGCCAGGCACAGTGACTCAAGCCTGTAATCCCAGCACTTCGGGAGGCCCAGGCAGGCGGATCACTTCAGCTCAGGAGTTTGAGACCAGCCTGGCAATATGGTGAAACTGTCTCTAAAAAATATAGAAAAACTAGCCAGGCGAGGTGGTGTGTGCCCACAGATCCAGCAACTCAGGTGGCTGAGGTAGGAGGACTGCCTGAACCTGGGAGGGAGGAGTTCAGGGCGCAGTGAGCCGTGATCATGCCACTGCACTCTCACCTGGGTGACAGAGAGAGGCCCTGTCTCAAAAAAAAAAAAGAGTGGTCTTGGGAACCCCCAAACTTGCAACTAGTATTAGAAGCAAGGGTCATCTTATGGACTGGACTCCCTCTTACTCTGCACTCATATTTAAAACCATTAAATATACTGTAGCTCAAAAAAAGTTGCTTGTTTGTTTTGAAAAAGGGTCTCACACTGTCGCCCAGGCTAGAGTGCAGTGGTGCAATCCGAGCTCAAGCAAACCTCCCACATCAGCCTCCCAAGTAGTTGAGACCACAGGCTTACTCCACCACGCCCAGCAACTTTTGTATTTTTTTGTCCCATTCTCTACAACATTCCCAAAATGTTGCCCAAGCTGGTCTCGCACTCCTGAGCTCAAGTGATCCACTCACCTCAGCCTCCCAAAGGGTTGGGATTACAGGCATAAGCCACTGCACCCGGCCATAAATTTTGTTTTTTAATAACATTTCCAGCAAACATGATAAAGATTTGACTTCAGTGTTGCTTATTTTCCTTCCAAGGAACCTCTAATATTCTCTACTTTCAGAACTCCAATCAAATTAGCCAGAAAGAGCAAACGAAGCCAATAAATCCAGGAGGGCAATAGATCTGATTTTAACCCTTGTTTCACATGCACAATTGTCTTCAGAGAAAAGCTGAAGAAAGTACCCCCTCACCTCCATGCCCCAATGCTCCTTTTCTCTGACTTCAAGTGGGCCTCTGATGCTGCCCACATTTCCCTCACCAGGTTTCTTTCCTTTCCAAGACATCTGTAAAACTTTCTGCACCTTCTTCCTTCTCCCACCACTACCAGTGGATGACCTTATAGATTTCTGCTCCATGAGAAACAGAAGCCATTTGACAGCACCCTCAGCAAGAGCTAACATTTTAGCTCCTAACAAGAGCTAGTGGGCAACTGATCCAAGCAGTTTACATATGTTTATCATGTCATTTCGTGTTCAACACAATCCTATTAGTTATAACTTGATAACTAAGGTTTCATAACTGGCCTATGGTTGCACAGCTTGCAAAAGGCAGAGTCAGAACTCAGACCCAGTACTGTCTAATGTTTGAGCTCTTCAACACTCCATCACTGCCTGTCATCTTCCTTCTAATATATCCACAAATTCACCTGCATCTGCACATACAGCTTTTCTTCCCATCATCTTCGCATAATGGAACAAATAAACCTCCTATCCATAGAAATCATCTGTCTATTCCCCCCATTTTCCAAGGTATGTCTTGTCTTTTTTTTTTTGAGATGTAGTCTCGCTCTGTCGCCCAGGCTGAAGTGCAGTGGCGTGATCTCGACTCGCTGCCTCCCGGATTCACGCCATTCTCCTGCCTCAGCCTCCCGAGTAGCTGGGACTACAGGCGCCCACCACCACGCCCGGCTAATTTTTTGTATTTTTAGTAGAGACGGGGTTTCACCATGTTAGCCAGGATGGTCTCGATCTCCTGACCTCGTGATCCGCCCACCTTGGCCTCCCCAAAGTGCTGGGATTACAGGCTTGAGCCACTGCACCCGGCCTGTTTCTTTTGTACGTTGCAAAATCTCCCATTTTACTACTGCTTATCACATCATCAACATATGAGCACTCTCAAAAGTCTTACTTTAAAAAAAACAAAAACAAAAACAAAAAATGGCCGGGCACGGTGGCTCATGCCTGTAATCCCAGCACTTTGGGAGGCGAAGGCAGGCAGATCATAAGGTCAGGAGATTGAGACCACCCTGGCCAACACGGTGAAACCCCGTCTCTACTAAAATAGAAAAAATAAAATTACCTGTGCGTGGTGGCACGCACCTGTAGTCCCAGCTACTTGGGAGGCTGAGGCAGGGGAATCATTTGAACCCGGGAGGCAGAGCTTGCAGTGAGCCAAGATCGTGCCACTACACTCCAGCCTGGTGACAGAGCGAGACTCCGTCTCAAAAAAAAAAACTAAAGGCCGGGTGCGGTGGCTCACGCTGGTAATCCCAGCACTTTGGGAGGCCAAGGTGGGTGGATCATGAGGTCAGGAGTTCAAGACCAGCCTGCCCAATGTAGTGAAACCCCGTCTCTACTAAATATACAAATATCAGCCAGGCGTGGTGGCGGGCGCCTGCAATCCCAGCTACTCAGGAGGCTGAGGCAGGAGAATCGCTCGAATCCGGGAGGCAGAGGTTGCAGTGAGCCGAGATTGCACCATTGCGCTTCAGCCTGGGCGGCAGAGAGACTCCATCTCAAAAATAATCATAATAATAATAAAATAAATTTAAAAATTAAGAAAATAAGGCCGGGCACGGTGGCTCACGCCTGTAATCCCAGCACTTTGGGAGGGCGAGGCAGGCAGATCATGAGGTCAGGAGTTTGAGACCAGCCTGGGCAACATAGTGAAACCCCGTCTCTACTAAAAATACAAAAAATTAGCCGGGTGTGGTGGTGGGCGCCTGTATTCCCAGCTAGTTGGGAGGCTGAGGCAGGAGAACTACTTGAACCCCGGAGGCGGAGGTTGCAGTGAGCCGAGGTCACGCCATTGCACTCCAGACCGGGCAACAGTGTGAGACTCTGACTCAAAAAAAACAAAAAACAAAAAAACCCTTTAACTGCCTTTCTCCCTCTATCAATCTAATAGCCTGGACTCTTCACAGACAAACCTGTTGAAAAATTTATCTTCCTTGCCTTCATTTACTTTTTAACCCACTTTAATCTGGGTTCCACCTGCAACACACCACTGAAGCTATTCCTACTAAGGTAGGAACTGCCACTCAAGGCCTTCTTGGCTCTAAAATCCCATGAGCCTTTTTCAGTTCACCCTACAATTTCTCAATACCACTCTAAAGTTTATGAGTTTTTTAGTTAACTTTAATCCAGTGACTCTTTCTACTTTATCCCAATCCAAGTATTCTCCTCCTTCTTCACTTCATTTTTTTTTTTTTTTTTTGAGACAGACTCTGACTTTGTTGCCCAGGCTGGAGTATAGTGGTGCAATACTGGCTCACTGCAACCTCCACCTCCAGGTTCAAGCGATTCTCCTGCCTCAGCCTCCCAAGTAGCTGAGATTACAGGCCCCTGCTACCACACCCGGCTAATTTTTGTATTTTTAGTAGAGACGGGGTTTCACCATGTTGGCCAGGCTGGTCTCGAACTCCTGACCTCAAGGGATCCACCCGCCTCGGCCTCCCAAAGTGTTGGAATTACAGGCGTGAGCCAACGTGCCCGGCCCCTTCTTCACTTCTTTAACCAGCTTAGATTTCATTGTGTATCATTTCAACAACACTCTTGCCTATACCCTTAACTCTTAAGATTCTCATCACACCCATCTGGCAAAACCCCAATCCTGGATAAACCCAACGATCCATCAATAAGCACCACACTCCCAGGTCCTCCAGTGTTTACTTCCCATTCTATACATGCACTATCCAGACATTCCCATTCTCTTCAAATTCCAAAATATCCTATCACCTCCCCTCCCCATACACACATTCTACTTCACCAACAAGAAAAAAGGTACCAGCTGGGCACAGTGGCTCACGCCTGTAATCCCCGCACTTTGGGAGGCCAAGGCGGGTGGATCACTTGATGTCAGGAGTTGGACACCAGCCTGGCCAAAATGGTGAAACCTCATCTCTACTAAAAATACAAAAATTAGCTGGGTGTGGTGGTGCGCACCTGTAATCTCAGCTACATGGGAGACTGAGGCAGGAGAATCGCTTGAACCCAGGAGGTGGAGGTTGCAGTGAGCCAAGACTGCACCACTGCACTCCAGAGCCTGGGCAATAATAAGAGCGAAACTCCGTCTCGGGGTGGGGTGAGGAAGATACCATAAAATACCTGTACCCGATTCTAGACCTTACTGAGGATTCCATCTACTTCCACCTTACTGTAACTTTTCAAATACTTTTCCCACTGAACTAAATCCCCCCCATAAACATGCAACACTTTCTAATGTATTCCATTGAAAAATACAAAAACATATAAAAAGGAAAAACTCCATCAATCCCACACGTCCCTCCATCAAACAATCTGCCTTTACTTGCTGCAGCCAAACTAAAGTTGTCTAGATTCCCCTCTCCCATTTCTTCACTTCTTCTAGCTCCTTAACACACACTGGTCCAATTTCTGCCCCATCACTCTTGGCAAAATCCATTATGACCTCCAGGCTGCTAAATCCAAGATACAGTTCAGGCCTCAATCTGCTCATCCTTTCAGCAGCTTTCACAGGGCTTCTGAGTAGGGTTGGGCAGTTTTGCCCTGCACACAGGTGCCCTGCAGAGGAATGAGGTGGGCTGAATGAAACTCCTTTTTTAAAAATTCTTGGCTGGCATAGTGGCTCACGCCTGTAATCCCAGCACTTTGGGAGGCTGAGGCGGACGGATCACTTGAGGTCAGGAGTTCAAGGTCAGCCTGGCCAATATGGCAAAACCCCATCTGTTAAAAATACAAAAATTAGCTGGCCGTGGTGGCGGGCACCTGTAATCCCAGCTACTCGGGAGGCTGAGGCAGGAGAATCACTTGAACCCAGGAGGCAGAGGTTTCAGTGAGCCGAGACTGCCCCACTGCACTCCAGCCTGGGCAACAAGAGAGAAACTCCATCTCAAAAAAAAAAATTGTTTATGCCAACTAATTGTACACCTAAATGCACCAAGTTCCTGACTTTCTCCTTGCATTTATTTGTTTATTTATTTATTTATTTATTTATTAGGTCTCACTCTATGTTGCCCACGTTGTAGTGCAGTGTGTGATTACAGCTCACTGCAGCCTTGAACTCCTGGGCTCAAGAGATTCCTCTGGTCTTAGCCTCCCCAGTAGCTAGAACTACAGGTATGGAGTGGCTCTCTGCCTTTATTTCTAACCCAAGCTACCTTACAACCTTAAAAAGAGACGCTGCTTCGCCGGGCACAG
This sequence comes from Homo sapiens, assembly GCF_000001405.40. Classification (NCBI taxonomy): domain Eukaryota; kingdom Metazoa; phylum Chordata; class Mammalia; order Primates; family Hominidae; genus Homo; species Homo sapiens. The sequence goes on along the minus strand of NC_000016.10, from coordinate 22,444,073 downwards.
TGGCTCTCACCTGTAATCCCAGCACTTTGGGAGGCCGAGGCGGGCGGATCACGAGGTCAGGAGATCGAGACCATCCTGGCTAACACGGTGAAACCCTATCTCTACTAAAAATACAAAAAATTAGCCAGGCGTGGTGGCGGGCACCTGCAATCCCAGCTACTCGGGAGGCTGAGGCAGGAGAATGGCGTGAACCCAGGAGGTGGAGCTGGCAGTGAGCCGAGATTGCACCACTGCACTCTAGCCTGGGCGACAGAGTGACACTCCATCCTAAAAAAAAAAAAAAAAATTTATTATATACACACACACACACACACACACACACACACACACACACACACACATCTCCCCAGAAGCATCAATATTTACTGAATTAGAGTATTTCATTACCTGTTATAAAAAACAAACAAAAAAACCTTCCATTATACTAATTTATAAAGGAATCAAAACAAAATGGGTTGGCGGGTCCAGGCACGGTGTCTCACTTCTGTAATCCCAGCACTTTGAGAAGCCAAGGTGGGAACTCGAGGTCAGGAGTTCGAGACCAGCCTGGCCAACATGGCGAAACCCTGTCTCTAATACAAAAATTAGACGGGCCTGGTGACATGCGCCTGTAGTCCCAGCTACTCGGGAGGCAGAGGCACATGAATCACTTGAACCCAGGAGGTGGAGGTTGTACTGAGCCAAGATTGTGCCACTGCACTCCACCCTGGGAGACAGAGTGAAACTATGTCTTTAAAAAAAAAGGCGGGGTGCAGTGGCACACACCTGTAATCCCAGCACTTTGGGAGGCCGAGGCAGGTGGATCACCTGAGGTCAGGAGTTCACGACCAGCCTAACATGGTGAAACCCCATCTCTACTAAATATAAAAAAATTAGCCGGGTGTGGTGGCACATGCCTGTAATCTGATCTACTTGGGAGGCTGAGACAGGAAAACAGCTTGTACCTGGGAGGCGGAGGATGCAGTGAGCCGAGATTGCACCATTGCGCTCCAGCCTGGACAACAAGAGCAAAACTCTGTCTCAAAAAAAAAAAAAAAAAAAAAAAAAAAAAAGTTGGGGTGAGGGGAAGGTTCAACTTAAAGATACAATTACTAAGTGTTTCATAAGGAATGACTTATTTCATAATGGAGTAGGAGTTTGACACCAGCATGGGCAACATGGGGAGGCCCCATCTCTACAAAAAAGTAAAAATAAAAAATTAGCGTGCCAAGCATGGTGGGTCACACCTGTAATCCTGGCACTTTGGGAGGCCAAGGAGGAAGGATCACTTGAGCCTAGGTATTCAAGACCAGCCCAGGCAGCATGGCAAAACCCCGTCTCTACAGAAAACAAAAAAAAAATAAAGTAGCTGGGGGTGGTAACATGCACCTGTGGTCCCAGCTATTGGGAGGGTGAGGTAGGAGGACTTATTGAGCCTGGGAGGTGGAGGCTGCAGTGAGCTGAGATGGTTCCACTGCACTCCAACCTGGGCAATGGAGCGAGACTCTGTTTCAGAAAAAGAGAGAGGAAGCCAGGCGTGGTGGCTCACGCCTGTAATCCCAGCACTTTGGGAGGCCGAAGCGGGTGGATCACCTGAGGTCAGCAGTTCAAGACCAGCCTGGCCAACATGGTGAAATCCCATCTCCACTAAAAACACAAAAATTAGCCGGGCATAGTGGCATGCACCTGTATTCCCAGCTACTTGGGAGGCTGAGACAGGAGAATCACTTGAACCAGGAGGCGGAGGTTGCAAGTGAGCTGAGATTGTGCCACTATACTCCAGCCTGGGCGACAAAGTAAAGCTCTGTCTCAAAAAAAAAAGAGAGAGAGAGAGGAAAAATAAATTAGCCAGGTGTGGTGGTATGCACCTGTGGTCCCAGCTACTCAGGAGGCTAAGGCGGGAGGATTCCCAGAGCCCAGGAAGTCAAGGCTGCAGTGAGCAGTGATTGCACCACTGCACTCCAGCCTGGGCAACAGAGCAAGAGCATATCTCAAAAAAGAGGAAAGAAAAGAAAAGAAAAACATAAAAACAAATGTTCCTTTAGTTTTAATTTTTATTTTTTAGTTTATTATGGCTGTTTTACTCTCCCCCAAGTAAAACAGCCATACACAATTTGCTGAAATTTTCCTTAGTGTACTTTGAAATCTGTGGAACAGAACTGGCAATCGCTAAATTCTATTTGACTCTAGTTCCATTTAATATTAGACTGGTGTGGAAGTAACTGCGGTTTTTGCCAAAACCGCAATTACTTTTGCACCTACCTAATAGGTATAAAATATGTAACTTCACTTAATTTTATCCTTTATGTATCTCCCTATATTATGTACCTATGGACATCAAACTTAGTACAGACTGATAAAAGGCTGAATAGACAACTCTGGTTTCAAAAATCCAGCTTCTCACAACATCAGACATACTAGTATACAGCTTTTCTAATTTCACAACACATTTCCATTTTTTGGTCTTTCACAATAGAGAAGATGTGTGTACTTTTGAATACTCTGATCTGTCTACAATCTACCAAAATTGGAAGGTGTTTTTATTATACAGTTTCATCCTTTTAGAAATATAGAAAGATCCTAAGTTTGGGCACAGTAAGACACTCAATATAGATCTACTACTAAACAAGTAAGACCAATTACACAATTAATGTCCTAATACCCCGAGTGGAGAAGTAAAATCTACTTGTTTTCTGTTGACTTGAACGCCTTCTCTTCTTTGTTGAATTAATCAATCTATTTGACTCCAATGTCAAATTAATCAATGTCACTTTAGAATATTAAAATGTACAATTATGAATTACACATTTAATTTTAAAACACATCATTCTGATCTCTGTCTTGATTGATACTAGAAGATTATCTTCCAAACTAAGGTGGAAAAAATGACAGACTTTAGCTATTGGCAATGATAGGTCATTTTTTTAGGGAAGAGGAGTAAAGAGGGCCACCTCCATAGGTCAGATATCCCTTTGTTCTAAGAAGCCACCACCCCTGTTTCTTCATATGAAAAAAACCAGAGGCATCCAGTGGTTCCCAAAACCTTCTCAACTTTACGCTTGAGGAACCCACAGATTTCAAATAATACAACTGACCTAAGACACTCATTTGTTTAACCATTCTTTTTTTAACTTTTTATTTTTTTTGAGAAGGAGTCTTGCTCTGCTGCCCAGGCTGGAGTGCAGTGGTGTGATGTCGCTCACTACAACCTCTGCCTCTCAGGTTCAAGTGATTCTCCTGCCTCAGCCTCCCGAGTAACTGGGATTACAGGCATGCACCACCACATCCCGCTAATTTATTTATTTATTTTTTTTTAGTAGAGACAGGGGTTTCACCATGTCGGTTGGCCAGGCTGGTCTCGAACTCCTGACCTCAGGTGATCCACCCACCTCAGCCTCCCAAAGTGCTGGGATTACAGGCGTGAGCCACTGCCCCCGGCCTGCTTAACCATTCTTAAATGTCGGGTGCAGTGGCTCACACCTGTAATCTCAACACTTTGGGAGGCTGAAGGTGGGCAGATTGCTTGCGTTCAGGGGTTCAAGACCAGCCTGGGCAACGTGGTGAAAACCCCATCTCTACAAAAAATACAAAAATGAGCCGGGCTGTTGGCAAGCGCCTGTAGCCCCAGCTACTTGTGGATGCTGAGGCAGGAGGCTTGAGCCTGGGAGGTCGAGACTGCAGTAAGCCAAGTATCTGTGCCGCTGCACTCCAGCCTGGGTGACACAGCAAGACCGTCTCAAAAAAATTGACAGAAGAGTTGACTGAGAGCACAGTGAATGAAAAGGAAGACTATAAGCCAGTGCCATATAAATGCTTACTGTTGGAGGTATGCTTCTATGGAACACGGGTTTGCTCTCTTGCCATATGACATTCACATATTCAGCCACCTGGAACACTTCCTGTCAGTATGTGTGAAGTATCATGTGTGGTCAAAATTGTCTCAACAGTCATTTTCCACACCAACTGGCAAACTAACACTAAAAGAAATCAACAAGTATTGCTTTTTCAAAAGCCTAAATCGGCTGAGTGCGATGACTTACACCTGTAATCCCAGCACTTTGGGAGGCCAAAGCAGGCGGATCACCTGAGTCAGGAGTCCAAGAACAGGCCGGCCAACATGGTGGAATCTCGTCTCTACTAAAAATACAAAAATTAGCTGGACGCCTGTAATCCCAGCTACTCAGGAGGCTGAGGCAGGAGAATTTTTCCCTGTAACCGGGAGGCAGGGGCTGCAGTGAGTTGAGATTACACCACTGCACTCCAGCCTGGGAGACAGAGCAAGACTCCATCTCAGGAAGACAAAAAAAAAAAAAAAAAAAAAGCCTACATCAAGGAAAACAGAACCAAAACACCAGGGACAAAATGGTACATAAGAGGCAAAAAAATTTTCACCAAAATTATTCAGATGAACAATAATAAATGTGCCTGCATCTGAAGATGTTCTAAACCTTCATTTAAGCAAGAAGCAAGATCAAGATCTGTTCCGTCAGTTACCTGGAGTCTGTCATCTTTCTGAATAGGGGACAGAATCACCTCAAATTTAACTAATAAAAATTTATGACTTGGCAAACACCCCAGGTATTTTTATTGACTAACAAATCAGCTATGACAATCTTAGCAACAAATCAAGTTATGCTATGGGGTATGTCCACACTTCCCTGTTCCCTCTACAACAGGAGAAAATCAAATTTTTCCAACATCCTAACAAACTGTTACTGCCTGTAACCAAATGTATCACAGTATCGTCTACCAAGGCGTTACATCCTGAAACTTTCCTACAAAAAGCACAGCTTCAAAGAAACCTTGCAAGCTTTCTTGTAAGCTCCTCCCTTCCCCCATCGCCCCTCCCCAGAGCCAAGAAATAAAGCACTTGAAAGAAACAACATGGATAATATTTATTAATAGCTCATGTACATATTCCATAACTACATAAGCCATTTGGCTTCATACCTGTCAGCAATGAAGTCAGCTGGCCCTAGCACGTGGCTGCGACTCTTCTCTATTTATTTAGAACTACAAACTACAATTTACACTTTTCCAAAAGCTGTAGGACTATTTGGGAAGGGCACTTTATTCTTCTAAAAGGTTACTAAATTCTCTTATATACTTATACTGATCACAATACTGAAAAATAATAGAAAATCCATTGTCATTCATTTACCACCTAATTTGTTAAGATGCCAGAAAACCAAATTTTACACATTTCAATAAAAAGGCAAAACTAAGCATGTCAATCATAGGAAAAAAATACTTAATCAACTAATTTTATTTAAAGCACTCACAAACTCTTAAGTGGTACAAGACAAGTCAACGCTGTTTATCGAACAATATTTTTTTTTACGACTAAACATCTCAATTCTAGACTCAGGCACTAATTATTAAAGTCATGTAGTTATATACACCAATTCTCAACAGACACAGTTTTTTTTGGAAAGGCATATTAAACAGACTAAGATGTGTACTACCCATTAGCCAAAGATAATTTTATTGATTTTTCTAACAAGTCTTCAAATGTTACATTCTAACATCTTAGCAAATTATTTCCAAATACTGCTGGAATTACATGTAACTATCAGGAAACAAAAGGGCTTCTCAACAACTTGTGCGTTCTACATTATCTGGCCAGTTTCCGGACAATTATAATACAATTGTGCTCCAAAGTAGGAGAGTTCCATGAATCAATTACCCCTAAAATATATTTCTGTATATTTAAGGAGTTCTAAGCATTGGGTTAAATTCCAAACAGACTCTGAATACAAGCATTTATTTAGTAAGAGAGGTTAGAATAAATCAATCCTAAATTAGGCACAGCTGCCCTCCCCCCATTGATCAAAAAGACAGGAAATTACATTTATTTAAAAAGTTAATGTTCCTAATATATTCAAATCTAACTAAGCCCCAAAACGGTCTGACATCAAATCCTCCATAAAAGAGGAAATTCTCTAGACTTCTAAGTGGGTGCCCAGAGTTCACTCAAGTGTCCAGGTATGAATTACGATTCACCAGAGTAACCGGCCTTGCACTTAGGGAAAACTTCCATCGCCCAAGACCAGAGTAGGTCGATCCCATCAACAGTCACACAATCTCATCTCACGCTCCACTAATGAATGTTCTGCCTAAAGTCAGAGCAATGCCTTAGCTGGAGTTTTGTTTTGGTTTTTTCAATATTACCACGTGGGGGTCACAGAAAGGAACAGAGGTTAGAAGAGCTCTCACGTGGCGGCTGAAAGACTGGGGAACCGAGAAAGTGAATGAGTAACAGGGAGGGTCCTGGACTCTCAGGATCTCCCAACTCGGGGTCAGGGGGAAGCGGTAAGTGGAATGCCCCCCGCCCCCCCACCCCCGCCTCTTTCTCACCTCCTGGTCCCGACCCTAGGCCAGTGCCACCGCCGGGAGCCCCGGGTCTCGGCTTCAGCCCCGGGCTGAACAAGCAGGGAGGGGAGAGGCACTTAGGCCTCGCCTCCCCGCGGCCTTCCTCCCCCAGCCGGGGCGGAGGAGACCCAGGAAGCTGCGCCCGGCTCCCGGGGGTGGAGGGCCTAGGCCTCGGCCCGCCCGAGGCGGAGCCCGGGAGGTCGGGGCGGGGTCCCGGGCCGGTCACCCACCTGGGTTGCCAGTCATTCCAGCTCCGCGAATAGTTGGTGCCGTTGGTGCCGCCGCCGCCGCTCAGCCGAGACCCCGGGGCTCTGCGGCTCATTACCTTCCCCGACACGACATGGCCAAGCGCCGCCGCCCAGAGAAGCGCGAGTCGCCGCCCGAACCGGCCGCCGCCAACACCCCGCTCCGGCCCGGGGCTGAGGAGGAAGCCGAGAAGGAGGAGAAGGAGGAGGCGGCGGCGGGCGGGGGAAGAGGACGACCGTTCCGGGTTCCGCCTGAGCCCGCAGCACAGGACGAGGAGGCGGGAGCGGCGCGGTGAGAGAGAGGTGGATGAAGGGGAGGCGACGTCTCTTCCAGGGCCGTGCGCGGCCCACGTCGCCGGGGCCGCGGAGGACGAGGACGACGAGGAGCAGGCGGTGGCGGCAGCTCCTCACGCTCACAAGGCCACTGCTAACCCGCCTCCCGGCTCCGCTGGCCGCGCCGCCGCTATCGCACGGTATGCTGGGAGCGAGAAGCGGGGTCGGCCCCGCCGGGCCTGGGGAGAGAGGCGGGTCCTGTCGGCGGGGATCTCCACTAGTGCGGCCACACACTTTTCTCCCGAACGCTTCCCGGAAAGCACCGGGATTTTAAAAACTTTAGGCTTTGTCTTTTCTTCTTCTTCTTCTTCTTCTTTTTTTTTTTTTTTTTTGGTGGGGGAAACAATATAGAAGGCTTTTCCTTCTCTGCAACGATTTTGTGGCTTCCTAGAGGTCAGGAGAGTGTTGGTCATGGGAAAGAAGGTTGAATTCAGTCTGCCCACATGGGCGTGCCTAGCTTTAGAACAGCGCTATTTAGGAGAAGTTGGAAGTTACACCCTTTGGTGAGAAGCTGTGTCTGTTTTTTTCCATGATTGGCATAATTAACTCAAATACCAGCTGTACGTTAGTCCGTATTTCTGTTCATGGTTGAGTTCAGTGTGTCCAGAGACCGGAAGGTGCTTTGCACTCACAGGAGTGCCCATGTGGAGCTCCATGGGATGTGAATTATTGTTGGTCACCAGTTCTGGCTGACATTGGAATCACTTGAAGAGTTTTTATAATATGTGGATTCCAAAGCCCTGTCACAAACCTATTGAATTTGTACCTCCCAGGTTGAATTTTTTGTTGTTTTTTGTTTGTTTGTTTTTTGAGATGGAGTCTCACTCTGTCACCCAGGCTGGAGTGTAGTGGCATGATCTCAGCTCACTGCAACCTCTGCCTCCTGGGTTCAAGCGATTCTCCTGCCTCAACCTCCCAAGTAGCTGGGATTACAGGCACCTGCCACCACGCCTGGCTAATTTTTGTATTTTTAGTAGAGAGAGGGTTTCTCCATGTTGGCCAGTCTGGTCTCGAGCTCCTGACCTTGGGTGATCCACCCGCCTCGGCCTCCCAAAGTGCTGGGATTACATTTACAGGCGTGAGCCACTGTGCCTGGCCCTGGGTTGATTTTGATGCTTAGCTAGGTTTGGGATCCATTGGATTATTTAACACCCGAGGTGCCTTTTGTTTCTAATGATATTCTCTCAACGTGTTTTAAAAATGAAGCGCATGAGATAGTTATGAGATAGTAGAACTTTTCCCTACATTGGTGAAGTAAAAATCTTGGGATTTTGATAGTCAGATTATCTTAGGCATTAAAAAATATCACACCGACGCCCTCTCTTTTTATAGGGATTCGCAGAGGCATTTTTGGAACATCTTTGGAAAAAATTGCAGGATCCAAGTAATCCTGCCATCATCAGGCAGGCTGCTGGAAATTATATTGGAAGCTTTTTGGCAAGAGCTAAATTTATTCCTCTTATGTAAGTAGCCTAATTTTCCGAGTACTTTTTAATATCATGCTTTAAAAAGAGTATAGCATTGTCTCAAGTCAGAAATATCTCCCATATGTTTTTGGCATGTTTTTAAAGTGAATAAAATTCCTACTCTGTGTAAGATGTTTATATTTCTAAGTGGTGATTTTAGAATAAAGTGTCTCCTTTTTTATATATAAAACCCTGTATGTAAGGCTTTTGTCATCTCTTTTGTGTGGTTGCACTTAAAGATCCATTTGTTTTGTGGATAGAGGACAGTGTTGTATACTGTTTTGATTCTTTTTGTAGGTTTGTCATTTTTTCATTTGCATTCCAAATCTATTGTATCTGTTAAAGCTGAAGAAAAACCCTTTTAAAGGTAATAGACCTATCTAGGAGGCCAGTTTCTTTCAGTGGCCCATGAAGATATCTTTGGACAAGGATGCTGTTGAATCCCTTCCCCAAGAACAAAATTATTCACCATAGGACTTGACTGGATGCATCAGGGAATACTGAAGTCCACCAGACTGTCTTTCTCTTGAGACGTGTTGGTGAACATGTCCTATTTGGCCAATCACCCTAAGAGGGGTGCCTTTGAGATGGTTAGGAGAACCTGCTTTCCATCCCTTGGGACGTTCTTAGGGGCTCACCTGTTCCTAGAAGGTCAGAGCTACTCTGCCTTGTAATTGGAAGGTTGTCTTCCTACGCACCCATCCTTATCCTTCCTTTCTTTGCTTTTCCTCTGTACCCATGGGTATTATTTAAAGAAACCTATGAACTTACTTAGCATGGTTTGTAATGAAAGGCAGTTGTGTGTTTTTATGTTATTCTGGTTTTTTTATGAAGTGTAAAGTTGACTTGAATTTTTCTTTTCTCTAGTACTGTAAAACCATGCCTAGATCTTTTGGTTAACTGGCTGCACATATACCTTAATAACCAGGATTCGGGAACAAAGGCATTCTGCAATGTTGCTCTCCATGGACCATTTTACTCAGCCTGCCAAGCTGTGTTCTACACCTTTGTTTTTAGACACAAGCAGCTTTTGAGCGGAAACCTGAAAGAAGGTCAGTGTTGTGGGAGTGCTGGACTGGATTTTCCTTGTGTTCTTGTCACCCTTCAGAATGGTGATTCATTACTTTTTTGAGATTTTTATAAAAACTGGATTCAGAAAACTGCATGTACACTCAAACTTCTAATAATAATTTCAAGCAGCTCATAGGCCCCTACAAACCCCTTAAGATAGATTTGAGCTTGAGAACCCTACAAACCCCTTAAGATGGATTTGAGGTTAAGAAAGAGGTTTCTGCCTTTGAAGGTTTGAAATGTGAAGATGTCTCCAGAGGTGAGGCTGAGCCCTGGGCTGTGCCAGCGCCCTGTACAAAGCTTCAGTTGGATGCACCTTCTCTTTGTTGTCCTTGTAACAGCCCAGTAAATGGCAGGTATTCTCCCTTTACAGACAGCACCAAAGCACGGGGAAGTCATTTTCCCAAGATCACATGGTTACTGGCAGGATTAGAAAACTGAAGCCAGGTTCAGCTGACCCTAAAGTTTGAGTTTATATAGATTACACTCTGCCTGAAGCCTTGAGACTTAATTGACCAGTATTGTTTTGCTAATTTCTAAGAGTTACTTATAATTCAAATCTATCAGTTGAAACTTACTAGATTAGCGTATTTTAGTTGAAGAGAGTCTCCAAGAACAGTGTTTATAAGTCATTGTAAATTGTTCTGTTTATGTTTATGAATAATTCATATGGTTTTGTGGGTCACTTCCTCTAAACCAGGGTCTGTCAACCCTGCATGATTGCCATTTGGGCTGCATCATCCTTCATCGTCGGGGGCTGTCCTCTGCACTGTAGGATGTTTAACAGCCTCCACCTACTAGCTGCCAACAGCAGTCCCTGACCACCCCCAGCTGTGACAACTAAAAGTGTCTCCAGACACTGCCAGGTGTCCTCTGTGGGGGTTGCAGTCTCCTTAGGTTAACAGCCACAGCTCTAAACTGACAGTTGTACGTGTTGCATTATATATGTTTACCTACATCCTACATGCTTCTAAAAGATGTTGTATGAACTAGTAGGATGAGGTTTTATCACAAGGTAAGTAAATACAAGCTCTGCTTTTCTTTGTATAAATTAATGCCAGGAATCTGAATTAAATATCTTGTTTTTGTAAGCAGTGACATCCCATTTAGGTAATTTTTATTGAAATATGCATCAAAGAAACTCCTAAGAAAATATACTTAAGTACAAGTTGGTCAGCTTGCCTCTTAAAATAAATGTGATGTCTTTATTTTACTCATGTAGGAAAGAATTGTATTTATTAAGTCTAAGAAAGTGGCTTCTGTCTAAATTTGCCGTCCGTTGAGGTAGAAGGCAAATTTGGAGTTTTCTTGTTTAGAAAAAAAACTACAGATGACTACTGTGCACCTGAAAACAGCACTCAGCTTCACTAACGAGACATGCAAGCTAGAATCAAATTGCTGTTTTGTTTTGTTGCCTGTCGTGATTGTTAGCTGAAACCAAATCACAAGGTCTTTTTCTCCCTCTGTATTAGCTCAGCATACACTGAGCTTACAAACGTATGAACTTCACGTTGTCGTGGAATCTTACAGCCTGCTACTTCCTAAGTTTCCTTTAGAGAAGCTGCCTTGGTGACCAATGAATGTGGTTAGCCTAGTGATACTCTTCTGGGCCATATACTGTGTGACTATCTGCATGGACCTTTATTGAAAGCATTTCTGCAAATAATTTTTTTAAGTTTTTTTTAAATGTGTGATAATTTGTGCTTTTAAAGATATCTTACACTTTTCACTTATTTGTACCTTTAAAAAATCTTTTTTTTTTTTAAACCAAAGGTTTGCAGTATCTTCAGAGTCTGAATTTTGAGCGGATAGTGATGAGCCAGCTAAATCCCCTGAAGATTTGCCTGCCCTCAGTGGTTAACTTTTTTGCTGCAATCACAAAGTAAGTTATTTACGCTTTCTTGATGGGAGTTATTTAAAATATTTTTATTTATGTTTATCTAGTATTGTAAGAGTCTGTTAAATTTCTATGAAATTAGTAACATTATAAAAGGCCAGGCGTGGTGGCTGACACCTGTAATCTCAACATTTTGGGAGGCTGAGGTGGGAGGATTGCTTGAGGCCAGGAGTTAAAAGACCAGCTTGAGCAACATAGTGAGACCCTATCTCTATAAAAAAATTTTAAAAATTAGCTGGGTGTGGTTGCCTGTGCCTGTAGTCCCAACTACTCAGGAGGCTGAGGTAGGAGGATCACTTGAGCCCAGGAGGTCAAGGATGCAGTGAGCCCTGATTGTACCACTGCATTCCAGTCTGGGCTCCAGAATGAGACCCTGTCTCTTAGACAAACAAAAACAACCCAGTCCTTACAGGAAATACTGTGATACAGCTATTGTTTTTATACTTTGATGGCATTGGAAATTACTACTACTTCTTATCCAAAGGGCAGCACTTTGAAATAAGTATGGCAACCAGTAAGCTGAGAGGGGCAAAGCCATAGATGCTTATTAGAGTGACTCCTGTAATAGTAATAGAAATAAACTGGACATGAGGCAAATGTTGACCTGTAAGAGATTGGTTTAGAGAGTTCTGTTCTCTCAGGTCTGGTAGCTATGGCTAATCCATAGCCTTTCCTCTGTGCCAGGCAGTTCTAAGCACTTTACATAGAACTCATTTGATCCTCAAACAACCCTCTAGGATGAAACCCTGTTTATCAACAGGGAGGTGGAGGTACAGAGAGGTGAAATCACTTGCCTAAAGTCATAGAGCTAGACTGGCAGCACAGATTTAAATGTAGTCTGGCTCCTTTGTAAGCTTTCACTAAGTTATTCTGCTTTATGGAGAAAGCGAATTGGAGAATTGAATATTCAATGAGGATATTTAGGCCAGATCATAGCTTAAAATCTTCAACAGATAAGAGCCAGCAGCTTGCTGAGCTCTGTCAGCCTCTTTAGTTCTCCTTTGCTAGGCGTCTGGTTCAAGGTGTCCTCTCTTCTGAGTCTCAGTGATAGTAAAGGATTAGGAAAAGGCATAAAGAGACCAATAAGCAACGGCGGTGAGTGGGTGGAGGCTTCAGCACGTTGGTTAAGATGGTGAGCAGCTCAAAGAGTGAGGATGGATGAAGCAAAGCAGAGGCCGCTGCCCCTGGTATGTTCTCAGGGTGGGGACAGAGGACTGCATTTGTGAACCATCTGGTCCAGGGGCTCTCGATTTGGGGTTGGCATGCGCATTGGAGGGACAGAGTGTGATGCGATGTGAGGCTAAGAGCAGGGGATTGAAATAAAAGTCTCTGCCTAGGTACAGATATGGTAAATAAAGGCGTGTACCATTCTGTAGCTGTTGCTTTTGCCTGCTTGATGCTTTTGAGATTGAACCATATTGACACAAAGCTTTATATTGATTTTAACTGCTGTGTTATGTTCTGGGAATCTTTTTTATTGAGTCTTTGTTGGGATTTCATCTGTTAGTTTTTGTCTTTTTTTTTTTTTTTTTTTGAGACAAGGTCTTGCTCTGTCACCCAGGCTGGAGGGCAGTGGCGTGATCTTAGCTCACTACAACCACCACCTCCCAGGCTCATGCAGTTCTCCTGCCTCAGCCTCCCGAATAGCTGGGACTACAGGCGCCTGCCACCACACCCAGCTAATTTTTGTATTTTTAGTAGAGACGGGGTTTCATCATGTTGACCAGGCTGGTCTCAAACTCCTGAGCTCAAGTGAACCACCTGCCTCAACCTCCCAAAGTGCTGGGATTACAGGTGTGAGCCACCGTGCCCAGCCGGCTGTGTTAGTGTTTTAGTGCTCAGGAACATTCTTGTGTGTGGGCACACGCTTCCTTGTCACACACCCGGAAGTGCGGTCAGCTGCGGGGTTGTAGGAGATGTAGATCTTCAACTTTACCTGATAGTGCAAACCACCCTCCAGTGTGGTTTTGCTGATGTGTCCTCCACCAGGAGGAGGGGTCAAGTGCCGTGAGCCTTGGCTAACAGGACAGAAATCAAAGTATGTGGCTTGAAGTTGCCATGGTGACCGGAGAACCTGAGATGGAGAGTGACAGAAGTGAGATCTAAGTCCTCATCTTGGAGAAGCTGTCCAATAAATAATTTTTCAAGTTGCTCAATCATTTAGAGACAACTACTGGAAAAATTAAAAACATAATTGTCTTTATTTTATGTTTTCTTCTATGCATTTAACTGTTCTCACTCGGCATGCCTAGTCCTTTCTGTGCCTGTTTTTGAGGTCATGACTTAGTCAACCCCATGTCCCTCCTTCAGTAAAGGCTTATTTCTTCTTCAGTGCTTCTTCAGCAAGTCTCTTCACCAACCACTATTTCCTCCTGAGTAACTCCTGAATCCCTTTTCCACCAACCTTCTAATTCTTTTGCAAACAGTAAAAATAAAGACACCTGTAGTTATGTAATCTAAGAGTTTTGCCTTGCAAACATTTATTTTTAATGAATAATATCTATTACTCATTAAAATATAAGCCCAGTTTCACATTCTGAGTGATAGCCACGTTTTCTTTCTCCTTAGCAAACTTGCAGATAGAAGACCCATAGAACGGTACCCTAAAAGTGTTACTTTCTGCTTTATATTGTTATTTTTACCAGCACTTGTTATATTCAGCAATTTCTCTGTGGTAGGTACAGTTGTCACATGCAGCTCACATCCGCAGAGTCACTCCAGCATGTTAATGCCTCTGTCTGTGTTGTTTTTTTGTTCCACAGTAAGTACCAGCTCGTCTTCTGCTACACCATCATCGAGAGGAACAATCGCCAGATGCTGCCAGTCATTAGGAGTACCACTGGAGGAGACTCAGTGCAGACCTGCACAAACCCACTGGACACCTTCGTCCCCTTTGATCCCTGTGTGCTGAAGAGGTAGGTACTTTTAAACATTGATGCTGGAGGAGGTGGATTTTTTTTTCTTTTTGAGACGGAGTCTCGCTCTGTCGCCCAGGCTGGAGTGCGGTGGTGTGATCTCGGCTCACCTCAAGCCAGCTCGCCCACCCTGGCATGAGCTGGCTCATGCTTATAATCCCAGCACTTTGGGAAGCCAAGGTGGGTGGATCACCTGAGGTCAGAAGTTCAAGACCAGCCTGGCCAACATGGTGAAATCCCGTCTCTACTAAAAATACAAAAATTAGCTGGGTTGGTGGCCCACACCTGTGGTTCCAGTTCCTCGGGGGTCTGAGGCAGGAGAATCGCTTGAACTTGGGAGGTGGAGTTTGCAGTGAGCAGAGATTGAGCCACTGCACTCCAGCTTGGGTGACAGAGCGAGACTCCATCATGGAAAACAAACAAACAAAAAAAAGCACTGCCATCTATGAATAGCAGCATGGCACAAAACAGAAGCCACTAGAGAGAGTATTGCGGGACCCTCGTTTTATGTAGCAAGAAATGGAGGCTCAGAGAAGGGGCGACTTCCAAGGGTGAGTGACCCAGTGCAAGGAGCCGGCTTCCGTTCGACTGCAGATTCTAGCCCTTCACCAACTCACTTCTCCTCACCAAGGGCTTCACTTGCACCACTGCAGTCTTCCTTTCAACAGTCGTGGGAGACACAGACCAGTCCCCATTTTACAGATGGGGAAAAAGGAGGCTTGGGGAACTCCTTGGCCAGAGGCCACAGAGGCCTCCCAGTGGGACTCTGTGCTCTGCAAAGAAGGGAATCTGGGGAGCAGGCACCCTTTAGAGAAATAATCTGCATCGAACATCCACAAAATCCAGCAGGAGGCCACCAGGAGCTGACCCCCATGCAGAGAGGAAGCACCAGCACTCTGGGTGAGTGAGGCCAAGGTCACAGTCAGTCCCCAGGAGAGCCGGCAGCCGGCCCAGGGCCCAGATGGGCCTCTGGCTCAAGCCCAGCAGAGGCTGTGTCCACTGGGCCTTGAGGTCTGCACGGGAGGCCCGTCCCTCACCCCCCAGGGCAAGAACAAGCCCACGCCTCAGCCCTGTTGGCGGTGGAGCAGGAACATCCCTGCAGTGCTTTAAGGGCACACTTGTTATTTTTTGTTCAGCTCGTGGCAGCAGGTGTGCCTTGGAATCTAGATGTTTTTTGTATCCCCAAGGGAACCCAGGCTCAGGTTTTAGGCTAGAAAACAAGACAACTGCAGATGGTAATTATCCCCCAGGATCACTAGTCAAAGGCTGCTTTTGGTCAAGAATCTCAACCTGCGTGCCTGTCTGTGTGGCACACCCTCCTCAGGAACAGCCTCGCAACTTTCCCTGGAACCTCCCCTTCCCCACTACACCTGGTCCTGGCGAGGATATTATTCACATCAGTGAATAAAATGCTAATTTTAGTGGGGGGCTGACAAACAGTTCTCACACACCAGTGTGCACCAACATCCCCTGGAGAGTGTGTTGGAGCACAGACTCCTGTCGGCCCGGCGGCTCACACCTGTAACCCCAGCACTGTGATAGGCCAAGGCGGGAGGGTAACGAGAATGCATCTCTACAAAAATAAAAATAAAAAAGTTAGCTGGACGTGGTGGTGCATGCCTGTGGTCCCAGCTACTCGGGAGGCTGAGGCAGGAGGCTTGCTTAAGCCCAAGAGATTGAGGCTGCAGTAACCTGGGATTGTGCCACTTAACTCCAGCCTGGGCAACACAGTGAGATCCTGTCTCTCAAAAAAAATAATAATAATAACAATAACATACACACAACACAACCTGTGCTCCCTCTAGACATTCTGACTTGGCAGGTGCAAGGCAGATCCAAGAATCTCATGCCAGCAGGCTCCCAGGTGCCGCTGATCCCGCCAGTCCGTGGCTTTGTAAGGGTATCTGCTGTGTTGCTGGCTCGGCTTCCATCCTCCTGCGTCCTGGGTCCAACATTCCTGTTTTCCTTGGGAGCCCATCCCCGACTCCCATTCACGGGGTCCAGAGACAGGAGTGGGTGGGGACCTGGGCATGGCCACTCAGAACAGCCCTGTCACTGGCTGCAGCAATTGGTACAGGCATGGGCACGTGACTCAAGACCAGCCAATGAGAGCCAAGGAGTTTTTTTCTGGGACGTATTTAAAGAGATTATTTCCATAGCTGTGCCCCGCAGCAGGTGAGGGCCCTCCTGAGAAAGTGTCCACACAGGAGGGCAAAGCCAAGGTGGGGGATATCAAGGCCCAAGCCAATTTCGGGGCCTCTGAATGTAGCTGTACCTGAAGCCAAGTCAACCCCTGTACTAATAAGCCTCTTTTTAAAATCAGTTTGATTTAAGTTCCTATCACTTGCTTCCAAGAGTCCTGATACAAGCAAATAAAAGTGGCCAGGTGCAGTGGCTCATGCCTGTAATCCCAACACTTTGGGAGGCCGAGGCAGGTGGATTGCTTGAGGTCAGGAGTTCAAGACCAGACTGGCCAATATGGTGAAGGCCCATCTCTACTAAAAAATACAAAAATTGGCCGGGTGCAGTGGCTCACGCCTGTAGTCCCAGCACTTTGGGAGGCTGAGGCGGGCAGATCACCTGAGGTCAGGATTTCGAGACCAGCCTGACCAACATGGAGAAACCCCATCTCTACAAAAAATACAAAAGTAGCCAGGCGTGGTGGTGCATGCCTGTAATCCTAACTACTTGGAAGGCTGAGGCAGGAAAATCGCTTGAACCTGGTAGGTGGAGGTTGCGGTGAGCCGAGATCGTGCCATTGCACTCCAGCCTGGGTGACAAGAGTGAAACCTGGTCTAAAAAAAAAAGTAAAAATACAAAAATTAGCTGGGCGTGGTGGCAAGCACCTGTAATCCCAGCTACTGGGGAGGCTGAGGCAGAAGAATTGCTTGAACCTGGGAGGCGGAAGTTGTGAGTCGAGATCACGCCACTGCACTCCAGCCTGGGCAACAAAGTGAGACTTAGTTTCAAAAAAAATAAAATAAAATAAAATAAAATAAGTGACTAAATTGGCCAGGTGCAGTAGCTCATGCCTGTAATCCCAGTGCTTTGGGAGGCAGAGGCAGGTGGATCACCTGAGGTCAGGAGTTCCAGACCAGCCTGGCCAACATGGTGAAACCCCGTCTCTACTAAAAATAGAAAAATTAGCCAAGTGTGGTGGTGCGTGCCTGTAGTCCCAGCTACTCAGGAGGCTGAGGCAGGAGAATTGCTTGAACCCAGGAGGCGGAGGTTGCAGTGAGCTGAGATTGCACCACTGCCCTCCAGCCTGGGTGACAGAGCAAGAAGACATTGTCTCAAAAACAAACAAACAATCAAACAAACAAACAAAAAACAGTGACTAAACTGAGAGCAAAGAAATGGAAGGGAGGGAGCAGGAGGATCATCAGTTTCCATCCTTTTACTGTGTGCTCAAATGTAATTTGGCTGCAGGTGAGGTCTGTGCAGACCCTGGGTGAGGGGCGAGTTGGCTATGGCCTGTTTAACTCCACCTGTGCAGACTGCAGCTCAGCCTCGTCCATGCTTCGTGACTCAGCCTTGTCCTCAGGGAAGCTGGGGCTGGTGCAACTTTCAGAAGTGGTCCCAGGTAAGCCTGGCCCTCCTGAGTCCATGGGTGGGGAATGCTGGTACAGGCCTAGCAGCTGGCTTTCCGGGGCTGGGTGGAGGTACAAGAGCGGTGATGTGTGGTGTTCGCCACTTTCCATGGTGCAATTACCCCTGCATGGCCGAGTTCAAGTTTTGAAGGTGCAGTCACCAATAGTGGAGTTGGGAAGAGATTTGCACAGTCAGCTCCAGAGCCAGCATGCACCATCTCCCACCCGTCACTGCCCCCTGCCTTCCTCCCTCTTGTCCCTGCAGCCTGGGATCTCACTGCTGCTCTCCAAGTGAGGAATTCCAGTAAGGCTTCTTAAGACTTCTT